>NW_016107298.1:0-336529 GCF_000001405.40 Homo sapiens
TGAAGGTTTGGCACAATGGGATGAAGGAATAGACAAGGAGCAAGAATACGAGCTCATCCTCATGCCTCAGAATAGCATGAAATGCTCAGGGTGTGTGGGACAGAACTGACGCCTTCACACCAATGGAGCCAGATGCCAGCCTATGTGTGTCCAAGTCCTACCAAGTCCCAGGCTGCATGGAAATCAGAGGGACCCCAAATCGAATGAGCGAGGGGCCCTTAAAGAAACTCACCTGGCCCCTTTGTCTCAGGTCCTAGGGGTTGGTGCTGCCAGGAACTCTCATAGGAGAGGGCCTTGTTCCCACCTAGTCCCAAGCATCTGAGCAGGGCCAACGAAAGTGCTGGTAGGCCAGGCCTTGCCCTGGAGAGGAAGGGCAGAGAGGAAGGAGAGGGGAAGCGGGGTGGACCACCTCTGCTCAGACCAAAGGCAGAATCCAGTGCTGATGGTTGCCAATAGGGTCCTCTCTGTTGCTGGGCCCCCATGAACCATGTGAGCCCTGCACAGAGCTCCTGCTAGATCCTGGGGGTCTCCCTGCACTGGGATTGCTCCAACAGTGCCCCCACCCTCAGGGCATGGGTTGCCCTCTGCATCTGGCCAAGTGCCTTCCCAGACACCCTGCAGCCTCAGCCTCCTGTGACCACTCATGTCCACCTAGCCTGGTCCTGGTCCCAGGTGCCCTCCTGGTCTAGCTGCCACTAAACAGATGAGAAGCTCCCTCCCATCCCAGCCCTGAAATATGCTCAGCCTCAAAGCCTCTTGGCACATCTCAGCTTCCAGATGTCCTGTGCCTTGTGAGATATTAACCACACTCTGCCTAGCCCTCTGCCATGAGGTCAGCTCCGCTCCCAGGCAGGGGGAAGAGCTGCCTTGGGAGCAATGATGGGCATCGTCCCTCTGTGCTGTGTTTGGGGTCTTCCCTCCCTCCAAGTCTTGGACTTTGGGCCCAGAAATCACTTTCCCTCCCTCCTCTCTGAGCACACAAAGGGCAGGACTTGTCTTCAGGTGCTTGGGGAAGAGGGACGCCAATTGTTCCAGCCACTCCCGTAAGGGTGAACCAGGAGACTAACCATCAAATTCACCAGGAAATCCCAACCTCCAGGCCCTGACTGAGGCACTAAGACCCAAGCAAGCAATATCAATGAAAGCCAGAGGTGCTTAAGGTGGGGAACAAGAATGAGCTGTCAGAGGCCTCTGATAAAGAATCGTTTAAAAAGACTTTCTTTGCTGCGGCTCATGCCTGTAATCCCAGCCCTTTGGAAGTCTGAGGCGGTAGGATCACTTGAGGTCAAGAATTCAAGAGCAGCCTGGGCAATATGGTAAAACCCTGTCTCCATACACATAAAAAAAATTAGCCAAACGTAATGGGGTGCACCTGCAGTCCCAGCTACTCGGGAGGCTGAGGTGGGAGGACTGACTGACCCTGAGAGGTTGAGGCTGCAGTAAGCCGAGTCCATGCTGCTGCACTTCAGCCTGGGTGACAAAGCAAGACCTGGTTTCAGAAAAAAGAATTTCCCCCTTCGATGTATGCTATGGACTGAATATTTGTACCCCCAAAATTCATATGTTGAAACCTAATCCCCAGAGGGATGATTTTAGGAGGTGGGGCCTTTGGGGGGTAATTAGGTCATGAGGGTGGGGCCTCATGAATGGGATTAGTGCCCTTATCAAAGAAGCCCCATGGCCAGGTGCAGTGGCTTACACCAGTAATCTCAGCACTTTGGGGGGTTGAGACGGGAGGATAGCTTGAGCACAGAAGTACAAGACCAGCTTGGTTAACACAGCAAGCCCTCATCACTACAAAAACTAAAAATAAAAAAAAATATGTTGCATGTGGTGGCTCACATCTCTAGCCCCAGCTACGTGAGAGGCTGAGGCAGGAGGATCGCTTGATCCCAGGAGTTCAAGGACACAGTGAGCTAGGATCGTGCCACTGCACTCCAGCCTAGGTGATGAGTGAGACTCTGTCTCTAAACATTTTTTTAAATTAAAAATGTAGAAATAACATAAAAGAGGCCCCAGAGAGCTCTCTTGCCCCTTGCAATGCATGAAGACAAAGTGCAAGAAGGTGCCATGTGTGAACCAGAAGGTAGGCCCTCAGCAGACACAAAATCTGCCAGCACTTTGATCTTGGACTTCCCAGCCTCCAGAACCATGAGAAAGAAATAAACACTATGTAAGCCACCTGGTGTTGGGGGTGCTTTTTGTGGTAGCAGCCTCTACTGACTAAGACAGTGTCACTTCAGCTACTCTCAAGAAAGGCTTCGTCACCTGGATCCAGTCGCGTCAGTTAAGCGGTGCTGCCCAGCTCTGGGAGGCTGGGGGAGATGAGGCGATGTGTGATTCTCAAGGTCAGCATGTTGGAAAGTCTAGCAGGGTTTAATGAGGACGGAATTAAAGGAGACGGGGCCTGATGAGGGGCTCTGGGCCTCTCTGTGTCCCTGTCTGCTTTGTCTGGAAAATGGTGAAAGGAAGGAGGCATCTTGGAGCATCTGTGTCCTCTGGTTTTCCTTGATCCCTGGATTCACCAGGACACAAAAACCCAGTGCTTCTTGTACTGCAAGGTGCTTGAGAAAGGAAGAGCAAACCCACAAGCTGAAGAGTCCCAGGCAGCCATCGCTCCCGACACGCACGCCGCAGTGTAGCTGTGGCTCCTGAGAACGGCGGTGTTAAAGGACAGTTACTTAACCAGAACTTGGGGTCCCCCTGCCCCGCCCCACGGAGGCCTTGAACATCCTACAATAAACACACACCGAAGCCATGTTCTTGGAGAGACTTTGGGGAGGCTGTGCACTCTGGAAACAGCCAAGCTGTTCTGTGGCTTGGAAGAAACAAGCAGTTCCATCCACTCTGGGCTCACAGATATTCCTCCTGAGCTTGAAGGAAGCCACAGCGGAACTTGGAGCTGCTCTAGTTCTCTGGAACATGCAGCAGGTGGAACCGCAGACGTCTCTCCAGGGAGCTGAGTCCCGGTTTTCACCTGCTGGGTGTCCACGGATTCACCCCCAGCTACTGTGTAGGGGCCAGCTCCCCTCAGGGACTGCTCCTGGGAGACCGTGGGAGTCACCGCAGCTCCCTGCTCTGTGGAGCGGCCACGCTAGCAGAAGGAACAGAGGGTGCCAGTGCTCTGAGTATGCCGGAGGGCAGTGAGTGCTGCGGGAAGGGGCTGGAGGGCACAGGGTCTGCGAGTGCCAGGGCAGGTGGTGCGGGGGGAGCTGTCTACAAAGCCTTAGAGCGCCAGGGTAGGTCCCACTGGAAGGGAACATGCAAGCAAAGACTCGAATGAGGTGGGAGGGTGAGCTGAGGGTGTCTAGAAAGGGCATCCAGGCGGAAGGAGGACCCCATGTGGGGTTTTGAAAAGAAGGGCAAGGAGGCCCAGGATGGCAGGAATCAAGTGAGTGAGAAGGAAAATGGAGGCCACGGGGTCCCAGGGCGAGGCGCTGGGTCGTGTGGGGTCTGGTAGGTGGCCCGGGTGCTGGGTGCTGACTTCTGAGCTGAACGAAGCAGGAGCCACTGTGGGATTTCCAGCAGAAGACAGACATGATCCAGCAGAAGGCATCAAAGGATCCCTGACCACGGACCGCCCCAGGACCCTTCCACCATAGTGCAGGATTCCTCTTACAGGAAATGCCCCAGTAGGCAGATCTAGAGAGGCAGGAAGTGGATGAATGGTTGCCTGGAAGGTGGTGGGGGAGGAAGGACGACAGCTAAGGGGTGTGGGGTCTTTGGGGAGGGAGAAGATGTTGTGAATATAATAAAAACCATTGAATCGTACACTTTAAATGGGTGACCTGTATAGTATGTGAATTATATCTCAATAAAGCTGTTAGAGAAAAGAATCCCTGCTGCTGTGTTGAGGACACATGGGGGTGGGGAGGCAGGGAGGTCTGCTGGGGGCTCCCAAAGTCATCAGAAGAGGACAAAGGCTTGACGCAAGTGACAACCGTGGAGATGGTGAGAAGTGATCAGGGTCGGGGTGGATTTTGAAAGAAAACCTAAAAAGATTTCTCAACAGGTTTCTCATCAGTGTGAGAGGAAGAGAGGGGTCAACCCTAACTGCAGAGCTTTGGCTGTGCAAATGGAAGGAAGGATCAGCCGTGCACAGAGCTGGGGAAGGCCGAGGGTGGAGTGCGGAGAGGGTGAGCGCGAGTTCAGTGAGGGGCGTGCTGAGGTGGTACTTCCAAATTGAGGTTGGCAAGTAGAGAAATGCCTTGGAACTTGGATTTGAAGAGTGCAGAGACAGATGAGGTGCAGATTCTGCTGGAGTCAGGAGCGTGGGCAATACAGAGAGCATGGAAGGTGGAGGGGCAGTTGGAATATGAGTCTTGGGTGCAGGAGAGAGATCTGGGCTGGAGACGCAAATCTGGGAGCCATTTCATGGTACATAAAGCAACAAGAGGAATGAGATCGCCCACAGAGGGGTGCAGAGGGAGACCAAGGAGCGTCCAGGACAGAGCCCTGGGCGCATCAACCCCAGAGGGTGCGGGAAGAGGAAGGATCAGCAAAGGAAACGGGGATGAACTGTGAGTGCTGTGATTAGACCAAGAAAGTGGGTGTCCGGTAAGCCACACCAAGGGAGCAGGAGGGACTAGCCTGCCACGTGCTAGGGATGGCGACTGAGGATTGGCAGGGAGATGCAGCAGCATGATGACCTCGGGGAGGGTGCCTCTGGCAGAGTGGCACACACAGAGGCCTGGTCCAAGTGGGGTTAAGACACAGTGAGAGGAGAGGAATCGAAGATGGCGTCTCCACCTAGGGGGTGCTGCTGAGAGAGCAAAAAGCTGGGAGAGTAGGTGACAGACGAGGGAAGCCGTCAGGTGTGAATGCGGATAGGGAGCAGATGTTGGAGGTGTTCAGAGGACGGAAGATATGAAAAGTCATCTGGAAGGAGGCAAACAGACTGAGGGGAGCAGTCTGGCTGCTAGCGGCACCTTGCTGGTGAACATCATCGTAAGCAAGAGCAGAAGCAGGGCTGAGCTTTGTTCAGGGGTACCCGTGCCAGCATGAAGTAGGTAGAAAGTTTCATTTTACCAGGACTAGGGCATTGTTCAGTAGATGTTACAAAGCAAGAGTGACTCCAATGAGGGAACCTGCAGTTTAAGAGAAGGAGGCTGGGTAAGGGGTGGAGGGAAGGATCAGTGGTGTGAGAGACCGTGACAAGGCGGCAGCATCAATGGCCTGCAGGTTTGCTGGAGCACAGGTCGGAGCAAAAGGGAACCGGGAAAATAGAAGGTCATCAGAATGCAACACTGCAACGGATTATGCAGGTATAGGGGCCGCTGGCAAAAGAAGGTTTAAGGTATGACCAAGGCCAAATCCAGTGGGGAGTCCTTTTTGGAAACCTTGACAGCTGTGGTCATGGTCGACCTCATGGGAAATTTTGCAAACTTGATCCTGTGTCAAATGAGTTCCCGTGACGCGTGTCAGTGCGTGTGGATCTTGCTGTTTGGGGGAGGGCAGAAACTCTGCAGACCCCATGCCTTGCCACCCTCGACCCTGATACGCGATGCCAATAGACACACTGCTGCGGAAACCATAAACGTCACCAGATTCAGAGCTTGAGCCCACCTCTCCCAGAGGTTTTGTCCGGTAAAGGGAAGAGGAACAGGGTTCAACTCTCCTGGCAGAACTCTATGGATGCCGCAGAAGACAACGTTAATGAGCTTGGCTTAACTTACAAGGGATTTCCGGTCTTGTGAAAGAGGAGGAAACTCAAATCTCAGGAGAGTTTAATGGCAGGAGTGAGCTTGAGTGTTGGTTTCCCTAATAGATGGGTTTAGCTGCATGGGTGAGGTAGACCAAGGCCCTCTGTAGAATATGCTGGAGAACAATGATTCAAGACTACAAAGAAACTGAAGTGTGAGCGGAAGATAGGAGTGAACCTTCGAGAACCGGAGGCCATGCCACTGCCTTGTTTCGGGTGGAGGAACAAAGCCTTGTCACTGTGTTGCCAGGGACAGAGTGCAAGGTGCCTGGAAGCTCCTCGGGAACGTTAGCTGTGTCCCTCATCGCAGGCAATGGGACCCTGCACCAGTGGCCAGTACCTGCTGCCCCAGCCAGCCTCTGTGAGGCACACACTGCCAGAGATGACCTCACGCTGGTGGAAAACGAGGAGACAGCAGATCAACCCAGCCGGGCTTCCACGTCCAGCAAAACGAGGCGAGTTCGGGTTGTTATTCTGCTCTTTCATGAGTCAGGGCTTTGGGCCTCACTGCCTTCCAAACAGAGTCAAAATCAATTTGACGTTCAAAACGACATGAAAATTGCCATGTCAAAGGCCATTCTGTAATTTCAGTGTATTAAAATCAAAAGAGCACAGCCTTCTTGAAGAAGTTTCCTTTGGGCAGAATTCAAGTTTCCTCTTTCTTTTACTTGTGCAATTTGAATTTATTTCACTTTTTCAGGAAGTGACCATTTTTGCAGGAAAAGTGTAGTCAAAAGAGATAATGCACATGAAGTTTCTTTTTAAGTTCTGAGTATGTCGAAGAGATTTACAGTGCATTAAAATAAACTATAGGCAAAATAGTGTGTGTACCTATCTCTACGCATTTTTTAAAAGGGGCAAGTGGGGGACCATCTTGTTGATTTTTCACACCAGTAGCCCCTTTCCGCCAGCGGGAAGGGCCTTGCCCCACCCAATGTGTCTCTGGTGGATGGGTAATTCATGCCCATGCTACTCCCCAGTGGCTGTGGTGGGGGGGCACATAGCCCACACCTGGTACTCAATGCCCTCAGCACAGTGATTGGTCCAGGGGGTGAACACATGACTGGAGTGAGACTAATCATGGGTCTTCCATGAGATCTGAACATTGGGAGAAAAAAATATTCCCTTCCTGGCTCAGTAAGCTCACAGCGTAGGCCTGGGGCTGCGTATGTGAAGAGCCAATCTGAGAAGGAAGTCTCTGCAGAAGAGAGCCAAGTCCTAGGAGGAGGAGAGACGCTGAGCCTTGGCAGCCTCGTGTGGGCCAGCGGTGCCTGCTGTCTTGCTCGCGTGTGCCAGCAAATCTCCTTTTCTTGGCTTAATTGGATTTGGATCTCTAATTATACCTTGAATGACCCTGACATATCCAGTGTCTTCTACCTTCCTTATTGCTGTGGCCCTTTAAAAAAAGATTAGGAATCATCTGCCATGAGAATTCCACTTCTGGAATGGTGGTGAGAGGAGCCCCATGGACACATTCCCCTCAGAACAACCATAACTGGTGAAAAGTATTGAAAAGTCACCATCAACAACAATTTAAAGTCTCTAGAAATTATCCTAAGAGCACACAACAAACTAAGCAACATCATCTATTCAAGAAAATCAACCAAATCTTGGGAAGAAAAATCCCAGTAAGAACAGCAAGAATCGGTGGCACCTGAGCCATCACTTGCTCTCTCTTCCCCGCTTCTAGTCCTTCCAGTTCAGCTTATGGGGAGTTCCACTCTGGGGGTGTGTGGCCAAGAACACAGGGCTCCCTCTTCCCTCAGATCCCAGTCAAGGAATACAGTATTTCACCAGGATAGATGGGCCACCAGCGTTTCTCATCATCTCCAACTCCCAGTGACAGAGGGTAACTCCCTGCTGAGTGTGACCGAAAGGCCGGAGCACCTTCCTCCACCCAGCCCTAACTCAGGGCAGGAGCTCCGTCTCAGGTGCAGCAGGGCGAGAGTGCTGGGCTCCTAATCACCCTAAGTCCAGCCTGCTTGCTAGAAAAATATTCCATGCTAGGGGGAGGCAAACCAAGAAGATCAGAGGCTACCTCCTGCCCAATACCTGGAGTGGTGGCTTCAGTGAAGATTCTGGCGGCAAGAATTTAAGAGGAGGCTGACAGCTCTATGAGAACAACAACCTGAACCACAGACCAGCTTATTTACTGGAAAAAAAAAAAAAAAATCAGGAGAACAGATCGTTATGAGGATCTCTTCCAGGGGGAGAATGAATTTCAAAGACTGGCCTCAAAATCATCCCTACCCAAATTTAATTGGATCAAACTATGTGACAATTTATGTCTCAGGACATTGTTGAAAATAATAGAGCAATCATCCCTCAATTAGTGAAGCCTAGTAGCTGGGTGTGATACCAAATGAAGCAGAGAGTGTAACAGACAGATCAGAGAAAGGGACAGTCATAGGGAGCCCTGCTGAAATCACTGTCATCCCGGGATGACCCTGCACACGCTCAAGGCTGTGCCCTCCAACAGCTGAGGCTTCCCACTGTGAAGAATACAGACTTTGTGAAAACAGTCTAACCAAATCAGGAAACAAATAAATACACAAACAACTGCAAACAGCCTCAGAGATGGGGGAGGGGAATCAGTATGCAGAGCTGCCACATGACCCAAAATGTCCAGTTTCACACAACAGAAACACAAATGACTCATTCACAGAAAAAAAGGCGGCAACAGACACTGCTGGTAAGAAAGCCCAGATGTCAGATGTAACAGCTGTCAGATTTTGCAGCAAAGATTTCAAAGCAGCCATTGGAAATATGTCTTTGAAAAAAGGAAACCATGCTTATGTAAAGGAGTGATGATGACAATATCTCATCAAATAAAGACTATCAATAAAGAGAAATTATAAACAAGAACCAAATGGAAATTCTGGAGTTGAAAAGCACCATAACTGAGAGGCTTAACAGTAGATTGGAACTGGCAGAAGAAAGAATCTTGAAAACAGATCAATAGACATTATGCAATTTGAAGGACACAGGGAAAAAAGAATGAAGAAAAGTAAACGGAACTTAAGAAAAATGTGGAAACCATAAAGGGCATGAACATATGCACAATGGGAGTCCCAGAAAGAGGCAAGTGAGTATAAAGGAGCAGAAAAGATGGAAGAAACAGTGGCAAAAAGCTCCCTAAATTTGGTGAAAACATTAACCTACGTGTCCGAGAAACTCAGCAAACTTCAAACGGGATAAATGCCAAGAGATCCACACCCAGAGACATCATAGTAAAAATGCCGAAAGCCAAAGACAAAGAGAAAATTCTGAAAGCAGCAAAAGAAAAATGACTTGCCACATATGTGGGAATCCCAGTGGGATTTCCAGCCGACTTCTCCTAATAATGGAAGCCAGAAGGCAGCAGAATGGCATATCCAATGTAAAAAAGCTGTCAACCAAGAATCTTTCTCCAGCAGAACTATTTTTCAAAATTAAGGTGCAATATAGACAGTCCCAGATAAGTAAAAACAGAGAATTATGAGTAGACCCATTTTATCAGACATACTAAAGGAAGTTCTTCAAGCTGAAAGCAAGTGACCTCAGTTGGTAACTTGAATTCACACCCACACACATACAGTACCAGTAAAGGTAATCACGCAACTTTAAAAGACAATATAAATGGGTATTTCTTCTCTTTTCTTCCCTTAACTGGCTTAAAAAGCAATAATATAGAAGAAGATGTATATAATTGTATTATTGGGCCCATATAATATATAAATGTAATATATTTGACTAACAGCACAAAGCAGGTGAACAGAAACACAGCTACTGGAGTAAAAAAATGACACCAGATGGGAACTTGAATCCACCGCAACAAATGAAGAGAGCCAGAAATGGTCAACAGGAAGGCAAACTGTTGATATATATGTACTCTCCTCTCTTTTTTCAGCTTCTTTAAGCATGAAATTATATAAAGCAATAATTACAACAATTGTTAGGTTTGTAGCATATATAGCTGTGTGGTAGGCAGAACTGTGGCCCTCCAAAGATGTTCACATTCTAATCCCCAGAACCTATCTATCTGTAAGGTTATATGTAAAGGAAAATTAACATTGTAAATCAGATGACTTTAAAATATTGAAATTATCCTGGATTAGCCAGATGGGCCCAGTGTAATCACAAGGGTCCATAGAGGGGGAAGGGGGAAGCAGAAGAGAGAAACTGGAGGGATGGCTGCACGGGAAGGACTTGGCCTGATGTTGCTGGCATAAAAGACGAAGGACAGAAGTCATGAGCCAAGGAATGCAGGTGGCCTCCAGAAACTGGAAAGGGCAAGGAAACAGATCCTCCCCGGAGGAGGACCCAGAAGGAACAAAACCCTGCCAAAACCCTGATTTAAACTCAGTGAGACTCATTTCAGACTCTGACTTCCAAAACTGCAAAATAATACCATTGCATTATTTAAGCCACTAAATTTGTGGTAATTTGTTACCGCAGCAATCAAAAACCAACACAAGTTGCACAGCAAGAACAGTACAAAGATGGGGGTGGGCCGGGCGCGGTGGCTCACGCCTGTAATCCCAGCACTTTGGGAGGCCG
This sequence comes from Homo sapiens, assembly GCF_000001405.40. Lineage (NCBI taxonomy): Eukaryota > Metazoa > Chordata > Mammalia > Primates > Hominidae > Homo > Homo sapiens. The sequence continues at coordinate 10,241 of NW_016107298.1, forward strand.
AGGCAGGCGGATCACGAGGTCAGGAGATCGAGACCATCCTGGCTAACACGGTGAAACCCCGTCTCTACTAAAAATACAAAAAATTAGCCGGGCGTGGTAGCGGGCGCCTGTAGTCCCAGCTACTCGGGAGGCTGAGGCAGGAGAATGGCGTGAACCCGGGAGGCGGAGCTTGCAGTGAGCCGAGATCGCGCCACTGCACTCCAGCCTGGGCGACAGAGCGAGACTCCGTCTCAAAAAAAAAAAAAAAAAAAAAAAAAAAAAACAAAAAAAACAAAGATGGGGGTGGAAGAATAGAGCTATATAAGAGTAATGTTTCTATAGCTCACAGGAATTAAGTTAATATAAATCTAAAGATTCTGATAAGATGCATACGACAAGGGAGAGGACATCACCAAAGTGACAGAATAGAGGACTCCAAAATTCTGCCCCTCCACAAAAACAGGAAATAAGCTAGTAAATCTCAGAATCGACTTTTTTGGAACTCCAGAATTTAACCAGAAACCTACAACAACCAGGGAATGCTTAATGAAGAAAGCAGCTACTGAATTTTGGTGACAGTGGGTTATGGTGTTTTAATTTACTTGCTTACCATTATCTTATTCTCCAACTCAGCAGTGGCCATGAAGATGGCAGACCACATTCCTGGTGTAGGTTGCTGATACCAACCTACACATCCAAGGAGCTCAATGACTCCCAGTTTGAAAACTCAAAAGAAAGAAATATGGACCTTATATCCAGAGAATTGTGGTTGTGGGTTTTAACCCATCTGCTGGCTTGCCTTTGTTTCAACTGTCTCGGAGCTTCCCCAGGACTGAAGTGGTTTCCCAGACAGTGTTTGTCAAAAGTATTTAAAGGTAAATGTATTAGCTGCAGACACCTGGGGCACAGGACAATAGTTGGGGCAAGACGCACAATAAACATATCTAAAGGCTTGGGGAGGAAGAGGGTAGGGAAGGAGATATTTGAGGAAATAAGGTTTTTGGAAAGCTCTTGTGCATACCAGAGAATCTAGGATTCTACCACTGACATGTCTAGGGTGAGATGCATGCTCAGAAAAGGTCTAAGAAGACTCAAAAGTTTTCACCTCTGGCTGACATTTAGGGTCTGTACAAGTAGGAAGTGAAGGCTAAGACAGAGTTGTAAACAGTCTGGCTAAGCATCAAAGGTGTGCTCAAACACAGAACCAATCTACAAAGACGAGGAGAGTATTTCTTCCTACCCTGGCTTTTAAGAAAGTCTCTGTCAAATCACTAGCTGACCACTAAGCTAACAAAACAGAGACTTTGGTGGCCATATATAATGAACAATGCAGACTTTACAAAAATAGTTTAGAAAAATCACTAAACAAACAAGCAACAACACATAAAAAACAACAAGCCCTGGGAAGTGGGGGGCATCTGATTTCCAGAGTCTCCACATTCAAAATGTCCAGTTTCCAACAAAAAATACAAAGTATGCAAAATAACAAGAAAGGATGGTCCACTCACAGGAAATAAAAAAGACCTTCCCTGAGGAAGCCTAGACACCTCATGTGCCAGACAAAGATTTTAAATAAATTGTCTTAAATGTGTTCAAAGAACTAAAAGAAACCATGGGCAAATAACGTAAGTAAAGCAAGAACATAATGTATCACAAAATAGAGAATATCAATAAAGAAATAGAAATTATAAAAAGGAACCACAAACAATTTTGGAGCTGAAAAGCATAATAACTGAAATAAAAATTTCAATAGATCAGTTCAATAGCAGATTTGAGCAGGCAAACAAAGAATCAGCAAACTTACATTATCAGCAATCATCCAATCTGAGAAGTAGAAGGAAAAAGAATGAGGAAAAAGGAACAGAACCTAAGAGATCAAGTACACCAAAATACAAAAAATGAGAGTTCAAGAAAGAGAATAGAGAAACAAAGGGGCATAAAGAATGTTTGAAAAAACAATGGCTCCAAATTCCCCAAATTTGATAAAAAGAACATGATTCTACACATCCAAGGAGCTCAATGACTCCAAGTTTGAAAACTCAAAGAGTTACATCAAGATACATTGTAATCAAATTGTCAAAAGACAAAGACAAAAAGAGAGTCTTGAAATCCACGAGAGAGGAGCAGCTTGCCACATATACAAGGGCTCTCAATGAGCTTAACAACTGATTTGTCATCAGAAACAATAAAGGCCAGAAACCAACGGGATGACATATTTAAGGTGCTGAAAAAAATACTGTCCTGCGGCTAAAAATTCCAACAAAACTATCCTTCAAAAATACAAGAAAAATTAAGACACTTTCAGAGAAACAAAAACTGAGAGAGTTTGTTTTCTAGTTGACCTGCCCTCCAATAAGTGTTAAAGAAAGTCCTTCAGGTTGAAATAAAAGGACAGAAGACAGTAACTCAAAGCCATATGATGAAATGAAGAATACTAATAAAGGGAACCCCAAAATCTTCGTTTGTAACTCTTCTCTTTTTTCCTATATGATTTAGTCTATAGATGCATAAAGCAATAATTATAAATCTACATTAATAGACACACATGTATGAAATGTAACAATATTATAATAAAGGGTGGGGAAGACAGAGCTGTATAGGAGCAAAGCATTTTGTATACTATTGACACTAAGTTGATATCAATTCAAACAAAATTGTTATGTGTTTAAGATAATAGCTGTAATTCCCAGGATAACCAATAAGACCATAGCTTTTAAATATACAGCAAAATAAATGAAAACATGAATCAAAACAGTACACTAAAAAACAATGTGTTAAACACAAAAGAAGGAAATATTTGAGGAATTGAGGAATAAAGAATATGACATATACAAAACAAATAGCAGATAGCAGAATTCAGTCCCTCCTTATCAGTAATTATTTAAATACAGATGGACTAAATGCTGCAATTAAAATTCAGAGAATGGGAGAATGGATTAAAAAATCCCAAGATATAATCCAACTATATGCTTATCCACAGGGGACCAAATTTAGATTCAAAATACACAAATAGTTTGAAAATGAAAAGATGGATAAAGAAATGCTATGCAAATAGAAACCAGAAGAGACCTGGGATGGCCATACTAATATCAGACAAGATAGACTTCAAGTCCAAAAATTTTACAACAAAGAACAGCATTATATATTGATGAAAGAGTCAATCCACCAAGAAGATATAACAATTATAAACATAAACACACCTAACAACAGAATCCCAAAATCTATGAAGCAAAAACTGACAGAATTGAAGATGGAAATAGACCATTTTACAATAATAGCTGAAGACTTCAATATTCCACTTTCAAAAATGGATAAAACAACCGGCACATGATCAGTAAGAAAATAGAGGACATGAACAACACTGTAAATCAACTAGACCTGACAGACATACATAGAGCACCCCACTCAACAGCGGCAGAATGTGTATTCTTCTCATGTATGATGATCATTCTCCAGGATAGGTCATATGTTAGGTCACAAAACAAGTCTCAATAACCTTAAAGAGACTGAAACCATACAAAGCATCTTCTCCAACCACAGTGGAATAAAACTAGAAATCAATGACAGAAGAAACCCTTTAAAAATTCACAAATATGTAGAAATTTAACAATATTCTCTTAAAGAACCATTAGGTCAGGTAATATGTTACAAGATAAATTAGAATATATAATAAATAATAAATCTTGAGACAAATGAAAATAAAAACACAACATACCCAAAACTTAAAGGACATACAAAAGCAGTGCCCAGAAGAATATTTATAGCTTCAAATTCCTACATTAAAAATAATAAAGATCTCAAATCAATAACCTAACTTTACACATGAAGGAACCAGAAGAAAAGCAACAGAAACTCAAAGCTAGCAGAAAAAAGGAAATAATCAAGATTATAGTGAAGGTAGACAAAATAGAGAATTGAAAAACAATAAGAAGACTCAATGAAACCAAAAGCTGGTTCTTTGAAAGATCAACAAAACTGACAAACATTTAGCCAAACTGACCAAGATAAAAAGAGAGAAGGCTCCAATTACTAAAATCACAAACAAAAGTGGGGACATTACTACCGACCTTATAGAAATAAAAATGATTATAAGAGAATATTATGTACAATTGTATACGAACAAATTAAATAACCTAGAAGAAATGGACAAATTCCTAGCAACACAGAAACTACCAAAATTGACTCAAGGAGAAATGGAAAATTTGTACAGATCTATAACAAGTAAAGAGCTTGAATCAGTCATCAAAAACTCCCAATAAAGAAAAACCTAGGACCAGATGGCTTTACTGGGAATTCTACCTATCACTTAAAGAATTAATATCCATCTTTCTATGAGGCCAGCATTACCCTGATACCGAAACCAGACAAAAACATCATAAGAAAACTACAGACTAATGTCTCTTATAAATATAGGTGCAAAAATCCTCAATGATATTCTAGCAAACCAAATTCAGCAGCATATTAAAAGGCTTATATACAATCACCAAGTGGGATTTATCCGTGGAATGCAAGAGTGGTTCAACACACAAAAATCAATCCATATAATATACTACATTCATAAAATGGAGGAAAATAAACCACACAGTCATCTTGGTTGATGCAGAGAAAGCATTAGACAGAACCCAACACCCTTTGTGATCAAAAAATACTCAAGAAACAAGGACTAGAAGGGAAATTCCTCAGCATGATAAAGGGTATTTACGAAAAGCCAAAAGTACTCATCATGGTCAACTGTAAGACTGGAAGCCTGCTCTCACCACCTGTATTCAACATAGTACCGGACATTCTAGTCAGAGCAATTCAGCAAGAAAAAAATAAATAAATAAAAGGCATCCACATTGCAAAGGAAGAAGTAACACTTCTTGAGGGAAAATGGGGAATGATGGCTCGTGGGTACAGGGTTTCTTTTGGGAGCAATGAAAATGATCTAAAGTTGACTGTGGTGATGGTTGCACAGCTGAGTGAATATAGTAAAAATTATGGAATTATGCGCCCGAAACGCTGAACTACAGCATATGTGAATTACAGCTCAATAAACCCACCATAAAGGAAAGATTAAACAATGATCTACTCCTTACCTCTGTTCTCAGAGCCATTTCCAGCCCAGCCCAGGCCCCAGGCAACCCTCTGTGGGTGACGCAGCATTACCTGCTTTCTGGCTGTCCAGTGTTGTGTAGCGCAAGGCCCTGGGAGGCCACTGGGTTGGTCATGCGGTAACCAAGAAGGGGAGCAAGTAGTTGGGTGACAAACCCTGTACATCTGCTCCTAACTTTCGAAACCTGGCTGATGGGAGGCCAATGTCACCCTCTAACGCCCTCCCATAGCAGCCTCGGCTTGTCTTCTGACAGTGGCACTGTCCACCCACAGGCATCACGCATCCTGCCCGCACATTGCTTCCGCCAGTGGAGCCCCAGCTGAAACACTAGACAGGAGAGAAGTCCAGAGATCCTGCTCACTCTAGGGAAGGAGAAAGACCTCTTCAGCTTGTCCTGCCTCGGCAAAGGCAAAGCCTCATGCATTTGCTCACTCCTCCCTCCCAGGGCTCAGCCGGCACCTGAAGCTAGTGTAGCAGAAAGAGCCCAATTCTGCATCAGGCGGGCCTGGGTTCAAATCCCAGATCCTCCACTTTCTAATTGTGCCATCTCTGAGCCTTCCATCCCTTACCTAGAAACAGAGTTCTTTCCACCCATGCCCTTGTGAGACAGCGTAAGTGAAAATGACATCCACACGGTACTGGAAGCAGAGCTGCTAGAAACCCAGCCAGGCAGGGTTTGAACTTGTTATCTCCAAAAAGTCTCAGGAATCGTATTTCTGCCTGATGGTGACCTACTTCAGCAAGGACCCAATGTAGAAATTACTCTGCCACCAAAAAAGCAGGCCTCAGACCCCCTCCATCACCTCCCCAATTTATGAATTAAACAACGAGGCCAGTGCCTGAGGGGTCTGCAGATGAGAGTCAGAAACCAGCAGCCCCCCACCCCACAGAGACAGGTCCCTGCTAACTAGACACAAGAATTGGCCTTCTGGGGTGTCTCTGCGTGTTCTGTGTATGGTGACCTAGCCCCGGCCCTCCAGGAGGGACACTACGTGCAGGACATTTTGGAAAACAGTCTTGGTGTTTCCTCAAAAAGTGAAACACTGTGTTATCATGTGAGCCAGCAATTCTCCTAGGCATATACCTAAGAGTAATGAACATATATGTACACACAAAGACTTGTCCACAAATGGCCATCGAGGAGAAGCTGGCCACAGAGAAGATGGCCCAGAGAGGAGGTGCTGTGTGCAGAAGCAGCTCTGGGAGGAAAGACGTGCACAGGCCAAATTCAGATTACTGACACTTTTTTTTTAATGCAGAGATTGTCTGCAGAATTACCTATTTTTGACTTATCTTGAAAAACTGAGGATCTGGCAACACTGACCCCGAATCTTCCTAACAGCAACAATGATCAGAACTCAGAGGTTTTGTGTCTCACTGATTTTTTTTTCTTTTTCTTTTCTTTTTTTTTTTTTTTTGAGATAGGGTCTGACTTTGTCACCCAGGCTGGAGTGCAGTGGTGCACTCTCAGCTCACTGCAACCTCTACCTCCCAGGCTCAAGCAATTCTCCTGCCTCAGCCTCCCAAGTAGCTGGTTCCACAGGTGCATGCCACCACGTGTAGCTAATTTTTAGATTTTTTTGGTAGAGATGGGGTTTCACCATTTTGCCCGGGCTGGTCTCGAACCCCTGAGCTCAGGTGATCCATCCGCCTCAGACTCCCAAAATGCTGGGATTATAGGCACTTTGCTGCACCTGGCCTTGTCTCACTGATTTCTGATCTTATTTTGTATTATCTTTTTCCTTCTATTTTCTTTGGATCAATGTTGCCTTTTTCTAACTTCTCACACTGGAAATTTATCTCTTTAATTTTTAGACCTTTTTCTTTTCTAATGTAAATTTCCATCCACGTTTTGATATTTAGTGCTTTTATTATCATTGAGTTGTATTTTTGAAGTTCCACTATTATTTCTTCTTTGACCCATGAATTATTTAAAAGTATTTTTTTTAAATTTCCAAATAATGGGGATTTTTGCTTTGGGGGCTATTAATTTCTCTCTCACAGGCATGATGGTCAGGGAACAAGACCTGCTGACACTATTCTTTTAGTTTCTGTGAGATTTGCACTTAATTGACCAGTTGTTACAAGTGTTTCCTATGTGCTTGAGAAAAAGAAATAACCTCTACTTGTCAGATGCAAAATTCATCAATGTCAAGCTTATTATTTGTGTTATTTAGAACTTCCTTATCTGTGCTGGGTTTTTTGTCTACTTGATCCAACACCAATTGGAAAAAAATGGTTGGATTCTCTCAAAAATGATGATAAATTTGTCAATTTCTCTATTTCTAACAAAGTTCACGTCAAATATGTTGAGGTTATTTTATTAAGTGACTCTACCTTTAGAACTGCTTTATCATCTTGGGGAAATGAACCTTTTCTCATTAAACGGTGACCTGTCTTTCCCCAGCAGCGTCTCCTGTCTTGAGGTCTGTTGAGTCTGAGATTGATACAGCAATGTCGGCTTGCCTTTGGCGGCCTGATAGGTCTGTTTCCATACTTTACTTTCCACTTTTTCTTGCCTTTACACTTTACTCTGGTGATAGCGTCCAGCCAGATTTTGAATTTGGGGTTTGTCTCGTTTGTCAGATATGACAGCCTCTGTCTTTGAATTTGTGAGTTTAATCCATTTACATTTACCTGGATTATTGATAAATCTGGGCTTGTTTCTCCCATCTTACTCTATGATCTCAATTTGTCTTGGTTTTTCTGTCCTTTTTTCTCCTTTATAATTTGTCTTATAAAAAAAGACATCCCGGCCGGGCGCAGTGGCTCAGGCCTATAATCCCAGCACTTTGGGAGGCCAAGGTGGGCGGATCCCTTGAGGCCAGGAGTTCGAGACCAGCCTGACCAACAGGGTGACACCCCATCTCTACAAAAAATACAAAAAAATTCGGGGGGTGTGGTGGCACATGCCTGTAATCCCAGCTGCTAGGGAGGCTGAGGCAGGAGAATCACTGGAACCCGAGAGGCAGAGGCTGCAGTGAGCCGAGATCGAGCCACTGCACTCCAGCCTGGGTAACAAAGTGAGACTCCATCTCAAAAAAAAAAAAAGGCATCCCTTTTTCTCTAATTTGTCCTGTCACCACTGTGCTGGCTGCCCCAGCCAGGCTGCAACCCTGGGGACACACATGCCCCTCCAGCAGTGAGTTCAGACCCTTCTCACCCTTTGGCCTCAGGCTCCTCACTTCCTGCCCCCTCTCCTGAGAGGTGACACGCCATGTCCACACCAACTCCAAATCTGATCATCGGCTCCAGTCCAGTCCCTGCACCAGCTGCTCATGGGCCTTTCTCTCTGGGGTGGGGCTGGGAGCTGTGGTTCCTGCTGCTGTGTCCTGCACTACTCCACATTTCCCAGTTCAGAGGTGATCGGAGCCCCCTCTAATATATGCCATCCCAGGGCGGGGCAGCAGGGCACAAGGCCACTTCAGTGTCAACACGGATCTCACTGCAGGAACTAGGAGGGGCCTCCCTTAGGAAGAGGCACTCTGGACTGTTTTAACCACAGTCCCCACTTCTCCCTCCTGTCTCACAGTCCCGAGCTTCATACACACACGCTGCTGCCTATTCTGGAATTATGCAGTATTATTATTTTATATTCATGTCGCTGGGCATATGATGCTCCCATGACAAGGGGCCCTGGAGCTTTTAGATCAATCCTTAGAAGGACTCCAGCCAGACCCCAAAGGCCACATATTATCAATTGGGTTTCTATGAAGTATACAGAATAGGCAAATCCAAAGACACAGGGAGTAGATTAGTGGTCACTATGAGCTGGGAAGGGGAATGGGGAGTGACTGCTCTGGGTGCAGGGTTCCCACTGGGGTGATGAAAACATTTTGGAACTAGATGGTGATGATGGCTGCACAACACTGCCAAAAACCACTGGATTACACACTTTCATACTCATATGTATTATAGTCCATTGATTTTTAAAAGGTCAGAGGAAGCAACTCAAATGCTTGTAGGAGGTCAGAAGAGGCCCAGATGGGTGAAGTCGGGGGGGCGTGCAGATTAAGCCCACAAGAATATTCTCTAAGCTACCAGGTCACACACACACTCCCTCTCACTGTCCCTGAAGCCCATAGCCCCCTCTGCCTGACTCTCCTATCAACTGTTGATGGCGTCAAAGATGCACAGAAATATATTTTGGCTGAAAGAAACACAACAGGGCACAATGAGGAAGGGCTGCCAAGCAGCCTATTAGCAGCATTTGTCATGGTTCATCTGGGAGTCTGCCTTTTCCCCCAGCCAGACTCTTCAGGGACAGAGACCAGATTGTTCATACTCAGTGCCCAGCAGGGCGCTGGCCTGGGGTGCTTGCAGACACTGACTGGATGAATGGATGGATGGATTGGGTGGATGAATGAGTGTGTAGATGAATGGATGATGAATGATGGATGGATGGATGGATGATGGATGAATGAATGGATAAATAATTGGATGGATGGATGGGTAGATAGGGGATGGGTAGATGGATGAGTAAGTAGATGAATGGAGATCAATGATGGATGGATAGATGGATGGATGAATGAGTGGGTAGACGAATGAATACACGATGGATGAATGAATGGATAAATGATTGGATAGATGAATGGATGGACGGATGACAGATGGATAAATGGATGAATGATTGGATAGATGGATGAATGGGTAGACAGAAAGACTCTGATACTGGAAAGTGAATCCTTCACATCCATGGCAAGTGAACCGGGTAACAAAGTCAGAGGCAAGACCATAGCAGCGTCATTTGTCACTGTTGCCATTTATACACATTTTTGGGGCAGAATCGGTCATGCTTGACCACAGGTCATCTCTAGAGGGTGAGGATTGGGGGTCAGGAACTGTGGGGTGGGCTCAGGGCTAGGGCTGCCGATGTGGCCTTTGTGCCTGTGAGCAGACTGCATTTCCATCAGCCTCATCCCCATCTTCCCTCTCTGCCTCCACCAGTGAGTTCAGATCCTTCCTACAATTCAATCTTGGGGTCCCCTCACTTTCTGTCCCATCTCCCAAGACCTGGCTGGGGCCTGACTCAGAATGGGGTCAGCAAAGCCCTGAGGTAGAGCCGTCTCCCAAGATTATGGCCTGGCTGGGGCCCGCCTCACCTCCATTCAAAGGACACCATGTGGAAAACCAATGTGCCCCCAAGCAGGGGTGGCACGGCACAGACACTGATGGCACAGGGGCCACTTCTTGCTCCTTCCTGGTGTCTTCATCCTCGGGGATCAGGGGCTCTGCAGCAGCAGGCAGGGCTGGGCAGCCCTGGAGTGTGTGACACAATTCGGGCACTGTGACCCTACTGGACCCCTTTGCACAGATGCTGCTGGGCCTAGGAACTGGCTGCTCCCCACTGGCTGCTCTGGTAGGCCCTGGGGTCTGCCTACACCCCCAACACATGAGCATGGGCAGGTACCCACCAGTCTCCTTCTCTGTCCCCAGCCTCTCCCGCAGCTTGGCCTTGGTCCACCGTGGACAGCGTCTCTGACACGGTCCTTCTTCCCACAGGGAGACCGGGAGGGTCTTGTTCTGCCCTCAGAGCAGAGGCCCCAGGCTCCTTCAGGTGGGAGCACAGGTGCCTTTCGCACAGGGCCCAGCAGCCAGCTCAGCCCACAGAACAGTAAGCCGCCAGGTCCCAAGTTGTCATCTTGTGACCCGCCCCTGGGGACACGGGTGCCCAACAGGAAAGAGGACGGGGGCTTATTATAAGGAAAATAGTGTCAGGCCTGCCATGGAGCTTTGGGCCTGAGGCCTCAGCTGAGGCCAAGGCAGCAGGACTCATCCAGAGACAGGACAGACCCTGGGCTCCTGGTGCCCAGCTCAGGGAAGCTCCTGGGTGCGGCTCGGTTCACTCCAGCATTTCCTACATGGATGAAGATGTGGATGTGTCTGCTCTGACCATGGGTGTGTGCATGCCTGCGTGTGTGTGAGAGAGAGAGAGGAGAGAGAGACGGAGAGAGTTTATGTACGTGTAACTACCAACCAGAGTCCAGGAGTCTCACACTCCACTGCAAACCAGGCAGGCGGGGCCAGCATGAGTGGGGGGGCCAGGCACGAATCGGCAGGGAGGGAGGGGTTGTGTTCGCCCATCCAGAGGAGGCACAGAGCCTCCCACCCAGTGCTGCTGGCAGGAACACGCCCAGGGTGGCCAGGCCTTCTGAAGGAACTGAAAATTGAGATTTTCATGTGAAACCTCCTGATTTTTAAGTGTACACTCAACATTTCTGAAGCCGTTGTACGAGTCAAATAAAACATTGCGGGGTGGGGCGGCGAGGCCGCCCAAGAGCTGCAGGGCTGAGGCCTGGCTTTAGTCCAGCACCCCGATGTACATACAGACGAGAAGACTGAGGTCAGGCCAGAGCAAGGACTCCGCAGGCCAGGCCCACACTGGCGGCCCCGGCTGCCTGGCCCATCACTGGGGTCACCACAGCCCATGGGGAGCACCAAGGACACCAAGAAAGGGAGGCCCAGGCCTGGTCCCCGGGGTCTCTGTCACCAAGGGCCCACATTGTGAGTTTCAAAGGTGGCCGAGGTGGTTCCTACAGGCCTGTGAGTCCCCACACTCCTTCCCAGTTCAAGGCCTCGGGACAAATCCAAGCCCAGCTTTGTCCTCGTGGTGATGAAGGCCAAGAATGCTGGGAGCTCCCGGGATATTGCCTAGAACAAAGGAGCACAGGCACCTGACGTTCTGGACACAAGGGCAGAACCCTCTTGAGACCATCATCGGCCGTTTGCTCTCCAGGCTGCGGGGGCCTGGAGGACATCCAGGCACGGGTATAGGTGCCGGGAGCCCGGGGAACAGAACCTCAGACCCGGAACTGGGCACCAGATGCACCAGCCGGGGGTCTGTCCGCCCAGCCCGGGGAGTCCAGGGGCTGCTCCGAACCCGGCGCCACGCCTGCTCCCTCAGTGCCGCATCCAACAGCTCTGTCTGCCTGGGCTGGGGCCCTGCGCCCTCCCCGCTGCTGGCTCCCGCTGATGCGCTACAGATGGGCTTCATCGCTGCCTCCAAGAACAACAGGACGACCGCAGGTTTCGCCTCACAGAAACGGAACCGCTGGAAAGGCCTCTCTTGACATTCCCGAAAGGAAAATAAAAATTCCTCTGAAGTACATTTCAACTCCGAGGCAGCCCTGGCCACATCCAAGAAGCTCGGTCCTGAGCGCCGTGGGCTCCAGTGAAGGTCCCCAGCACTGAGGCCGCCTCCTGACCCCCATCCCGGCCACTGCCCCGGGCTGCTCAACCCTTACACGGCTTTCACAAATTTTGAATTAGCTGCCAACAGTTTAAAATGAAGAGATTGTAAGTAAAATCAATTTCCAGCTTCTCTTATAAAATTGGAGGCCCTCCTGCTGCTGGCCGACCCCGTGTCTACCTGGGCCCAGTGATCTCTGCTGGCGTCACCTGCCAGGCCCCCATCAGTGTGCCCATACGAGACCACTGTCCTCAGCGAACGCCTGACCCCCAGGCTCCAGGCAAGGTTGAGAGGACAGATGCTCTCATCCTGGGGGCTCTGGCCTTCCTGGGGCCAGTGTTATCCAGCTCTGCCCTCCAGAGCCCTCTGCACACGCTGGGGCTGGGACTGCCCATGGCTGTGGGCTCTGATTTGGGTGGGCAGACCTGAGCAGGCCATCATGCTTCTTATTCCCAGCCTGACCCCCCCAGACCGCCCCCCGCCAACCCAGACAATGTGTACTGAACTCCTCGTCAACTTGACCCCTGAGCTCCTCCCCGCAGCCCACCAGGTGCTCCTGCTGTGGTTTGGGCAGCACCTAGTCCTTTTTGCCCTGCTGGACGTCGCCTGGCCAGACTTGCAGAGCCATCTCAGCCCTTTGTTCTCCTGACTCCATCCCTCCAAGCCTGGCCACCCCAGCCTCGGCCCCAGCTCCTGCCACGTGAATTGTCAAAGGCAGAGCATGAGGAGGCTGAAGGCAGCCCCCATGGCACACCCCACGGAGTCCCTGCAGTCGTCCAAAAAAGGCTCAAGCCTGGGCAGCATTGCTCGCAGCTAGGAATCTGCAGCTGGACTCAAATATGTGTCCAGAATGATCTGGGAAAGGTCCTTGAGAAAAGGGCCAGACACAGGGACCTTCCCAGGCCCGGATCCCACAGAGGAAATGATTCTAGCGAGCGCCACCTCGACAGGTCTGAGGTCCAGACAGGGGTGGAGCTGTCACAGGCAGCCGGGTGGGGCTGTGATCTGGGTCCTCCCAGCCTCACGGTGATTTGGAATGGGAATACGGTTCTGCCAGGCAAGGAGTATCCCCCTCTGACCAACCTGTGGACTGCCTACCAGGACTCCCAACACCCTTCCTGCACGATGGCGCTGAGGGGCTGATCCGGCCGCTGCTCTCATTCCCATGGCCACCTGATCCAGGCCGCAGTCTCTCCCTGCACACAGGACAGCAGCCTCCTGCCGGCTCCCTGCCTCTTCCGTGCTCACCCTCCTCGGAAACCAGACCATGCCACCTGCTGCATGGCACAGCCCCTCCTCCACGACGGAGCCCACAGAAGCCATCGTGATCTGACCTCCAGTCCCCTCAGGCCCTCACCCTGCCCCTCCTGCCACACCCCCAAACAAGCCCCGTCCTCACCCCTCAGGTACTTCGCATCTGCTGCCCTGGCCCCTTTTCCTCCTGGGGAACTGCAACCCACACTCCAGGCCTCAGCCCAACGTCCAGTGACTGCGGGCTCACTCTGTGGCACTTCCCAAGTCTTTCATTGTGCAGGTATTTGTGGACTGACTAGTGCACTGTGGGCTGTATGAGGTCAGGGCTGTGCCTGTCTGGTCCCAGAGCCTGGCCCAGTGCCCGGTCCTGCTGTGCGTGCCGGGTAAAGATCTGTTGGATGAATCAAGGGAGAGAGGAAGGGGAGCAGCCCTGGGATTCCACAGGTGCTTTATGTCCAGAGACAACCGCGCAGGGAACAGTGGCCAAGGCACGCTGGGAGCAGTGCTCCAGCCCGACGGCATCCCCAGGGCAGAGGCTGGGATTCACGCATTGCTGCCCTCAGGCACCAAACAGGCCTGTGGCAGTCACAGGGGCACATTCCTGATACCGGGTCTGTCGTTCCAGCATGGACAGGGCCATCTTCCTCGCCATCTGCAGTCTGGCATCAGACATTCCCAAATAAAGGACAGACAGTTAACTGTCAGAAAGTGCTGGTGCTTGGGCCTGGAAGGAAGGGAGCCCGTGTCTACTGGGCACCCCCAATTTTGGCCACTGTGCAGTGCCCTGTGTCCTCAACCTCGGGGCCTGGACCACAGCTCCATGAGACCACAGGGAGGAAGCAGAGTCACAGAAGAAAGAGTGATGAACAGCACTGGCCACTTGATTTGCAGGGCACAGTGCAAAATGGAAACGCACAGTCCCTTGTTCAAAAAGTGATTACGACTTCTAAGGCAGGAATGACAGAGTGTTAAAGTGGGCATAGGGCCCTGCCGGATGGGTCACAAGCCGGCGAAGTCAGTCCTGCTCAAGTGTGAGGAAGTGGGACTAGCAAAGGCCCAGGGCCACCCAATGTCCCATGGGCCCATGGGACCAGTAGCCACCCACAGCTGCCAACCTGAGTCTGCAGCCCTGACACTGTGGCAACAACAGGAGGCGTCAGTGCCAAGCCCTCCAATGCCTGCAGGGAGCAACTGTTGCTCCCGGAGTGAGCTCCTGGGCGACCGGGCTTCCTAGGCACTATGCTTATTCTTTCTTTTCACGGATATTTACGCACCAACCGTGTGCCAGGCATTCCTCAAAATGCTGCAAATTCCACTGTAAGCAAAAGATTCTCCCCGAAGCTAACGTGCTAAGTGACCTGGAGACACATCCTCACTCACCCTCGCTGGGCCCCAGTTTCTGCAGCCGTTAAGTGGAGTTCCAGGCCTTGGTGCTTGGAAGGCCCTCTGTCCAACAAACAGATGGGGTCACAGGCTACCGGGTTTTGCCAGCCCAGGCTCTGAGCGGGGACAGGAGGGCACTGCACTGGGTGTCAGCAGCCCTGGGTTCTAAGCCTGCTCCTCCCTCCTGATGCAGGAGTCAAAAGGCCTGGCTCCCACTGTTTCTACAGCTTACTATCTGTGCGACCGTCGGCACCTCAGTTTCCTCATCTGTAACGTGGGCACAGCAAAAGCACCAACCCACCGTGGGGCTCATTACAAGAATCCTAGGAGATGATGTACCTGCAGCGTGCTGGCAGACGCGGTCAACGGTAAGTGCTCCAGGAACGCGTCACGTTCTTCTTGCTCCCTGCTGTTCCCGCTACTGCTTGGACAGTGGTAGCCCTGCACCTTAGTTTTCTCTCTGCTTCCAGGACTACCGTGCCTATTAAATGACACCATGAAGAGTGCCCACCTTCGCGCAGGCCCTCGGTGAATGGGCATGTCCTTGAACGCAAACTTGGCTCCAACGGGGCAGGAGAAGGATCATTCAGACTCAGCTACAGAAAAACAGACTTTTGTGCAACTAACGCTAACAAAACTGGAAAGGAAAGAGGAACTACGGCCTGGGGAAAAGCTTGTATCGAACATGACAGAAAGTCAATATCTAAAAAGAGATAAAGGGCTTATCCCAATATATAAGACCCCAGGAGATAAACAGGCAAAGGACTTAGGAATAGGAGACATGCAGAGTAATCAAACCCAGGGAAGATCACTCATCCTCGCCAGTAACCAAAGAAGCGCAAATTAGCGCAAAAAGCAACGCCGCTTTGCTGCCGGAGCAGCAAAATATTAAACACTAAAGCCCCCGTGCTGGTGAGGATTTGGAGAAACCAGGAGCTGCTGTGGGAGCCAGTCTGGCTCTGCCCCGAGTGGTGAGTCTGTTAAGCGCTGGGATTTCCTAATTCATTTAGTCACTCAGTAGGTGCCCCCTGATGGCTGCTCAGGGCCAGGGCTCGAGCGCGTCTGGGCTGGCTCAGGCCGCCATCTGCCGGGTCAGCAACAGATACCTATTTGCAGGAACAGAACCTGAGGTCAGCTCCCAGGATGTCCCCACCCCTGAGTTTCAAGAGAGTTTGCACCAGGAGCAGGGAGCATTCCAGCTGTCTCGGGCAGCTTTTGTGTGGGGAACAGCTGGTAGCGCTGCCTGCGGCCCCTTGGGGTGGACAGGAAGGCTCTGCCTGCAAAGGCCTAGAGGCAGCCACACACCCTGCCCTGCACACTCCTAAGTACGTGCAGGCCACAGTTCCTGCATCCATTCATCCCGGCCAGTCTGGGGTCCCTCCCCACAGTGGCAGGCAAGGGGAAGCTGGACCGGTCCTGCTAGACAAACAAGGATGCACACACGTCCATGGGACCCCAAACCTCACACTGTCCCTGACAGCCCGCCCCACAGAGCACAGCCTCTGCCTCCCGGAGCAAGAGGAGGTGGCAGTGCATCCCAGGGCCTGGCTGCCTGTGGGGCTGCATTGGGGGCTCCTGCCCCCGCCCCGTGAGTCTGGGAACACATGGGTCTTGGCCTTGGCACCTTCTTTCCTGGGAAAACACCTCCCTCTGGGCCAGGGCAGTGCAGAGCAGTGGAAGCGGGCAGCTGTGGAGTCAGAGTGATGGGTGCCAATTCTGACTCCTGCACGTGGCCCAGACCACCTAACCTGCCACCCCCACCAGCACACCTGCCCGGCCACCCCCACCAGCACACCTGCCCGGCCAGCCTCAGGCCACCAGCCAGCCTCCCAGCCACGTGACCTCTCAGGGGCAGGATGTGTCCTTGATTCCTTCCTTCACACCACGTCCCGGAAGCTCCACCTCAAACTCATCCTGAACCCACTGCCTCCACCGCCATCTGTCACCGGGACTCCTCCCTGCTTCCACACCGTCCACCGAAAACCCTCCAAAGGCCTCCACCGCACAGGGAATGAATTCTCACCCCGTACCGTGACCGTCCCTTCAAAGCGATGAGTGCCACCCATCCCTCCCGGCCCTGCACGCCTCCCACTCCCCCATTACGTCCTCAGTTCCAGGTACTAGCTCTTCCTTCTGCCCCTTGGTCACGCTGCGGTAACTCCAGCCTCAGGGCTCCTGCATGTGCTGTTCCCTCTGCCTGGAACACCCTTCCCAGGGCTGGGCTTTCCCATCATCACCAACCTGGGGCGCCTCCCTCCCTTACCTGCCTTCTCACGCTGCCCTTTCACCCCGTTTTACTTTGTTCACAGGATTCTCCACTGTCTGCGAGCATCTGCTCACCAGGTCTCCCCTGCGGGGCTGTGAGCCCAGAGAACAGGGACTCGATCGGGTTCCTCCGCTGCTACAGCCCCAGCACCCAGTCCTGTCAGACACATGGTGGACACATAGCAAGAACGTGACGAGTGAATGCAGGAAAATACACTTGTGGCAGCAGGCAAGGTGCCCTCTCTGAGCCTCAGTCTCCCCCTAAGCAGTAGAGCTGCTAATGCTATTATTCCCCCATGATTTGGGGAGCAGTATTATTCCCCCATGATTTGGGGAGCAGTATTATTCCCCCATGATTTGGGGAGCAGCATTATTCCCCCATGATTTGGGGAGCAGCATTATTCCCCCATGATTTGGGGAGCAGCATTATTCCCCCATGATTTGGGGAGCAGCATTATTCCCCCATGATTTGGGGAGCAGCATTATTCCCCCATGATTTGGGGAGCAGCATTATTCCCCCATGATTTGGGGAGCAGCATTATTCCCCCATGATTTGGGGAGCAGCATTATTCCCCCATGATTTGGGGAGCAGCATTATTCCCCCATGATTTGGGGAGCAGTATTATTCCCCCATGATTTGGGGAGCAGCATTATTCCCCCATGATTTGGGGAGCAGCATTATTCCCCCATGATTTGGGGAGCAGCATTATTATTGAGCATTAATGAACCCGCATGGCATTCAGGTGCCCGGCCTTTTCCCAACCAGACCAGCGCACCAGCCACCTCTCCACACAGGCCCAGTGCCCAGGTCACCTCCTGTCCTGTCCTGCAGGCTCTCTCTGGGTGTGCCGACAGTTTGGGATGGGAGGCGTGGGAGGCGTGAGCTGCGCTCCTGGCCGGGTTCTCTACCAGCTGTGCTCGTGGCGCAGCCCACACCTCACGGCAAGCCCCAGCCAAAGGGACCAAGTCAAGAGCTCTGAGAGACATCCCAGCCGAAGAATCCAGCCCTTGTCCCAAACGTGTGTGTGCACAGGCACACGAAAGAAGGTGAGACAGAAGGAGAGAAAAATGAAGCCAGAGAGCAGGAGAGAGAGAAGACAGACGCCAGCACGCCCATCTGACTGCGCGACCTTTCCCCGCTCAGAGCTCCTTCAGGGCCCAGAGCACAGCGCTGCCTAGGATTAATTTCAAAGAGAAACGGGTCAAAGAAAATTGGAAATTTTTATAGAAAATATTTCAGGCTTGGAGCTGGCTGAAGTGTCTGCCAACCTGCAGAGAATTCTGAGAGGAGATGGGGCCTGTGGTCAGAGGCCTCCGGCTGGCACAAACTGGCAGAGTTTGGACCTCGGACCCAAATGCAGTTTCTGAGCCAGGCCTGTCCTCGCTGCTGCTGGGGAAGAGCTTCCTGTCCCCTTCAGATGTCCCTACAGCTGCCTCTGCAGCCCTGATGCTGGTACCCAACGCCTCTCACCTGTCGCCCCACCCCTCTCTATCCCCAAGAGGCCTCTGTCTAGGGACCCACTATGGGATGCAGTCCCTTTGTCCCCATTATGCAGGGTGCCCATGTCTCTTTCACCGTCATCCATGGGGCAGCCAGGGCATGAAGGAAGCCTCACCTGGGTCCCAAGCAGGTCCCACTGCTCCTTGCCCAAACTTCACCCCAGCCAGCAGGCTCCTACATCCAAGGCACAGATGTCACAGACATGAAAAGATGCCCTGGACACATGCCTCTCTCCCAGAAGCCTGCCTCTGCCATGCTGGGGACCTGAAAAGAGGGGGCATGCCCAGCCCACAGTTGCTGATCAAACGCCAGATGCCCCCGTGAGCAGATCACAGCTTCACCCCTGAGCCGTGTACTGTCTGCATGCCAGGGACTGTTACCTTGTGCAAAACCCGAAAAGCTCTTTGGAGGACATTCCCAACACAGATCCAAGGGAAGGAAAGAAAGTATCAATTCACTGTGTCTGTGGAAGATGGCGAGGCAGAGGAGGGAAAGGGGACGGAGAGCAAGTGTCGCAGTGAGCACTGGGCAGGCGCCCTGTGCCCTGCGTAATTCCAGCAGCCCCTGTGCCACTGCACCCAGGTACAGTGGAGATCTCAGCACCCAGGTTCTGAGATCCTGAGGGGCTGGGTGAGCTGCTCTGGGCCCCTTAGTGAGCCAGAACAACAGCATGTCGGGTGGAGCTGAGCACACTGACCCCTGCACCAACAGCAGCATGCTGGGCGGAGCTGAGCGCGCTGACCCCTGCACCAGCGCTGACCCCTGCACCAACAGCAGCATGCCGGGCGGGGCTGAGCACACTGACCCCTGCACCAACAGCAGCATGCCGGGTGGGGCTGAGCACACTGAACCCTGCACCAAACTGCCCGCTGCCCACCCCACTCACCCACCTAGTGCTGGAAGCATCTGTGGGAGCAGCCCTAATGCAGCTCCTCAGAACCACTGGCCGGTCTTCCAGAACTGTCCCCTGCACTCGAGTTGGGGCTGCAGCCAAGCCAGGGCCAAGGCCACCATCCTCCGGGTCAGGCTTGTCACCTGCCCACGGTGCTCCACCAAAGATCCAGGCCCTTGCCAGCCACATTTACCTGGTCGGCTCCACCCCTGAACCAGAAACCATGTCGGGAGGGGAGAGGTGGCGGGGGAAGGGCAAGCCTGAGACTCAGGGACTAAATTTATGTCGGAGGCACAGGGGAGTTGCTGCGCACGTGGGGGCTGTCAGGCGGAGTGCCAGGCCCAGACGCCGTGGAGGGGGAGCACACCCTGGCACGTCTCCACTGTGGAATAAGGGGGGCCCAGCCCTCGCTGGGGCTGCAAGCCTCGCTTCTGCCTTCACAGCCCAGGGGGTGGGAAGCACCCACAGGGCAGCGCTCTGAGCAGCAGACTCCAGCCAGAGAGCCAGCCAGGCCCGGGAGCTGGCCCCTCCTGCTCTCCCCGGCTGACCCCAGGCAACTCCAGCCTCGGAGAATGTGCAGCCTCGGCTTTCCCAGCGCCGGCCCCCGCCCACCCCTTCCGCGTGGGCCACATCACCGCGCTGGCATCTCCAACAGCCATCCCAAGGGCCCGGTCTGCACGAGGACAGGAGCGCCGCGGCGTCTGCCAAGGGTGCGCTCAGCCCTGAAGCACGCCTCCCGGAGCCGCCTCGGGTTTCACAATCAGTGCTTCTCCCTGGGTTTCCCGGGGCCTGGGCTGCAGGCTCAGCTCCAGGGTGGAAAGAGAGGATGAGCTGAGAAGACTCCAGGGATCCAGCGCCGAGGCGCTGAACTCAGTGAGTCGGCAACAGTGGCTTGGCAGGGCCCAGGCTGACCAGGGTATGAGAGAGAGCACCTATCACCACGCCAGAGGCCCTGGCCTCAGGGGTCTGGGGAGTCACTTGGGAAGTGCCCGGTTGGAGACACAGAGACAGGTCTGGGCACAAGACGCTGGCCAGGTCCAGGGCTCACCCTGCAAATCCAGCCAAAGCCCTCTCTCCATTCTCCCTTAGGACCCAAGGTTCAACACTTAGACATGTCAGCTGAATCATGACCCCCGGACGTCCATGTCCTAATCCCCCAAAACTCGTGAGCATTACCTTATATGGCAGAAGAGACTTTGCAAATGTGTTTAAATCAGGGGTCTTGAGATGGGGAAAGTAACCTGGATGGTCCCAGCGGGCCCTAAATGTTATCACAAGTGTCCTTCTAAGAGGGAGAGCTGGCTATAGAAGAGGAGAAGCCACGTGACCAGGGAGGCAGAGACTGCAGCAATGTTGCCACAAGCCAAGGAACGCCAACAGCCCCCAGGAGCTGGGAGGGGCCAGGAATGGATTCTGCCCTGGGGCCTCCCGAAGGAACCAGCCCTGCCAGCACCTTGATCTTAGCCCCTAAAATCCTATTTCAGAGTTCTGAGCTCCCGAACTGTGAGGAATGCAGGTGTGCTGTTTTAAGCCATTAAGGTGTGGGTAACCTGGTACAGCAGCCACAGGAAGCTGAGATGGACGTCGACAGCTACAGGGCAGAAAGGCTCTCTGACCTGGCATTCAGCAAATTGGCACCCCCCAACAAAGCACACGGCCCTCCTGCCCCATCCTGGGCCCCCCAGCCCCCACCTGGGCCAAGCCTCACATCCGCTGTGTCAGTGGGGCTGGCTATCTGCTCGCCACTGAATGGATGAGTCTCGCCTGCTCCCCAGTCCTGTGGTCTGACAGAACAGAGCTCCTCTCTCTCTCCTGTGCCATTGCTCCAGCCTCCCCCACCAGCCTCCCTCACACTGCAACCAGTACGAGCTTGCTGAAACACTCAACTCTTTGTGAGACTGGAGGGCGCCATCCCCACCTTGGGTCATTCAAGGCTGCTGCTTCCATGGAGGCTGCCCCACAGCTCTCTGCCTCCAGCCCTGGGCTCTGCACACCCAGGGGGAACTGTCATGCCTGAGGTCCGCCCCCACCCCCGCCGCCCACTCTTCCCCCAGGATCCCCTGCGGCCTGGAAAACTCCTACCCAACTCAAGGCAAAGTCACAGGGTGGAGACTGTGGGTCAGGAGGGGCTCTTCCTGGCCTGGTGGGGAAGGGCTGGCTGTGGGCTGCAGGTGGCAGCCACGCTCAGCCACATGGAGGAGCTGCCCAGTGCCGGCGCTTGTCCTCTGTCTCCTGGAGGGCCTTCCTTGGTGCAGCGAGGCTGAGAGGCTCCCGTGGTGGCGTGCCTCGTCTGCCCGTCAGGGAGGATGCTGCAGCCTGACAGCAGCAGGCAGAGGCTTGGCACCGGCGGTGTCTGGGGTGGAGGCAGCCAAGGTCACTGGCACGTTGCTGTCTGACTTCTCTTCCTTCAGCCCAGCAGGGTGTGTGCACAGCAGCCTGGTAGCAGTTCCCCAGGATGGGAAGCACCTGCCCCTCCTCTGTCCCAAGGCCAGGCCGGGGCGAGCCCCAGGAGAGCAGCCCACAGAGGAGGGCAGAAGATGCTTCTACCTCTGCATCACAGAAAGCATGGGTAGCCAATGGGGGACCGTGTTTTGTTTGGTCTATATAGTGAGCACGGGAGGGGACCCCAGGCATGACAGCTCCCACTGGGTGTGCAGGGCCCAGGGCTGGAGGCAGAGAGCTGATGTGGAGGCTTCTGTGGAAAGAGGGCTTTGTCTGGATTTGCTGGCTGAGCCCTGGACCTGGCCAGCGTCCTTGTGCCAGGACCTGTCTCTGTGTCTCCAACCAGGCACTTCCTGAGTGACTCCCCAGACCCCTGAGGCCTGGTCCTTTCGCATGGTGATAGGGGCTGTCTCTCGTACCCGGGTCGGCCTGGGCCCTGCCAAGCCAGCTGTTGCCGACTCACTGAGCTCAGCGCCGTGGCTGGATTCCTGGAGCCTTCTCAGTTCATCCTCTCATTCCAGAAATTTTAAGCCACATTTTAACATCAGGAAAGTTCACATAAAAAGTCTGATGTC
Organism: Homo sapiens; assembly: GCF_000001405.40. Classification (NCBI taxonomy): domain Eukaryota; kingdom Metazoa; phylum Chordata; class Mammalia; order Primates; family Hominidae; genus Homo; species Homo sapiens. Next base: position 32,816 of record NW_016107298.1, read on the forward strand.
TGGATTTTCTTGATAGGATGTTCAGCTGCACCAGACCCAACTTCTACCAAATTGAGGTCAAGGGAGTTGAGGAGGGTCTGTCCCTCCTTGCAGGGCCTCCCAGACGCCCTGTGCCCATGGCAAGGCCAGGGCTGGACACCACGTGTGGCTGCATTCCCACTGCTGTTTCTTTTTAGTGGAGATGTATTCTTGGTCTCCACGTTTCCATCAAAAGGAGAGAAATGAAAGCCAGGCCAAGGGTGGGTGCAATTATCTTTTTTTCCTCCACTGCTGTCCTTGTTGGCATTGCCTGCCAGGCCCTGCAGGCTCTGAGTTTGCAGCTCTTGTCTTTCTGCAAATGGCACTGTGTGTCTGAAACAGAGACCACATGCTCAACACGTGACTCGGGGTCTTTCTCACTGTGTGGCAACCTTCACAGAGTCCCAAGGTCAGTCTCTGGGAAGCTAAGACAGGCCCTCAGTGTCAGCACAGGGTTGGCTTCTCTGTGCACGTGGTCTTGGAGTCAGCCGCTCCAGGTCCCTTAACGCGGGCGGTGGGGGAGGACTGCCAGGCTGAGACTGGCACTTAGACATGCAGGGAAGAGCTCCCACACGACAGGGTGGAGGGTCCAGTGAGGGAGGCAGCAGGACCAGGGCCTGCCTGGGCTGTGCCTCTGGGCTATATGCCCTGGGGAGGCCTAAGTGAAGCCTACAGTGCTGCTCCTCCGCGTGACCCAGACGGGCGCCTCCCGGGTGTGCTGTGCACTGCGTGGCCAGCCTTGTACGTGAGGGCCATTCACATCCTGTAGCTGGCTGCATGGTGCCCCCAAAGATGCTGGATCCTGATCCCTGCAACCTGAGACGGGTACCTTCTATGGGAAGAAAGGGCTTTGCAGATGTGCTTGCAGTAAGGCTCTTGAGATGAGAAGCCTGTCCTGGATTACTCGGGTGAGTCCTAAATGTAATCAAGGCATCCTTGCAAGAGGGAAGCACAGGGACACGTCAGAAGAGGAGGGGGCGACATGACCCGGGGGCAGAGATTGGCATGATGCAGCCACAAGCCAAGGGAGGCTGGCAGCCCCCAGGAGCGGGGATGGGCCAGAAACAGATTCTCCCCTGGAGCCTCTGGAGGGAGCACAGCCCTGTCCACCCTTGATCTTGGCTCAGTGAGATTCATTTCAGACTTCTGGCCCACAGAGCTGTGAGAGAGGCATTTGTATTAGTCCGTTTTCACAATGCTGATAAAGACATACCCGAGACTGGGCAACTTACAAAAGAAAGAGGTTTATTGGACTTACAGTTCCACATGGCTGGGGAGGCCTCACAATCATGGCAGAAGATGAAAGGCACGTCTCACATGGCAGCAGCCGAGAGAGAGAGAGCTTGTGCAGGGCAACTCCCGTTTTTAAAACCCTCAGATCTCGTGAGACCCACTCACCATCATGAGAACAGCATGGGAAAGACCCACCCCCATGATTCAATCATCTCTCACTGGGTCCCTCCCATAACACATGGGAATTATGGGAGCTACAAGATGAGATTCAGGTGGAGACACAGAGACAAACCATATCAATGTTCCTATTGTTTCAAGCTCCGTGAGGACTCCCTCCTCAACAGTCCCACACAGGATGAGATGCACACACACCAGAGAGGACAATGCCACAGGGTGCCCTGTCCCTGTACCCCAGCACAGTGTCCCTGGACACAGAGCTGGCCTTGGGAAGGGCAGAGAACAGGGATTGGAGATGCCTGTCAGAATGCCTGGGGGGACACCTCAACCACTGCTCCCCAAAAGGCCACCCAGCCTCAGAGCTCGGCCTCCGGTCCTGGCCAGGTTCCCAGGCCAGCAGCACTGAGCAGGACCCTTCTGCCAAGGCCAGCATGGCCAGGGAGGAGAGAAAAGGACCCTCCCCGCTCCCTCACCCCTTGCCCCTCCTAATAACATCCTCTCCCGGGTGTTGCCTAAGCTGCCCAGTGCACACACTCATCCCTGGCCTGTCTGTGAAATGCTTTAAAACCGTCATTTTCTATCCGTTTCCCCCAGGCAATCTGCAATCCAGCAACTGATCTTGGATGACAGAGACTATTAGTGAAAATGATTCCCTGAGGCTCCATGAGTCCCCGAGATCACCCTGAGCAGCCCGTGGGCTTCTCGGGGAAAACAGGACATCCTGAAAAGGAGGCACCCCTGACGCTGCAGGGATATCCTGCCACCCAGACAGATGCCCATCCCCCACTGGGACACCCAGGGCAGGTGTGTCACCTTCCCCGGCAGAACATAAATAGCAGGGTGCTTCACACCCACTTCCAGACGTTGCTTTTGGGGAGGCAGGAAGAAACTGCCAGCCAGCACCTCCTGCCAGCTTCTGCCAGGGCCACACTGATATATCAGGGTTCCCTCAGAATTCACTGGAAGAAAGGGTCCCCTATACACACACACACATACACACACACCCGCACCCAGGTCCTGGAGTTGTGTGCCAGGCAGGCTGTGCCCCTCACTATGCCTGGCCACAGGACACAGCTTTTATGTATCTCCCAGTTGCCACTCTGGGCCCTGAAAAGGCCCAGGCAGATGGAAAGCTGGACGCCTGAGGTCACCGTGGGCCCTCCACCCAGCTCCGGCACTCACTGGGCCTGGTGCCCTTCCAGTCAGTGTGTCGATCTCAGCCCAGGGCCACGTGGGAACGATTAGGTGCATGGCGTGGGAGCTAGCTCACTGAAGGCCCGAGCCCCTCATGCAGGGTCTGCTGACACCAGACAGGAACATCAAGCAAAGGGGACTTGGCCCCAGCCCCAAGTTCTGGGATCCAGACCTATAGCCCCAGGCCCACGCTCACATCCACAGCCTGGGCCCCAGGCCTGGAGCTAAGGCTGGACAGGCTCACCTCCTCCCCGACAGCCCATTACCAAACCCCCACCTTCCAGCCCAGCCTCACCCCTGACCTGGCAGCTGGCCTCACCCAGCGTCTTCTAAGGCCAATGGTTTCTGGGCTTATTCTGAGATTGAAATTCCTTTCCTGTGTTCTGAATTTCAAGTTCTCATTAAAGATATGTGGATTGGGGGTGGGGGTGGAGGGAGGATTCAGCAGAAGATGCCAAACACCAGCAGAAGCCCAGAAAATAAGGCAAGGCCGGCCAGGCTGTGGGGGAAGGGCTGCCATGTTCAGGAAGACAAGCACCATATGGAATCTGGGATCAGAGACATGGCCAAGGGCACGTGGCCAGCTCACCTCGCCTGAGCAGAGGCCCCCAGAACCACCCTGAATCTTCCAGGAGAGGCCAGCCAGAAGCACCAAGCCCACAGCACAAGTGACCAGCCCCTGAGCTCTCGGGGACACAGGGGTTGCTAATGCCACTGGGCTTGCCCGACAGCAGCTAGCTAGCAAGGAGCAAAGCTGGGGCCCTGCCCCCGGGTCTGGAGCACTCGCTCAGCCCCTTCCACGCTGGCCCTCCTAGATTACTCCTCCTTCCTTCCCTGCAAAATAGTCCAAGGGTGGGGATAAGTCGAGGCTGAGACCACAGCTGGAAAAGGCTGGGCAGGCAGTACCCAGTGGCCCGGCTGTCTGCAGCATAGCAGACGCTGATTTGTCACCAAGGAACAAGGGGCCACCGGTTGCACTGATTGGCTCCAGAGTACATTGGGCTTCCTGATGGAACAATTCCTTTGCAAAGGTATCTGATGCCGTTTCATGAAATTAGAAGTATGCCTGCCAGGCTGTACCCAATTTTTCTGTCAAGCTAGGAAGTCAGACAGACCTACAGTAAATGAGGCGGGGCTGCTATGGAGTGACGGGAGTACCTTAGTAAATCACAGCACGGGGGCTGGCCCAGCCCAGGCCCCTGGAGCACTCGCTGTGAACGTGCAGGTGTGCCCGATCCTGGGCCCCAGACTCCAGACTCTCCTCACCCAGGGGTCCTGACCAGAGGCTGAGGGCTGAGCTCGCAGCTTCCCACTCTCCCAGCAAGAGCCAAGCACAGGCCAGGAGTCCCTGACCACACGGGGGACCCTGAGAACTATGGGCCTGCAGAACCACATCAGACACCAACCCTGGCTTCACCACAATCCAGGACCAGAGACTGGGGGATGCTGGGAGGTGTGGGCTGGCACAGTGAGGCCAGATCTGAGGCGACAGTCATGGACTGTCACCATGGCCGCCTGGCAGCTCCTTTCACGTTTCTGGGCCCAGGGCACACGTGGGTTCTGAGTTGAAAAAGACAGACGCCCATGAGTCTGTGCAGAGACTGCTGAGGCTGCTGGGAGCACCTCCAGAGTCCTTGTAGGGCACATGCCTCCAGGGATCCAGAAAGAGCATGCAGGGCCTTTCTCCCTGAGCAGCCAGGTGAGGGTTGGGACCTACCACAGGCACCCTCCCAGGGACCATGGCAGCACAGAGCAGGAGAGGCGCTGTCTGGGGCTCTGGAGGCCTCTTCACAGGCACAGACTCAGAGACGCAGGCACTGGACTCAGGCCTGGCCGGGGGCCCCCGCCCCGCTCCACGACACTTGCTTGCCTTTAGGCAACAGAAGATGGGCCCTTGGACAGCCTTCATAGTCCACCATGGAGGCCCCAGACATGAAGGCAGAGGTGTCTGGGCTGCTTGTCACCCACATGCACCCAGAACAGAGGCCCCAGCCCCAGCAGCCCTGCTACGCCCTGCCGTCAGCCAGGCAGCTGGCCCATTTCTGAGCCACTGAGACCGGGGCTCAGCCTCAGCAGCCAAGCTGGTCTGTGGAGAGCTGCCTGAGTCTCTGGGATGCTCCCCTGGGGACCAGGGCCTCAGAGGGCTCTCCACACAGCCTGCCCACCTGCAGTAGCCTCACCTGTGTCCAGGGCCTGTGGCCCCCCGAGAGGAGGGGACGTGGGTGGCCGGCGATACACCACATGCACACGGCCTTGCTCAGCCTCCTGCGCCGCCAGCCCCTTCTCCAAGGGTTCGATGAAGAACTCCTCCTCCTCCATCCGGATCAGACCAGCCTGCGGGACAAAGACAACAGGATCAGATTTCCAGCACACAAAAGACCAAGGAAGGGGAACAGCGAGGAGACCCCCTCAGGGAGTACCTCCCACCTGAAGACCCTGCCCAGCACCCCAGCTGGTGCTCAGCTTGAACCCTGGGCTGGCCGGAGGGTATGAACATGTGGTCCCAGAGGCCGCCCCCCGCCGCCCACCCTGTCTAGGAAAGGGGCCTCTGTCTGGGTCATCTCCACCCCTATACACCAACCCTGTCTGCTTTCAGAAAAGTTACTGTGTTTATAAAGTCAAAACCGTCCAGAGAAGCAGGGAGACATTCAAGGGCAGCTGTGGGCCTGTGCGTGTCCCCAGGAGGGCATCCACCAAAGTGCATCAATATGGGCCAAGTGCTGCCCCCACTCCCAGGAGCCCAGAGTCCAAGACAAAGGTCAAAACAGCCAGCCGGGGATTGAATCTGCCCACACACATGTTCCATCTGGGCCAAACAATATTTTTAAAGCTCTGAAGCTAACACTCAGAATGATGAGATTTCATGTCTTGAACATGGAATCCCAGCTTTCCTTGGAAACGCAGGCCCTGACCACAGCGGGTCTTGGATGGAACACATGCCCCTGCAACTGGCTCCAGTCCCTACTGCCCCCCAACTGTCTCTCCTGCTCTCTGTGTCAGCCACCAGCCCAGACTCTACAGGCAGCTGAACTGCTGCCCCTGACCCCCTAGGCCAGCCAGCACCCTCCCTGACTACAAACTCCTCGCTGGGTCCTCATTTCCGTTGGGACTCAGGCTGCTCTATATGCTGGCATTCAGGCTCTTGGCCTGCCCCACCCTCCCAGACCGCGGCTTGCACCACCCCATGCTTCTCACTGGGCTGGGTGCACCCTGCCGAGCCACCCAGCCCCTGAACCCCATGCTGCCAACTCAGGAATCCCCATTCTCCCACCCCACCACCCCATCCCCAGCTCGGCCATCTGGTAAACCTGTGTTCCCCCTTCGAGGCCTGATTCAGACCCCCTCACCTCTCCTGCCCTCCCCTGCCATCCAGCCTGCCCTCCCCTGCCATACCCTGCCCTCCCCTGCCATACCCTGCCATCCAGCCTGCTGGCACCATCAGGTCCACCCATCCCATGACAACTCCAGCTCCTACACTTTTATCTTCTGGTCCATTATCCATAAACCAAGGTCTCACACTGGAAGTGCACACTGTGTCCAGCCTTCAGAGTGTTTCCTTCAGATCACAAGCTTATGACCCATGCAGGGGATTTTAAAAGCTTGAATTTGTTGCCAAACTTAAGAAACAGGAGAGTTCACATAAACGACCAGATTTCCAGACTCTCTTGAAAATCAGAAAAGCTGGCATTTCCAGCACCCATCGACACTCCAGCTTAGCTGGCGCTGGCCGGGGTCCCCTGTCCAGTTAGGAGTGTGCCCTCTGGTGGGCAGCCCCCGGCACCTGCCATCTGGATGTGCGGAAACCACACCCCCCCCAAAGTAACCTCATGATGGCCTCTGCCATATCATCATCTTGGTTGTGGGGGGGCACGGTGGCGCACGGGCTGCCCCTCCTTCTCCCTGACCCCAGGTGCTCGGTGAGCCCCATCCTGTTGCTGGCTGGGAGCCTCTGCAGACCGAGATGCAGTCAGTGCCCCCCAGGGCCTGCTGGGCGGCTGCCCCTAGCCTCAAGTGTAGCGAGGGAGGCTGGAGATGCCTCCCGGCGCACTCAGCCTGGGCCCTCGGGAAGCTGATGTGCCAGGCAGGGGCTGGTGGAGGTGCAGGGCCTGGAGGAACACAGAGCCCAGCATCAGGCCTGGCTCCAGAATGAAGGATGCCTCCGGCAGGAGGTGACATCTACCCAAACCCACCCAATCCCTTTGTGCTGGCCAGGCAAAGAGTCAGAGAGAGGACCAGTGCTCCATATGGGGGAAACCGCACATGCCATGGCCGGGGAGGTGGACGGAGCACAGCTGGTGGGAAGAGCTGACCAGGTGGGTGGACAGGAGCATCAAGGGCACGGTGCCCGGTGGCCCATCACTCAGGGGGCTGGTGAGGGAGATTGTAGGCAGCCCAGGGCTTCTGGGGGGAGCCTTGATCTGATTCCAGTTCAGAAGCATGGTGGCTGCGGCAGGGGGAATGGGCTGCGGAACAAAAATGGGTCTGGGGTCCTGGGGAGAAGGTGTTACAGGCACCTGGGAGAGGGGTAATGGTCCAGACGGGAGCATGAGAGACAAGGACGAGTGGCAGGTATGAAGGAGGTGAGGAGCGAAATGGACAGGACGTGGTAGGGTAGAGCCGGCTGAGATGGGAGGGAGGAGGAAGCACCTGGTGGGCTTCCAGGTCTGTGGCTGAAGAACCGGCCCCCAAAGTTACCCAGGCCCCCATCCCTGGCAGCTGTGAGGGTAGTGGACATGGTGGAAAGAGACTCTGCGGGTGTGATCAGGTCAGCTCTGGGGCTGGCTGGGCCCTGAATGCAGTCCTTGCCCACTTCCTTATGCCGGGGAGTGGAGGGGGATTAGGCAGATGCGCAGAGGACGAGGCCATGGGCAGACAGGGAGGATGCCAGATGCCAGCTTTGGAGATTGGAGCGATGTGGCCTCAAGCCAAGGAATGCTGGCAGCCCCCAGGAGCTGGCAGAGGCCAGAAAGTGTCCTCCCCCAGAGTCTCCAGAGGGAGCGCAGCCCTGCCGATGCCTGGATTTGGGTCAGGTTATACCGACTTCGGACGTCCGGCCTCAGAACTGTGAGAGAACGAATTCCTGCTGTTTTAAGTGGTTCCTTACAGCAGCCGCAGAAAAGTAATTCAGGGTCCTGGTGGGTGGCCGGCAAAGTGGGTGCCATTCTCCGAGGGGCATGAGAAGAAGGGCAAGGGGCGCAGGACCCTCTGGGCTCAGGCATCCTGGGCTTCTGGGGAAGAGGCCTAGGAGGCAGTGGTAACCAGAGTTACCAGGGCAAGACCGAGGTCGGAGAAGGAGGTCAGCAGGGCTGTGGGAGGAGAGCGGAAGAGGGGGTGGGAACCCTGCAGGCCCCACGCTTCTGACTCATCCCTGGGTCTCAGGGCTCAACCAGGCCTGGCGAAGACTCAGCAGATGCCTGTGGAATGAGCGAACCGATGACCCCAAAGCTGCAGGCCACGTCCCCCAAGGGAGGCACCGAGCAGGCAGGCGGGAAGAACACAGCCAGGCCTGTCCACTGGCACAGGGGCAGTGTGTTTACCAGTGCAGGAGTTGGGAGGGTCCAGCACTGATGGTCCCGGTGCGTGGTGTGGAGAAGGCTGGTGCCTCAAATCCATCTTATGACTGAAACTCATTGGATGAAGTGCAGGAATTAACCCTGGGGGGCGGCAGCGGGCAAGCTGTCCTGGAGCGTGAAGTTCTGACTTCCTGGCACCCTTTCTATCTGGCCAGGTGACCTCAGGCAAGGTGTCAAGCTCCCCAAGCGTCCAGTGACTCGTCTGTACATGAGGCAGGTCATTTCCCGTGCACACTCACACAGGAGCACATGCAGCCTGGGAGACACTGAGAACCAGGCCACGCCTCCACCCAAGTGATTTCATCCAGCCAGCTTGCTTTCCAAATGAGGAAACCGAGGCCTAGATGGGCAGACAGGCTGCTGGGGACACACAGGTTCTAGGGATCAGAACTCACACCTACACGGAAAGGGCATCTCCCAGACAGGTCCCTGGGCCAGACTGGGCCGATTGAGCCAATTAGGGCAGGACACTGGGGCATGAGGACCCCTTATGGCAGCTCCATCTTCTGGGGGAACTTGCAGCCCAGGTCGGGAGCCATCGATGCCACAGGCCTGAGGCCCTGGGGTTATTCTGGAGGGACCTAGTGTGACAATGAGGCCAGGCTCAGCCTGGGGAAGGGCAGTACTCTCTGGCCGGAGTAACCCGGGGGACAGTTTGGGGTCTCCCTGACCAGCAGGGGTCAGGCTCCCCTCCCTGGCTGCCTCCCTGAGGACAATCACTGGGCTGAGCCAACAGCACTAGCTCCATCTGATGCTGCCCTGGGCCTTGCCTCCTGGAAGGGCACCCCTGCAGGCGACTCCTCGGAGGGCACAGGAGCACACTGGGGTCCATCTGAAGCAGGGCCTGGGCTCAGGCTTCCTCACACAGCCAGAAGCCTCCAAGCGGTGGCATTCTCCAACACAGACGTTCAACATGCTCCTCACAGCCCCGCCCGTCTCTGTTGACCACCGTGCGATGCGCACAACGCATGCTGGACGATGAACATGGTGGCACCTGCCCCGAGACCAAAGGCTGACACCCCGAGACCAAAGGCTGACCCCCCTGAGACCAAAGGCTGACACCCCCCGAGACCAAAGGCTGACCCCCCCCCCGAGACCAAAGGCTGACCCCCCGCGAGACCAAAGGCTGACCGCCCCCGAGACCAAAGGCTGACCCCCCCCCCCGAGACCAAAGGCTGACCCCCCACCCGAGACCAAAGGCTGACACCCCCCAGAGACCAAAGGCTGACCCCCCCGAGACCAAAGGCTGACCCCCCCGCGAAACCAAAGGCTGACCCCCCACCCGAGACCAAAGGCTGACACCCCCCAGAGACCAAAGGCTGACCCCCCCGAGACCAAAGGCTGACACCCCCCAGAGACCAAAGGCTGACACCCCCGAGACCAAAGGCTGACCCCCCCGCGAGACCAAAGGCTGAACCCCCCCGAGACCAAAGGCTGACACCCCCCGAGACCAAAGGCTGACCGCCCCCGAGACCAAAGGCTGACCCCCCCGCGAGACCAAAGGCTGACCCCCCCCGAGACCAAAGGCTGAACCCCCCGTGAGACCAAAGGCTGACCCCCCCTGAGACCAAAGGCTGACCCCCCTGCGAGACCAAAGGCTGACCCCCCCCCGAGACCAAAGGCTGACCCCCCCCGAGACCAACGGCTGACCCCCTCCAAGACCAAAGGCTGACCCCCCCCCGAGACCAAAGGCTGACCCCCCCCCCGAGACCAAAGGCTGACCCCCCACCCGAGACCAAAGGCTGACACCCCCCCGAGACCAAAGGCTGACCCCCCCGAGACCAAAGGCTGACCACCCCCGAGACAAAAGGCTGACCACCCCCGAGACCAAAGGCTGACCCCCCGCGAGACCAAAGGCTGACCCCCCCGAGACCAAAGGCTGACCCCCCCAAGACCATCAGCTGACGTCCTGCCAAGACCGCTGGCCAGAATAATGCTCGGGGCGGGGGGCACTTCACGGAAGAAGTGGAGATCATTTTATTCCCTGATTTTCAAACACTTCAGTATATGCATCCCAGGAATGATCTGTCTAAAACACACAGAAGAAAATTGACAGGAGAGCAAAGCACAAAATGTGAGCTATGTTTTGCTGCATTTTTTTCCGGGACTTTGATTTTCCTGCTGCCAGTGTCAAGTGTATCTGTTTTTACATGTAATTTTTATTAATTAGAATCAGTTTCCTCTCCCCACTCAATAAATATTAAAGAAACTCCAGAAGCACACTAGGCTGAAAAGCACTCAGTTGGGAGCCTGCTGGTGGCCTGTCTGTCCAACCCCACAGCTGTCCAGCCTGGGGTCTTACAGAAAGGTTGGTACCCCGACCTGGCTCTAAGTGTGAGTCCCACTCTGCTCTTGAAGTCTGTGGATGTCTGGCAAACCCAGCCAGGTTCTCCCCTGGGGGACAGAGAGAGGATCATGGGGAGGGCTCTGTCCCTGACCTTCAGGTGCCACCGCAGGGGCCCAGAGCCTGGTAGTACCCGGGTCATCAAGTCAAGTTGCCGGCATTCAGATCCTGGTGAGTTACACAACGCCTGCCCTGCCTCTTCCTTCTATAGAACCTGCTCCTTTGCAGTTGGATTGATGGTAAAGTAGTTACTAGAAATGGCAACTAGATGTTAAAAATTTATAAAGATCCAAAGGCTTAACAGCTCTCCTCTATTACTCTGAATTTTTAAGTATTCAACCACAGACAGCCTGGAAGTTAGGGGTTCACAGGAAACACAAGCATGCATCCTGTTTCCTTCTGCAGAGCACCCAGGCTGGCTGGTTCCCACTGCCCCTTCCCATGGAAGCCACAGCTGCAGCCATCAGCAGCCTCCCACCTGTGTATGACTGGGACCTGGTCTGTCACTCAACCTTGTCAACCTCCAGCATAAACACTGTCAGGTGTGTGCCAAGGTTGCAGTGGCAACAATCAAGCATAGAAGGCACAAAGCATAGGAAGCACACAGGTCCATGCACAGAGGGACCCAGACTTTGCCAAGGGACAAGGCTGCAAGTCCCTGTTGCCCTCAAACTCACCTCCCTCCGAAATACACACACAGCACGCACCTTGCCAAGAGTCCCCCAGATGCTGGCATCTGCTAAGATTCCCATTCCTGAAAGTATTCTAACTCCAAGATTCTTTCTCCCCATCTTCCTTTTGGTAATGAACCTGGGAGATCTGCTGGACAACGGGGCAATGGCCAGGCAGCCTCCCCTGCTGTGACAGCTGCCTGGTGGAATGACGGTCTCACAGGGAGAGCTGCACAGTGCCTGCAGTTCCCAGGGCGCCTCCTCTCAGAGCCTGCTCGGGCACTCTCTTGCCTCTCCCAGCTCCCCAGGGAGGTCTCTAACAACCTTGGGAGCTTTCAGGGAAGGGGGCTGGACCCCTCACTACTGAACAGTCCCAGGAGTGGGAAGTGTCATTGAGTGGGATTTGAGCCACTCCGTCCTCACCACTGGACAGTCCCAGGAGTGGGAAGTATCGAGTGGGATTTGAGCCACTCGGTCCTCACCACTGGGGGCTCCTTTACAGTTCAGCATCCCAGAGGATTTCACACACTGACTTTTCCACTTTTCCAAAAGGGACGCCAGCGGGCAGGAGCTGTCCATGGGGTTAGGAAACAGCTGTCCTCACCCGCATCTCCACCAGCTCCTCCTCTGTCTCATGGGATCCTCGCCAGGTGCCAGCCACTCCCGTCCTTCCTCTTGGAGAGCGACCCCTTGTCTAGGGCTCTGTCTTGGAGCTATGGCTGGAGCTGGGCCTTCCAGGGTTCTGCTGAGCACAGTGACCACAACAGAGTTGCCTCTGAGCTCCACAGAACCTGATGACTTTGCTTGGCCACTCTAACCTTCCCTGGACCTGGTTTCAGGCCCTACAGACCTTTACTCCAGAAAGTCTCTTTTTTGGCCTAAGCTGGCCGGAGCCAATTTCCAACAGGACCAAGGAGCCCCGACAGTCACATGCCCAGCGAGGCTCTAAGGAAAGCTAGACTCCACTTTGAAGGGCAGGGTGGGGGGCGAGGCAGGCAGGGAGAGTAAGCACTGGACGCTGAGCCAGGGGCCCTGGTTTCCAATGCGGTCATGGCCAGTCCTGCCCCCTTGCAGGCCCCCAGTTCCCTCATCTGCAAACTGAGGAGCTGGACTACGTAACCTATGAATTACTGCTTATCCTGTTTATTCATCACCCCAAAAAGAAACCCCGCACACGTTGGCAGGTACCGATCATCCTTCTAAAACTCTACTAGGACCAAGGAGAAAGAACCAAACCAAAAACCAGAAACCCACTCCTGTAAAATAAAGGCCAAGGCCGTCCCATGGCACGCAAGGCCTTCCATGGGGTCCCAGCAGCCGTCTGTCCCTGGGCGCACCCCCAGTGTCTTCCTCTCTCTCCGGGCTTCTATTTGCACCTCAAAGCCTACACCGCTGCCCTTCTCTCTTGTTATAGAGGTCAGTAAGTAGCAGAGAGCTGGTAAAGATCTGTCAGCACCAAACTGAGACTCCCCTCGACTCAACCAGAGAGTTTAAAATGCAACTGAAAAGGGAATCATTTTTCATTATAAAGTTCAATGCTTTTTTTCTTCTTTTTTTGAGACAGAGTCTCGCTCTGTCACCCAGGCTGGAGTGCAGTGGCGCAACCTCAGCTCACTGCAAACTCTGCCTCCCATTTTTAAGCGATTCTCCTGCCTCAGCCTCCCAAGTAACTGGGATTACTGGTACACACCACCACATCCAGCTAATTTTTGTATTTCTAGTAGAGATGGGGTTTCACCATGTTGGCCAGGCTGGTCTCAAACTCCTGACCTCAGGTGATCCACCTGCCTCGGCCTCACAAAGTGCTGGGATTACAGGCATAAGCCATGGCGCCCGGCCAGTTCAATGCTTTTTAATATATAACAGCTTTATGGTGCTGTGATTACCATACCATACATCTCAGCCATCTAAACTATATGCTGAAAGTGAACAATTCAACCATAACCACTATTGATTTTAGAACATTTTCATCACCCCAAAAAGAAACCCCGTACACATTGGCAGTCACTCCCCATGTTTTCCCCAACCTCTCCTCCCCAACCCAGCCCTGGGCAACCACTAATCTACATTCTGTCTCTATGAATTGGCCTATTCTGGACATTTCATATACGTGGAATCACATGCTATGTGGCCTTTTGTGACTGGCTTCCTTCACTTAGTATGTTTTCAAGGTTCATCCATGGTGTAGCATATAGCAGTATTTCATTCCTCTTTTATTGTCAAATAATACCCCATCACATGTATATACCACATTTTATTTATCCATTTGCCGGTTGATGGACATGTGGGTTGTTGGTTTTTGGCTCCTATGCATAATGCTGCTATGAACATCTGTGGACAAGTTTTTGTGTGGACATGTGTTTTCATTCCTCTCAAAGTGGAATTACTGGGTCATACAGTAACTGTGCCAGACTGTCCTCTACAGGGGCTGGACCATTCTCAGTGCCCCCAGCAGTGTGTGAGGGTTCAATTTCCCCTCATCCCCACCAATACTCATTATTCTTAGGCTCTTTGACTCTAGCTATCCAGCAGGTGTGAAGTGGTGTCCCATCATGCTTCGGCTTGCATTTCCCTGACAACTAATGATGCTAAGCATCTTTTCATGAGCTTATAGGTCATTTATTTAACTTTGGAGAAACATCCATTCAGATACTTTCCCTATTTTTAATAAGACCATTTTCTTTTTATTGACCTGTAAGAGCTCTTTATATATTCTAGACACAAATCCCTTATTAGATATACAATTTATGAATATTTTCTCTTGTTCTGTGGGCTGTCTTTTCAACTTTCTTATTAGTGTCCACTGAAGTCATGAAGGACTTTCTTGAAGTCCAGTTCACCTATTTTTTTCTTTTGTCCACTTGTGCTTCTGGTGTCATATCTAAGACTTTGCCTAATCCAAAGTAACAAAGATTTACTCCTACATTATTTAAGAGTTCTATAGTTTTAGCTCTTACATGTAGATCTATGATCCATCCATTTACAGTTAATATTTGTGTATGGTGTGAGGAAGGGGTCCAACTTCATTTTTCCATATGTGGATATCCAGGTGTGCCAACACCATTTGTTGAAAAGACCATTCTTTCCCCCACTGACTTGTCTTGGACCTTTGTCAAGAATCAATATGAGGATGTATTTCCAAACTCTCAGTTCTATTCTACCAATCTATATGTCTATCCTTCTGCCAACACCACACAGTCTTGATTACTACAGCTTTGTAGTAAGTCTTAGAATTACAAAGCATGAGCCCTTCCTCTGTTCTTCTCCTCAATAGCATTTTGGTTAGTCTGGATCCCTTGTATTTCTGTATGAATTTTAGGATCAGCTTGTCAATTTCTGCCACAAAGCTAGCTGGGATTTGATAGAATTAAATGCATTCTGGAGTCATGTTTGGTACCCATTAGTTCACCTCCTAGGCCAATGTTTAGGAAACATTGGCCTACAAAGAAACTCTGCATTAGAAACCAAGGGCTTGGTCAGGCATGGTGGCTCACACCCTGTAATCCCAGCACTTTGGGAGGCTGAGGCAGGCGGATCACGAGGTCAGGAGATTGAGACCATCCTGGCTAACACGGTAAAACCATGTCATCTTGAGATGGGAGCCCTAAGTCTATCAACTAACCAGGTGAGCCACTGTGAGCAACTCTGGGCCCTGGGAGAGGGTGCACAGAGGGATGGCTTCAACCCTGCTGCTAGAGAATGCCCTCGAGAGCGTCTGTCTCAGTTCTGCTTGGCATCCCTCCCCAGCACCCCCCACCTGCCACTTTACGCAGCCTGGACTTGACTTTAAAACTGAGACACCTGGCAAGTGGGGAAATCACAGGTCGAAATAGCGGAATTGCCCTCTGCATCTATGCTACAGGGATAATGAGGGTTACAAATCAGAAGACATTTAGCATATATTCTGGAAAAAAAAAGCTATGTAATATATAAACTATTCATAATTTAACTTTAATAAATGGGGGCAGGCAAAAAATTGCCAAACAAGCCCACAACAATCAGACAAAGAGTAGAGGAAGAAAAAAGGAATTACAGTTTAATTGCACTCGTTTCCTAATCTTCAGAATCTTCAGTTAGCATCAACAGTTACTGGTAAGTTTCTAAAATCAGTAGATACAAGCTGAAGAATTCTACTCAAAATTAGAAAAGTCACAACTAGTAAAACTAATGTATACCTTCCAAATGACTGAAGGCAGACCATATAGAAAATATGGTAGACTAGAAAAACAGCAAAAAAAAAAAAAAAAAAAAATCCAGAAAAACAGAAAACATAAATTAGATGACAGAAGTAAGAACAAATATATAACAATAAATGTAGGCTGGGCATGATGTGATCCCAGAACTCTGGGAGGCTGAGGCAGTTAGGAATTTGAGACCAGGCTGGCCAACATGGTGAAACCCCATCTGTCCTAAAAATACAAAATTAGCCAGACGTGGTGGTGCACACCTGTAATCCCAGCTACTCAGGAGGCTGAGGCGGGAGAATCACTTGAACCCAGGAGGCAGAGTTACAGTGAGCCGAGATCATGTCACTGCACTCCAGCCTGGGAGACAGAGACAGACCCTGACTCAAAAAAACCAAAACCTAAAACTAAACAAACAAAACAAAACAATAAATGGTCAGATGATTATTATTATTATTATTATTATTATTATTATTATTATTATTATTTTGGAGACTCCAGCCTGGGAGACAGAGAGATACCCTGTCTCAAAAAAACCCAAAATCCAACCGGGCGCAGTGGCTCACGTCCATAATCCCAGCACTTTGGGAGGACGAGGCGAATGGATCACAAGGCCAGGAGTTCAAGACCAGCCTGGCCAATATGGTGAAACCCCGTCTCTACTAAAAACACAAAAATTAGCCGGGCTTGGTGGTACGCGCCTGTGGTCCCAGCTGCTTGGGAGGCTGAGGCAGGAGAATTGCTTGAACCCAGGAGGCTGAGGTTGCAGTGAGCCGAGATTGCATCACTGCACTCCATTCTGGGCAACAGAGTGAGACTCCATCTCAAAAACAAACAAACAAACAAAAACAGACAACAAAAACAATAAATGGTCAGATTATTATTATTATTATTTTGGAGACAGTGTCTTGTTCTGTCACCCAGGCTGGAGTGGAGTACAGTGGCCTGAGCTCAGTTCACTGAGACCTCTGCCTCCCAGGTTCAAGCAATTCTCCTGCCTCAGCCTCCCAAGTAGCTGGGATTACAGGTGCACAACACCATGCCTGGCTAATTTTTGCATTTTTAGTAGAGACGGGGTTTCGCCATGTTGGCCAGGCTGGTCTCGAACTCCTGACCTCAGGTGATCCGCCCACCTCGGCCTCCCAAAGTGCTGGGATTACAGGTGTGAACCACCGTTCCCAGCCAGTCAGATTATTTCAATAACACTCTATGCCCTGCAAAATAATTTTACAAAATTTACAGATTTATGCTAGGCTAAAAGAGTTTCTCAGATTTTTTGACCACTTAAGGAACAGACACACCCATGACATATTGGTGACCGAAGAAGGCGGCAAGCCCAGCTGCAGCATGACCTCCTTACGTAAAATCATGTATATCTCTGTGCCAAACGTCAGCACAGTCTAATAATTAAGCATGTGGCCTCCGAGTCACTCTGCCTCGATTCAAATGTTTACTTCACCTCTGACTGAGTGGCCTCTCTGTGGACAGTGTCTGCAGGGTTGAATGGAGATAATAACAGGGTTTCCATGGCTGATGTGAGGGCTAAGCGAGATACTGCGTCTCTAGCACTGGGCACAGCACGTGATAAATCAGCCGACTGGCAGCACCATCACCATCATGATGATCATGGCATGACAGCTGTTAGGAAACGCGTAACAAAGGGTCAGCAGTGTTACGATCGGGGGTGAGTTTCACTTTTTATTAATATTTTCTGTATTTTTTTTGTTTTACATTTTTACAAAGGGCATATAGCAAAACAGACAATTCATGTGAAGACAGGAGAGACGGAAAGGGGGAGAGCACAGAGAGAAAGATAAGGGGGAAAATGGAATAAACAAGATGCCGACAAGAATGCCTCACGGGGCCAGCGCAGGGGCCAGCCAGGCGGCCTTCTGCTAAATCAAGCAACGCTTGAGTGGCTCCCTCGGGACCTGGCCTGTCCAGAATGTCCCACACTCAGCCCTCTGCAGCCAGCTCCCCCATCTCCATGGCTCCTGCACACACCAATGCCGGGGTAGCCTCCAGGAAACAGAGCTGGCCAGCCAGACCCAGCCAGGACACAGAGGTCAGTGGGTCAGACCCAGACTCTGGGACTGCAACAGGCCTGCCTATTTGTGACGAGAACTGACACTCGTCCCGGCCAGATTCTCTGGCTGACATTTCCCAGGTCTCGTTCAGCATGAAGCCCACGTCGGGGAACGTCCCCAGTCACAAATTAACATTCACATAAATAACAGGGCGCTCTCTACTAAAGAAGAAAAATGACTCGTGCTGCAGGAACATTTGCCAAACTATCAAAAAGCAAGATTTTTCTTTCTGAGCTTCCATGTCTCACCAGCTGGACCACAGCAGATTGTGGCCTTGAGACGTGTGGTGGAGGAGAGCTCATGGAATAAGGTCCAACTTCCCCATTCAAGATCCTGCCAACAGGCCGGGCACGGTGGCTCACGCCTATAATCCTAGCACTTTGGGAGGCCGAGGCAGGCGGATCACCTGAGGTCAGGAGTTTGAGACCATCCTGGGCAACATGGTGAAACCCTGTCTCTACCAAAATACAACAAATTAGCGGGACATGGTGGTGGGCGTCTGTAGTCCCAGCTACTCGGGAGGCTGAGGCATGAGAATCGCTTGAGCCCAGAAGGCGGAGGTTGCAATGAGCTAAGATCGCACCGCTGCACTCCAGCTTGGGCTACAGAGTGAGAGACTCTTGTCTCAAAAAAAAAAAAAAAAAAAAAAAGACCCTGTCGACAGGCCCTCCCCTGGGCTGGCACCTGCCCACACCAGCTGGAACCTAACACCTTTGCACAGCTGTTCCCTGCCAGCCTCCCTGCCTCCTTGGAGGTCTGCACACACCGCCCCTCCCTTCCTCCAACCAGCCCAGGAGACCAGCACGCCTGAGCACCAGCACTCCCAGAGACAGAGCCGGCACGGTGGGTCTGTCTGCTCAGGGGGCTGGGGTGGCAGGGGCACATGTCTGGGAGTTGCCAACATATGCTTCCTTACCAGATTCCCCAGGGGACCCACCCTGGAGAGCAACCAAACCCTGCAAGGCTGCACTCCAAGAACTGAGGGCCTGGGGACCCAGGACCGTCCCCCAGCATTCACAGCAGGCTCACCCACATCCACCAGGAGATGCTGCCCAGGTAGACTGCCAGCACCCCCTCCCACAAAAGGTCGGGGCCGGCGCCTTCCCTAGGTTGCTCGGGCAGCCATCACAGGGCAGCACAGGCCGGGGCTTGAATAGCAGAACCTATTCTCTCACAGTCCTGGAGGCTAGAGCTCTAAAATTAAGGTGTGGGCAGAGGCGGTTTCTCTCGAGGCCTCTCTCCTTGGCTTGTCGACAGCATCTTTCCCCTGTCCTCACATGGCCGTCCCCCTGTGTGTACTTCTGTCCTAATCGCTTCTTCTTAGGACACCAGTCATTCATGTTGAATCAGTGACTTCATTTTCAGTTAATTATCTCTTTAAAGACCCTGCCTCCAAATACAGCCAATATCCTGATCTACGGGAGTTTAGGACCTCAACAAAGGAACTGGGGGATCTAGGGAGGGCGTCACTCAGCCCATAACAGCCTCCAGGCGCCAAGTCCACACAGAATCGGAGCAGGCTGCTGGCAGGGTCCGGTGGCCAGAGCTGGGCGGGCTGTTCCTTGGGGAGCCACTCTGGACAGGCCGGAAGGTCAATGCCAGGATCACTCCCCAGGGGCCAGAAATCCAGCATGGAGGAAAGCTGCCACTCCAGGGAAGTAGGAGCCCGCCCAGGGCTGGCCACATGGGATGCCCATCTCACCCTTCCTTCTAAACTGGGCATTCTCACATGGGGACACGGGGCAGTGAGTGCAGGCGCAGGGAGACAAGAATGCTGCACAGCCGGTGGGTGGTGGACGGGCCTCAGGACCCCTCCGCCAGCAGCAGGCCACTCTCTCACGGTCCAGCAGGAGCCCTGCTCCAGAGCCCACGACTGGAGCCAGCTGAGGCTGGTGTCTCACATTCCTGCAGAGAGGCTGGCTAAGGCTCCCGTGTGGGGGCACTCCCCATGCCCACTGCACCCCAGAATTTTCTGGGCGATCCCAAGGCTGAGTCTACGCAGCTGTTGGAAGACGGGGTATGCAATTCTAGATGTGTGGCGTGTTTTGAACAGCATCCAATACCCTTTCTGTGGCAGCTCAGCCCGGAGAGCAGGTCCCCAGTCTCGAGGACCCAGGAGGCAGGGTCTGCTCCTTCCCACAGCGGGTGCTCCTCCAGGAGGGGCCAGGTGCTCAGAGGGAAACCAGTGCCCACCAAGGGCCCAGCTGCCTGGCTGGCTCCCAGCAGTGTGGGGAAGACACACTACCCGACGGACGTCCCCCTTAGAAGCAGGGGCAGACAGGAACTCCCATGGGGAGAGCACAGGCTGGGACGCAGCCCGCCCAACGCCAGTCCCCCCACTCCACTGTGCAACAAGGATCAGCCTTTCCTCTCTCAAAGCCTCGGTTCCCCCAGAGGGGGCTGCAGTTGAGAGTTGATGGTGAGACTCAGTGGGGCATGTCCTCCATGTCTGCTTGTGCAAAGCTGCCCAGATCAGGCAGTTTTCCCAGCCAGAGGACCCCCCCTTTCACTTTCCATCACAGGCTGTCATCTCCCCGGGTCCCTGGGCCACAGGCCCCTCTCAGGACCCCTCCGGCCTCATGCACACACAGAGCCTGTGCACTGCCTCACTCCTGCTTCCTTTGAATTGGGCTTCTTTTCCTGCTGTGATCTCTGGGGCCCACTGTGCTATCCAGGGCACGCTGACCGCCGACCGTCCTCTGCCCGCCTGCCCAGCTGCCACTCCCGGGCGGGCAGCCCTGCCAGGCCCGAGGCTGTCTGCTTCCCCTTCTGTCCAGAGTTCCCAAAACAAAAATCAGGCCATACCATCTGACGAAGGATCCTGTCTGGTTTATTTATGGGAAGAGCCAGGGCTCTGAGGGCCAGGTTGTCTGGGCTGTGGCCAGGCTGCTCTGCAGGCCTTCAGACACTGCCCAGCCCGTGTCCCCACCCACCCAGGGTGGCTCCGGGGGAGGGGCGGGGGCAGGGCCCCAGCACTGGTGAGCCCACACTGGTGACTCTGGGATGTGTATTTATTCTAGAGCCAGGACAGCAGCCGCCAGGGCCCTAGGCCCCTCTGTGGGTGGTTGGCCCACTGGAGAGCCGGAGCAGCGAGGCCAGCAATGACCAAAGGCGCCGTATCCAGAATGCAGGCAGGCTCAGGCGCACCTGCCCTCCCTGGATGCCACTACAGATTCGGGGAGACTGAACTCATGGGATCAAGTGCCCCACAGATCCTGGTCCTCACAAGGGACAAGGCCACCAGGTGTCACACTGGGAGACAGTGGCACCCCAGGGTATGAAAGGCCACACCAGGCTTATGTCCAGTAACCCTGCCTGCACAGCACAGCACGGCACGGCATCCATACCGCAGCACAGCCCCGCCCTCCGGCAGTGCCAAGCCCGGGATCTCAGGGCCCCCACCAGAAACCAGACAGGTGAGCAGGTGGCAGCTCCAGGCCAGGTGCTGACCTTGTGCATACCAGGCCTTCCCCGAGAGCAGGCTGCAGCCCCCCAGCTGGTTCTGACTGCCACAGGACTGCGCCCCTCCTGCAGGGCTCTGCTCACACCCACACTCCCTGCTCAGAGACGGCCTGTCCCACCGCCCCGTGTGAAATCACACCCAAGCACAGCGGAACGATGGAGGAGGCAGCTGGAAGGTGCTTTCGGTGGTCAAATCTGGGGCAATTTGAACACAATAATAAATGATAGTAATAGGTTAGAACCCATTGAATAAAATAAATATCCACAGATCAGTATTGGTAGAAACAAATAACTGAATAATAAATAAGTGGGAGGGGAAGGGCAGCTCTTTCTCACAGGGTAATTCAACTAAAAATGTAAAAGAAATGATGAGATAGAAAATCATGGTAGTAAACCCCATCGGCAACAGCACAGTCAGGACTGCGGCAGGTACGACTTATCCGTGGAGGCTACAATTAGTGAGCAAAAGGATAACAAGAAACAGAATGCTCACATCACGTCACAGCAGCTACCCACGGGAGATTTAATCATCGCAATGGGAAAAAAGAGTGAAAGAGTGGTTTGCTCATCAAGCCACTCATCTGAGACCTGAAAAAACCTCACAGTCACAGCCCTAGAGCTCCCGGGGCATCCAGTGGAATCCCAGTAGGTAACACCTTAGCCAAATGAAGAAGGGCATCACTGACAATAGGAGACAACTGGACATCCCAATGTGACAGTCCCAGCGTGGTGCCCTACGGAGGGCACAGTGCTTCTGTGACAGTCCTGCCAGAAACACGTAAGCTCAAGCCAGTACAAGGCACACCAGAAAAACCCATGGGGATGCACCGTCTACAAAACAGCTGACCAGTCCTCTTCAAAAACATCCAGGTCATGAAACCTCAGATGGGAGGAAACGGGAGAGACACAACAACTAAATGCCACGTGGGATCCTGAGGGGGAGCCTGAACCAGACAACCGACATGAGTCGGAAGACTGACAAAATTCAGTGCAGTCTGGAGTGCTACGGTTAGAATGTGACTGGTTTGTTCCCACCAAAACTCATCTTGACATTTGGTCCCCAGTGTGGCAGTGTTGGAAGGTGGGGCCTGGGGTGAGGTATCTGAATCATGGAGGCCGATCCCTCGTGAGTGGCTTGATACTGTTCTCAAGGTAGCAAGGGAATTCTTGCTCTGGAGAGGCTTGATTAGTTCCCGAGCCTGGGTTGTTATAAAAGCAGGACACTCCCTGGGTTTCCCTTCTTTGCACACATGGGCTTTCCCTTTGACCCTCTCCACCACGTTATGACACAGCACAAAAAGGCCTCACCAGAAGCCAGGGCCATGCTCTTGAACTTCCCAGCCTGCAGAACCATGAGCTAAATAAGCTTCTTTTCTTTATAAATTACCCAGTCTCAGGTATTCCATTATAGCAACACAAAATAGACTAAAACTAAGACACTAAGTACCAACGCTTAGTATCAACCTACAAAGTTCCTGGTTTCAGTCCTTGTTCTACGTTGCATACGGAGGAAGCTGGGTGAAGGGCACAGAGGAAATCTATGCTATTTTTGCAACTTTTCTTGCAATTTTTCCAAGACAGCATAGATCTAAAGTTATTTCAAAATTAAAACTTTAAACACATAAAAATAAAACTGGGCCCCAGCCTCCCTCAGTGCTCTCTGGCCGGTCCATTCTTCACATTGGCTGCCTTTCCCTGGAGTGGAGGCGCCCACTGCATCCCCAGTGTCCAGGGAGCAGGTCCTGTAGAAGGTGGTAGGTTCCAGGGATCGGGGAGCAAGTACAGAGGCCCTGAGAAGGAAGCAAGCCTGGCGTGTTCCAGGAACACCAGGGAGAACCGTGTAGCCGGAGCAATGCTCTTGTGCAGAGGGCCTATGCCTGAGCCACCCTGTGGGCCCTGCCGTTCCCTTCAGGGCACTCTCCAACCCTCTGCCCTGTGCATGGGGCCACGGATGCCCCAGGAGCTCTAGGGCTGTTGACTATGAGGTTGCTTCAGGTCTCAGTGAGTGGCTTGATGAGCGAGCCACCCTCACTGGCCAGGAGGGGACTTCCTTCACAGGTGTGAATGGGACTGAGCCACCAGCATGATGCTGACACGTGGGTTTTGAGGATTCCCACTCACATCAGACAGAATGAGTGCGGGGCTCTGGGATACAGCTGCCCAAGCCTCAAGCCTGAGTGGCACTTGTGGGCTCCTGCATCGGCTGTGGGGCCACCTCCGGGCTCTGGTGTTCAGGGGTGGGCAGTGGCAGCAGACATCCTTCACTCTGTGCCTCTGTCACTGGTGCCCAGGGCGGTGGCCCACACCCTCAAAGGTTCCGTGTCATTTCCGGGCAGTCTTCCAGGGCTGGCTGCATCCACCTGCTTGGAGTGCTTTCAGAGGGAAGCTGTTGCCCTGCAATGCCACGACCCTTCCCGTGTCCTCTCTTGCCTCCAAGCCGTGCTGGACATCATGCTCTCCTCCCAGGCTGGTCTGCAGAGGGATGGAATGCCTGTCACAACTGGGATCCCTCTTCTCTTGTCATTCTGCCTGCTGGTGGCAGAGTGTGGAAGGCGGGAGTGTGCCCACCATTAAACGAGGTTGAATTCTGGGAGTGCAGAAGTAACAGCCTCAGGACTGATGGGGAAGATGAGGCTGCAAGATGTGTGGTTCTTCCCTTCGCTATAAAGGTCCAAACGATATTTATTTATTTATTTATTTATTTAGAGACAGGATCTTACTGTGTCACCCACTGCAGTACAGTGGCTCAAACACAGCTCACTGCAGCCTGGACCCCCTGGGCTCAAGTGATCCTCCCAACTCAGCCTCCCAAGTAGCTGGGACCACAGACGTGTGCCACAACAGCTAGCTAATTTAAAAAAAAAAAAAAATTTGTAGAAATGAGGTCTTGCTATGTTGCCAGGGCTGATGTTGAACTCCTGGGCTCAAGTAATCCTACTGCCTTGGTCTCCCAAAATGCTGGGATTACAGATGTGAGCCACCACACCTGGCCCAAACATTAAATTTAACACGACCAGATGAGGACGTATGGCTCACATTTTCTTGCACACTCTGGGCAAGATCCACATTGGTGGTCATCATTAATGAAGCACGGTAACCACCTTCAAGGGAACAACGGAAGCCGGCATTCCCGGGGGCAGAGAGAAGCGGCGGAGTCAGGAGAAATGCCACAACCAGCACTAAATACATGGGGCTGGGGAATGCGGGGCAAGAAGATATACAGCATCTCCACACAAACAGGTTCCAAAGAGCCACACATTGTGAGCGGTAACAGCTTTGCTATTACCCCCCAGCTGTGGGAGATATAAATATGAAATTAGCTGGGACAGCACACTCGACCATAAAGAACAGGAAGAGATAGCTCCTGAGCCTGAGCAGTAACGAGGGTCTCTGCATGCACTGAGCAGACAGTGAGCAAATGTGTTCGTGCTTCTCCTCCCCGTCCCCTAAATCTTCCTTGATACATCTTGCTATTCCCCATGTGGGCTCATGAATCTTGTTATAAATTTTTTAATCAAATTGTCTATATAGACAGGAGTCCTGCAGGAAATATATGCCCAGGGCCCCATGTATCCTAGGGACAGCCAGCCATGCCTTTGGGAACAGCCTAGAAGGACTGTCAGGAAGGGGCCTGGGTGGGTGGGAGTCAGCTTGCCCAAGGTGACTCTCTCTCCTTGCAAGATACATCTGAGAGAGAAGCCCATTGTAAGCAGGGCCAATCCAAGCTCCCACCCCACCCTGGAGTGCAGACCACTGCCCAGACGGCTTCCTGAGGTCCTGGCTGGGGCCCTCCAAGGTACCCCATTTCCAGGCCTCCAGCCCCAGCCCCCCAATAGCCTGCCTTGAATTGTCTTCTGCTTAAGTGAGTTGAGGTCAGTTTTGCCATCCAAAGAGAAGCCCTCCTGTTTTCCTAGAGGTTGTCAGGAGCTACGCTGGCCGGTCCCCTGGGCTTGGGACATCCTCTGTTGTTGGGGGGAGAGGGTGGGAAGCGTCTTTCCTGCAGCCATGACCTCACCTTGGTGACAGCCACAGCTTCTCACTCACAGCACTGGTGTAAGTGCTAACCTGAAGCCGCTCCTCCTTGTCCACGGGGAAGACAGTCTGACCCCACTTTCCTCTGCTCCCCGAAAATAAGGAACGTTATTGGTGTTGCTTTGTCCTGACAGACTCACACGTCCTTAAAAAGTGCTAATCTTCACAAAAGAGGCAGCGGCCTGTGCCTTCCTTGAGGAAAGTCAGATTAATTAGCTGACTCCCACATGAGCAGCCTCTGATTCTTGCAGGCTTTGTTTATGGATCAGAAATCAGGCTTGAAGTGAAAACTGACATCTCAATGTGAAGAGTATTTTCCCTGCTAACTGCAGTGAGTCAGAGCCGTGCGCTGAGCTAGACAGATAGGGAACATGGCCTTCCCATGTGGACTGGAGTGTGCCAACGCCTCCGGGCCACAGCCCAGGACAAGCGTGGGACATCAGCCTCCCATTGCTAGGCCAGAACAGGCCAGTGCCCCATAGATCCCAGCCCAAGACAAGCACCGGAGTTGGCATTCCAGGGTAGGGTTTTGTTTGTTTGTTTTTCTCAAGATGGAGTCTTGCTCTGTCGCCTAGGCTGGAGTGCAGTGGCATGATCTGGGCTCACCACAACCTCCACCTCCTGGGTTCAAGTGATTCTCGTGTCTCAGCCTCCCGAGTAGCTGTGATTACAGGCACACGCCACCACACCCAGCTAAATTTTTTTTTTTTTTGTATTTTTTTAGTAGAATGGGGTTTCATCACATTGGCTAGGTGGTCTCGAACTCCTGACCCTGTGATCCGCCTGCCCTGGCTTCCCAAAATGCTGAGATTACAGGTGTGAGCCACCGCACCTGGCCAAGGTTTTTTTGTTTTTTTGTTTTTTTGTTTTAAGGTATTTGTGCATCTCAAACATTCCACTTAATGACTGGGAACTGGGGCCTGCAATCCCAGCACTTTTGGGAGGCCGAGGCAGGAAGACTGCTTGAGCCCAGGAGTTCCAGACCAGCATAGTGAGGCCTCATCTCTACAAATAATTTAAAAATTAGCTGGGTGTGGTGGTGCATGCCTGTGGTCCCAGCTACTTGGGAGGCTGAGGTGGGAGAATCACCTAAACCCTGAAGGTCCAAGCTGCAGTGAGCTAAGATGCTGCCACTGCACTCCAGCCTGGGTAACAGAAAAAGACACTTTCAAAAAGAAAAAATATGACTGGGAACCGGGAGAAAGATGTTGATGAAGGCACGCAGCCTACAGTCAGAGCTGACAGCCCAGAAACACGTCCAGCCAGCCAATTATTTTTAATGAATGCCCTTCCTTTGGTGACTCAATCCCATGAACAGGGAAGATGGGTGCATGGCTAGAAGCTCTGTCCAGGCTCCGAGGGCTGCCCAGCAGACCCACCCTAGGGGGTGCCAGGATCAACCCGACCCAGGGATGCTGAGCACCCATGCAAGTCTGACCCACCCACGTGGCCCAAGGAGGCAGCTTGTGGAGGTCCGGAATGGTGGTCTGGAGATTGGGCACCCACAGACTTGGGGAGTGGAAGGGCCACCCCAAGCCCTGCCCCCGCCCCCACTGCAGCTTCCCCGCAGGGCTGCACCCACATCCGCAGGGTGGCCCCTGCCCCGTGTGCCCAGCTTCCAAGGTGGCCTGCCCCTGATGCCAGAGAAACTTCCTGCTGGCCAAGCGGAGGGGCTTGCTTTCTAGGGTCAGCAGGAAATGTCAACATTTTCCCTGAAAAATCCTTCAATTCCCTCATTGAGTCTCCAGTAGACTTAGGTCATGTATACACTCAACAGGACAACTCTTTTCCACCCCAAATGCTGACAGCCTCTGAGGCAGTCTAAAGAAGGAAGGAAGAGTCACTGTGCAGACTCCTGGCATGGAGGCCCTCCTGTCGCTCTCAACTACTGCCTCTAGGCGAACGGGCCTGTGGGGAACTTGGCGGGTTCCCACTGGCCGCATGGATCATTGTTTCCACTTCAAAACCAGGCCTTGAGCACCCTACTGGAGGCTGCTGGGTTTGTCTGTCATCCTCAGAGCCTGAGAGCATCTGGCACCAGGCCTGGCTGAATAAATAGATTCTGGATTAGAAAGGAAACCTGGCTTTGAAAAGACACAGAGAAGAACCAGGTCCCTGCGTCCCTTCCTTCCAGGCTGATGTTCTGGGCTGGCGGGTCTCTGTTGGGCTCCCCACCCCTTCACCTTCTGCCCTGTCCTACAGCCCAGTAGGCAGACCTGATGGACTGGCTCCTCCTGGCTCTCCCTGGGTGAAGGGGGGCACCGACAGGAAACCAGGGCTGGGGAGAGAGACAGAAGGTTTTATTTCTCCCGCTGTGGTGGCCCCCAGCCTCCCCGCCCTGCAAGCTCCCTCGTCCTGCCCGCAGCTCTGTGAGTTGTGCCTTTGTCAACTCCTTTCTGTTGATCCCTTATGTGTCCCAGGCCCCTGACTGATCCGACATGCCCTGTAGCCCGACCAGGCAGCCCTCACTCTCATAGTCCAGGTGCTGGTCCCATCTCTAGGGTTTGGGATGGGACTTCCACACTCCAGCCCAATTTCCACCCTGAAGCACACGGGTGAGCCAGTTCCCTGCAACCACCACAGACTCAGGACACAAAGTCCCAGGCTGGTCCAGAACATTCTGAGCAGGGCAGAGGAGCCCCGTCCATGGCGGCTGGGGCAGTCCCGCAAGTGAGAGTCGGGGTGGGAGGAGCTGGAGGCTCTGGAAGGGATTCAGGAGCAGCCACCAAGGCCACCTTCCACACACGTCCTCAAAAGCCCTTCCATATTCCGCTGAAACCACTAGTGGGGCCTGTGCTGGGAGCAAGGGAGGCGTGGAGACAGGTGGGGCTGTGGAAGGAGGCTGCCATGAGGAGGGAAGGCTCCTCCAACCCAGGACGCCCCACTGCAGGAGGAAATGCCTTTCTGGCTGTGGTCCAGGAGACTGAGGGTCCTGCTCAGCCACACAGCACGTGCCAAGGTGCAGAGCCCAGGGGAAGAGCAAACCGAGGAGCTGGCGGTGCCTCGGACGATGCAGTGATGGTGAAGCAGGAGGATGGGGGAGGCCTGAGCCGTGGGGACAGGAGAATGACCACAGGATCCACACCTCTGTGGTCCGTGGGACCTCAGCAGA
Organism: Homo sapiens; assembly: GCF_000001405.40. Lineage (NCBI taxonomy): Eukaryota > Metazoa > Chordata > Mammalia > Primates > Hominidae > Homo > Homo sapiens. Next base: position 60,903 of record NW_016107298.1, read on the forward strand.
CGCTTTGGGTGATGCCAGAGAGCCATGGAGGAGGTGGCGGCAGGGGCTGTGCTTCTGAGAATGCTGACAATGATGGGACCCGGGAGCAGCCGGAGCTCAAGGGACGGGCAGGGGCAATGCCGGGGCCTGTCTGTGCTCGGAGGAGGGGGAGGTGGGTGAGCAAGGAGGTGGGTGAGCAGGGAGCGGGAAGGTCCCAAGGGGGGATGCTGCCTGCAGAGGCCAGCAGTCAGGAATGTCGAAGTAGATCCTTCAGCGAGGCTGGGGCCCCTGCTCGGAGGCAGGAAAGTAAGGGAGGAGGGATGGGGCTGGACCCAGCAATTCAGCAAGGAAAGCAGGAGGCGGGAGACAGTGGTACAGGCAGGGAGCAAGTACAGCAAAGAGGACCAGTGGCATCCGACTCGGATAAGGAAGGACCGCAAGGCAGGTGGAGATGGGCTCAGTGGGTAAGGTCCCCAGGGGCGGCCTGGGCAGAGGGCAGGAGGGAGAGGCGGCGGGCAGAGAGAGGCTGCTGCGTGCTGTGGGTCAGGAGGGTGGTGCCTGGGAAGACCAGCTGCCTGCCTGCTCCCAGGGTGGACAGGGGACAAGTCAAGCATAAAGATGCAAAGGTGCAGGCCGAAAAAAGGACGGGCCACTGGTATCACTAACACAACCATCAATGGGTTTAACATTGCAGTTAGAGATCAACCAGACTGAGATGGAACAAACAAGGCATGCCGTCTGTAACACATGCCTGAAACATGCTAAAAGAGAGACAGAGAAAACTGCAAACCCAGAAAGCAGGGTGTCTGTAGTATCATCAAAATAGAACTCAGAGCAAGTACTAAATGACTGGAAACTCCTGTTGTATTGACAAGGCTTGGTGAAAGCACACAGTCACCAAGCTTTACAAACCAAGGGCCGCAGCATCTGCCATGGTTAGAAACACAAGTGGCTCAACAGCCCTGTCAAAGGGAAATGCGAACGGCCACTCCCAGTGGGTGACAGGTCTCCTAGACCACAGCAGAGGGGCACAGACTCATTGACTCGGGAAATGGGCCGGATTGATTTCTGGATGGATCTGACGACTTACAACCGAAAGCAAATGAGTATTCTTTACAAGCATGGGGGAGCATTTACAAAAATTGATCCCGGCCTCCCCTGCCTGCCTGGCCTGAATCCCCCAAGCCTGTCAGCCGTAGCCTCCCACCCCACCTGCCTGGCAATGCAGAAACCTGAGATTGCTGCTTCTCGGCACCAAGAACCAAGAGGTGAAGTTGGTATGGGGACCCCCTTCTGCCCCACTCCCTGCTAGTACTGTCCAGCCAGAAGGCCCTCCCCACAGCCTGCCCCTTTCTCTTGACTGTTCCCTTCCCCAATACGCTGAGGCCCCATGTCTCCCAGGACCCTCCCTCAAGACCCCGGCTTCCCTCTCCAGGGTGACTTGGGCCCTTGCATCATGGGGCATAATGCCAACTCCCCACCCCTACTGATGAAGTCACTGGCAGAGTGCCCCCAACGCCCTCCACTATAATCCCAGAGGACGGAGAGCTCTTGCTCTGAGCCGAGACAACCCACTGCCCACCACCAGCTCCCTCAGGGCTCTCCACAAGTCCCTTCTCGCCTCCCCTGCTGCGTCTTCGGCCTCCTCCTCTCTAAAGTCCTCTCTCAGCCCAACAACAGAACCGGGTCTCTTCAATCCTGAACAAGAAGACTCTGCTTCCCCTCCAGCCACAGGACCTCCCTTCCCTCACAGCCCTTCTCAGCAGGCTGGCCTCTGCTGCTCCCTCCCACGCACCAATGCCCATGGCCTCTGTCCCTCCTCCCCAGGGCCCCGGGGACCTCCACACCCTCCTGCTCAGCCTCTCTCTGGCCGCCCCCAGCTGCTCCGGTTTCCACAGCACCAGAGGCCAGGGTCCCCTCGTGCCACAGTGACCCTGCAACGCAGATTCCGTGCTCCCTTCAGAAGCCCACCTGACATTCATAGAAGCTGAGCAAACACCAGGAGACAGAGGCAATTTCAGAAATTCCCCGAGGCTCGGGGAACCCAGGCTGTCCCCTTCACTCCTAACTCTGTGGCAGGCCTGGCCCTGCCAAGCCTCCATGGAGATGAGCTCTTCCTGTCCCAAGGTGATGGTGTGAAGCGGGCCTTTGGAAGGTGATGAGGTCATGAGGGTGGGGACCCCGTTAATGGGATTAGTGCCCTTATCAGAGAGGCCCAGGGAGCTTGTGCACCCTCCACTGTGTGCAAACACAGCAAGAAGGCCCCAGCTATGAGCGAGGAAGCAGCCCTCACCAGACACCAAACCCACTGGCGCCCCGATCTCACATGTGAGACTCCAAAACTGTGAGAAATAAACTTCTGTTGTTTCTAAACACCCAGTCTGTGATATTTTGTTATGGCAGCCTGAACGGAGGGACACCTGCAGAGCCTGGGATGCTCAGAATACACACGTGGCAGGAGGGGTGTGGACGGGCTCTACGGAACTGGGAGATGCCTAGAAATGCTAGAGGGGTTGAGGGGGAGGCATTCACAAGCCCTTGTAGGAAACTGAGATCTGCGCTGGTTAGGGGTGGGGTGTCACTGGAATGGCAAGATGCAGATATAAATGCTGACAAGACCCAATTTAAACCCAGAGATGCTAAGGTCTGAAAACATTTGGATTATACTAGGAATCAACGCAAAGCTTAATAACCTAAAATCCAACCACTCGGAAGTTTTTTCAACATTCCTCTAAATAGCTCTTAAGTTACTGGAATCAAAATCATAAATCTTTTTAAAATGATGACAGTGAGAATTCAGCACATCAGAACCTGTGGATGAGACCAAAGCCACCACCAGAAGCAAGTTCACAACCTTCTTAATTATAGACCAGAGTGAAAATAAATGAAGCCAGTGCTCCAGTCAAGAGGGCAGAAGAGAGAGCAACCATAAACCTAAAGATGTTGATACAAATAGCATGAGTGACAAGATCTCACTTCTGAGTGTGACATATATGTAACAAGATGGAAAAACGGTTAGTTTGTATAGCTGTAACAAATTACTGCAAATGTAGTGGCTTAAAAACACAAATTTGTCCAGGCGCGGTGGCTCACGCCTGTAATCCCAGCACTTTGGGAGGCTGAGGCGGGCGGATCACGAGGTCAGGAGATGGAGACCATCCTGGCTAACACGGTGAAATCCTGTCTCTGCTAAATATACAAAAAATCAGCCGGCCGTGGTGGCGGGCGCCTGTAGTCCCAGCTACTTGGGAGGCTGAGGCAGGAGAATGGTGTGAACCCAGGAGGCGGAGCTTGCAGTGAGCCAAGATCACACCACAGCACTCCAGCCTGGGCAACAGATCAAGACTCCAACTCAAACACACACACACACACACACACACACACACATTTATTATCTGACAGTTCTAGAGATCTGAAGTCCACAATGGGTCTCACTGGGCTAAAATCAAGGTGTGGGGAGGGCTGCATTCCTTCTGGAAGCTCTAAGGAGAATGTTTCCTTGTTTTTTTCCAGCTTTTAGAGGCTACCCACATTCCTTGGCTTGTGGCCCCCTCCTCCATCTTCAAAGCCAGCACCGGAGCATCTACTGACCCCTCTCTGACTCTGAACTTCTGCCTCCATCTTCTACTTTTATGAATCCTTGTCATGGCCAGCTCACACCTGTAATCCCAGCACTTTGGGAGGCTGAGGCGGGCGGATCACAAGGTCAGGAGATGGAGACCATCCTGGCTAACACAGTGAAACCCCGTCTCTACTAAAAATACAAAAAATTAGCCAGGCGTGGTGGCAGGCGCCTGTAGTCCCAGCTACTCTGGAGGCTGAGGCAGGAGAATCACTTGGACCCAGGAGGTGGAGCTTGCAGTGAGCCTGAGATTATGCCACTGCACTCCAGCCTGGGCGACAGAGTGAGACTCCGTCTCAAAAAAAAAAAAAAAAAAAGAAGAATCCTTGCCATTACACTGTGCCATCCAGGATAATCTCCTTATCTTAAAAGTCAACTAATTAGCAACCTGACTTCCATCTGTAACCTTCACTGCCCCTGCTATGTCACCTGATTTATTCCCAGGTTCTCGGGACTGGGACATGGACAACTTTGGGAGAAGGATTATTCTGTCTCTCACAGAGACTATCTCAAAAGGGTAGGATTTCATGGTTTTTGCTTTCTCCTTAATACTTTTCTACATTATTCAATGATAATGACCATATGTTTTGTATGTTCAAAAGTAATTTTTAATTGTGAATAATGTAAATTATTGTGAATCATGTTTTGTCAGTTGTTGTGAATAATGTTTAATTGTAAACAATGGAAAACTAAAGAAACAAAAGAATAGCATCCTCTTATAGCACCCATTGATGTCTTTGCAACACTTTTTGGCTGGTCTTTTGTCCCCGTCCCCCTGACTTTGAGCTGCCTGAGGACAAGCCAGACCCCCCTTCACTTCTGTGGCTCTAGCAGTAAGCATGAGGACTTTGGCACAGCAGGCTTTAGCAGACGTTTCTCAAAGTGAAGATAAATCCCCTTATAAAGGAGGCCCTGGTTTAAGAAGAATGATGTGCACACTCAAAAGTGCACTTTAAGGCCAAGCTCCGAATAAACACGATGATATTATTTTATTTAAGAGTCTTCATACATACAACTTAATTCAGTAACAGTCTGAGAAACGCAAGCCAGCAGACAGATAAACCGTTATGGCTCTGGCTCTGGCAAAAACTCTTCATCTACGCGGAGCCAGAAGAAAGCCAATTAAAAGTCGGAGAGGTCCCGCAGGACAGAGGCCGGAGGATGTCCCCACACACTGAGCACAAGCCCCAAACACAGGCTTCCCCAGTCTGGAGCCGGCGGCCAGCCCCCTCCTGGCCTCAGTGAAGCCTGGACTCCTCACTCTGTCCAAGTGGGAGGAACTGGTCCCAGCTGCAAGAACCGCCTACTGTGATCTGGGCAAAGGTTCTGGAGGCTCTGCTCGCTCCTGTCCCCCAGGAAAAAAAAAAAAAAAAAGACAGCAGAGGGCATTGCTCAGGGGCCCAGCCTGGCTGTCATCCCTGAACATCCTGGGCTGAAGGAAAGAATTGAGCCCAGCCGAAACTTGAGATCTTTAGACTTAAATCCCCACTCTGTCACTTGTGGCTATTTGGCCTCTTTCGACCTCTGCTTTTCCGTGTCTAAAATGGCACAATATTACCTACTTTACAGAGTTGTCAAGGGATTGAAAATAAGATAATGAAGGCAAAGGAAGTGAGCTCAGTATCATTATGCCCATTTTACAGATTGGGAAACAGGCTCCAAGAGATGACATGACTCTTTCAGGATTAGACAGCTAATGAGTGGTGGATCCGGATCTGCTCGCACAGGGCTGGGCTCCTCCCCAGCCCCGCACTGGGACAGGGGCATCTCTTGAGGGCTGCCCTGTGGCGCCCAGATGCCGCAGGGAGACAAGGCTGTGTGCACAGATCTCTCTCCACTGGGCAGCACCTGAGTAACTGGGGGAGAGAAGTGGGTTTCAAGCATCTCCTTTGTGAACCACTGGGCTTAAGTATGCTGAACTTCAGTTTTGACGCAGAACTTGGAGACAACCCATCCTCTGGGAAAAGACACAAATGAGGGCAGGACCCCTGCACCATGTGCCCTGCTGCCCCAGCAGTGTCCTCTCATCCAGCGTGTGAAGAAGGAGTGCAGCCGGAGAGCCGGTGGCAGCAGGGCGTGCGGGATGCCCCGCTCACAGCGTGCTGTGCCCGGGAGAGGAGCGAGGGCAGGCCCCCAGCTGCTTGGGAACAGTCAGCCTGCACACCTCGCCCCTGGGTGCCCTTCCAAGGCAGCCCTCAGGCCCCAGGCTCCGGGACTCCCTGCAGAGGAACTGCAAGCCAGTCCTGGCCCAGCACAGCCCTTCCGCCAGCCTCTGGCCAGCGTCAGGAAGGGGAGTGTAGAGTGAGTAGGAAGCCACACAGGAGCAGAAGCCGGGACTTCTGCCTCTCACCCCACTGCATGTATGAAAATAGACGGGGGTGATGGCCGGGTGCGGTGGCTCATGCCTGTAATCCCAGCATTTTGGGAGGCTGAGGTGGGCGGATCATGAGGTCAGGAGATGGAGACCATCCTGGCTAACACAGTGAAACCCCGTCTCTACTAAAAAAATATAAAACATTAGCCGGGCGTGGTGGGGGGCGCCTGTAGTCCCAGCTGCTCTGGGCGACAGAGCAAGACCGTCTCAAAAAAAAAAAAAAAAAAAAAAAAAAAAGCGGGGGAGTGATAAGGCCCCGGACAACCCAAACTGCAGCAAGATTCTCTGCGGAGGCAGAGCTGCCTCCTCCTGGGGGTCCTCTGGACCAGGAAGGAGCCCTGAGGACTTGTGGCCCAGTGGGTCCGGCTTCCCAACCTCCACCTTGCCAGCAGCACCGATAGATGTGGCCACAAAGGTGCATTCACATTTGCGACCTGTGGCTGAATGCAGACCCTGGGTGCTATCTCCCGGGGGGGCAAATGGCAGTAAGCAAGCAAAGAGGAAGTCGACAGAGAGTGACGCAGCCGTGAGGACAACAGCACAGAGTATTGTTGAGGGGGGCGGGGGACTTCCTGGAAGAGATGACACTGGAGCTGAGGCCTAAATGATTGGAAAGAGGCAGCGATGGAGAGATCTGGGGAAGTGGGCTCCAGCACAGAGAACAGCACATGCAGAGGACCCGAGGTCAGAACAGACCTGCCATGTTTGAGGAAAGGGAAGAAGGCCAATGTGAGTGGAGTGTGGAGAGCAAAGGGTGGGCGGGGGCGAGGGACAGGAGGGCAGAGTGGTGGGCCTGGGTGGGGTACAGGAGGGCAGAGTGGTGGGCCTGGGTGGGGTACAGGAGGTCAGAGTGGTGGGCGGGGGCAGACTGCACAGAGCTTCCTCTGCTGTGGGGAGGAGATTGGATTTTCTCCTCTGTGCAGTGGGCAGCCCCTGGAGGGTGGAAGAGACCTGATTCCCCTGTCAGTTGCTCTGGGCATGTTGTGAGAATTGCTGGGGGCAGGATCTCCCTCCCTCTCTCTATGAAATTCCTGTTCAGCAGGGATCTGCCTATGGCTGTATTTCTGCTGGTAGAAGTCCCTCCCTGATTATAAACCGCTCAACACATAGAGAGGTCCCTAGGAGAAGGTTCAGGTTCCAGTAGGATGGTGTGAGCACGCCTCACCTGCATCCCCCACTGCCTGCAGCCACCCAAATGCACTGGATTCATGAGCAGCTAGCTGAGGACCCTGCAAAATAAATAACAGCATGCAGATTGGGGAAGAAGACTAGAATGTGAGGTTCAGCAAACCCGCAGAGTTTACTCTTCATTCTCTGGTATTCCTCAGCCTAGATACAAGGCAGGTCAAACTCCAGAAGCGGGCACTGGGTACAGACAGACAGAGCTCGAGACAAGCCCTGTTGTTGTAGCTCAAGGATAGAAAAAGCATTTCCGAATGCTCAGAGCCAAGCCAACACCTCATTTTTCTTTCCTATTTCCTTTTTCTTTTCTTCGTGTTCTCACACGCCAGCTCATGGCAGCCCACAGGCACCTAAAACTCTAAGAGGGGAGCCTGGCTGTGTAGCTGGAAGTGCTGTGGTCCTAGAAAGGTGGAGTGAAACCCCATTGCTCTTTCCTCTTTTGGTCCTCCCAGGAGTGTAGTTGCAGGAAGTGTGCAAGACAGCAGGGTCAATAAAGCCCCAGCTTTCTGGCCAGAGAGATTTAACAAGGAGCCGCAGGAAACTGGACAGGGCTAGGAAGATGGCAGAGACAGCAGAGCTTGGGGAACTGGCATCAGAAAGTTGGTTAGAAACTCCTGGGCTCGTGCTTGAGCCGTGCACGAGTGGGTCTGACCCTAAACAACACGCCATAGGTTCTGGGGACTGACTTAGGAGGTGGACCAATGCCCAGGTCCCAGACGTGCCACTGGGTTGTGTTTACATGGGATTGATCAGAATAGGACTGCACAGGCTTTGAAAATGGACCTGACATTGAACCGCAATCCACAGGCACATTGGAACTTGCAGCCGGAACCCAATTAACCCAAGGGTTAATTACCTGATCAAACAAAAATAATGACCTTCTCCATAGCATTTAAACAAGATCCAAAGTCTCATAGGGTAATATCAAAGTGTCCAGGATACAGTCCAAAATTACTTGGCATACCAAGAACCAGGAAAATCTCAACTCCTCCAGGCAAATACAACCAACAGATAACAAGACTGAGATAGCACATATGTTGGAATTAACTGACAATGATCTTAAAGCAGCTATTATAAAAATACTCCATAAAGTAAGGGCAAAAACTCTGGCAACTAATGGAAAGATAGTCTCAGCAAGAAACGGAAGACATATTTTTAAAAAGGACCAAACGGAAATTTTAGAACTGAAAAATACAATAACAGAAACTTTAAGAACTCACTGGATAGGCTCAAGAGCAGAATGGATATGACAGAGGAATGAGTCAGTGAACTTGAGGATAGAGCAATAGAAGTTACCCAATTCAAACTGCAGCGAGTAAAAATATTTTATAATGCCAAGAGCCTTAGAGACTGTGGGAAAATACCGAAAGATCTAACTAACAGTCATGTCCCAGAAGGAGAAGAGAAAGAATGTATTACTAAACAAATATTTGGATAAATAATGGCTGAAAACTTCTCAAATTCTGTGAAATGCATAAACCTACCAATTCAACAGATCGGCAAACCTCAAATGAGAGAAATCCAAGGAAACACAATCCCACACGTTATAAACACACTCTGAAAACTACAGACAAAAAAAAGTCTTGAAAGCAGTCAGAGAAAAACAGTGCATTACTTATAGGGGAAAAATGGTTCAGATAACTGCAGATTTCTTATCAAAACTGTGAAGTCCAAAGGAAGTGCAAAACATTGTTAAAATGCTGAAAAAAAAAAAAAAAGAACTGTCAACCCAGAATTCTATCTCCAGCAAAAATACACTTCAAGAATTAAGGAGAAATAAAGACATTCTCAGATGAAGCAAAACTTATAGAATGTGTGGCCAGCAGATCTACCCTAAGATGGTTGCTGAAGGAAGTTCTTCAGACAGGGGGAAAATGATGCTAGAAAGAAATTTTGAACATCAGGAATAAAGGAAGAGCAACAGAAATACCTGAAAAAATATAACAGATTAGGCTCTTGCGTATTTTAAAGAGGAATGATAATGCTGTCTGATGTAGTTTTCCATGTATGTAGGTGTATAAAAGACAACAACATTCAGGGGAGGACAGAGGGACCTATATGATGGCAGGGTCTCAACATTCAACTTGAAGTGGTAAAATATTGATTTGAAAAAGACTCTGAAGAGTTATATAGGTTTATTATAATCCCTGGAGCAACCAGTAAACACTATACAAAGATATACAACCAAACACAATAGGTAAATTAAAATTGAATACCAAAACATGCTCAAATAGAAAAAGCAAAATAAGCCCAAAGCAAGTAGAAGGGAGGAAATGATAAGAGTAAAAATCAATGAAACTGAAAATATGAAAATAATAGAGAAGATCAATGAAACCAAATTTGGTTCTTTGTAAAGATCAGTCAACTGATAAATCTCTAGTGAGACTGAAGAAGAGAAACAGAAAAAAATATGAATTACCAGTATCAGAATATTTTTAAAAAGGATATCACTAATGACATCACAGCCATAAAAAAGATAATGGAATAGTATAAACAATTCTATGCATATAAATCCATCAGTGTTGAAGAAATGCATGATTTCCTCAAAAACTATAAGCTACCAAAACTTACCCAAGACAAAGTAGATAGCATAAAAAGTTCTGTAACTATTAAAGAAAAAGAATTCATAGTTTAAAATCCTGCAAAAAAGAAATTTCCAGGTCTAGACGGTTTTACTGGAAAATTCTACTAACCTCTCAGGAAAAAATGGCACCAATTCTCCCATTCATTTTATGAGGTCAACATTACCCTGATATTAAAACCAGACAAAGACAGTTCAATAAAAAAAAAAACCCTACAAACCAATATCCCTCATGAACCTATAAACCAATATCCCTCAATGAACATAGACACAAAAATCCTCAGCAAAACACTGGCAAGTCTAGTCCAGCCATGTATAAACAGCAGAGTGCACAACAGACAAGTCATGTTTGTCCTGGATTTGCAGAGTCTGGCACAATATCCAAAAGTCAGTGTAACCCAGCATATTAACAGACTGAAGAAGGAAAAAAAATATGCTTATATCAAGTGATAGAGAAAACCATATGATATGATTCATTCATGACTAAAAATTAAAAACTCTCAACTAACAGAGAAAGAAACGTGCTCAACCTGGTAAGAATATCTACAAAAAAACTAAAGCTAACACAATACCGCATCCTGAGAAACTGTTTTCCCCTAAAATAAGGAGCATTTTCACGACTCCTACTCAACCTTGGGTTGAGTCCTAGACAGCACCTCTGTACACACCCAGCACCCAGCACAGACCCTCAGGCCAGGGCAGGAAAGGGCCCCAGAGAGCTTCCCCAAAACCCGTGTTCCTGGGGAAGGTGGATGTCCAGGAAGGGTGACTGGCCCCTAAAGCCTAGGGGAAGCGGGGGCCCTCCTGCTCCAGCCTCATGAAGCTTTGATCTCCAGTGCCAAGCCCGGTGCCAGCAGAGAGCCAGGCAGATGAACTCAACCAGGGAAAGGACACCCAGGAAGGAAGCAACTCCATGAGATCGAGTCTCATAGCACCAAGTGCTCCCACAGGCTCTGAGGACATGGCTCTTATTCCAGGACCAGGCCTGACAGGAGCACAGCCTGAGGGATGAGAGGGCAGGGCAGTCTTCTGCTGGGTGGGGAATTGGCCACCAGGGCCAGTCCCACATCTGTTGTGGCCCTGGCAGGATCAACCCTGGGCCTGAGTCCTTGGAGGTGAGGCCAGCACGTAGTAGAGGGGCAGCCGAGTAAGAAGAACCTCTCGGGGAAGTCAGTGGCCAGCCAGCCTAAGCCCGGCCCAGACCCTCGCCCTGCTAGCATGAGACAGACACAGGGGGCCCGCACTGCAGAGCTGCCCCGGCCCACGCGCCCCTGCCCTGCTGTGCTCCGCCATCTGCCCCAGCAGTGCTGTGAGAGCATCGCACCCTGCAAGCCTCAGCCTTCAGGGACGGCAAGACCTGGGGCCCACAGGAGGTCCACCGGCCCTCTCAGGGCTCGAGCACCCGGCCAACCCTGGGTGGCCACTGCTCAGCACTCCAGGACAGCTCCATGACACAGAAGCAGCTCTGCCCATGAGCATTCAACAGCCCGGTCCGGGGGGCACCACCACGCAGGGGCTTCCCGGGTCATGCTGCACCATCCACTAATAGCACCATCACGTATGCCAGGCTGGGAGCCCGGGCGTCCCAAGCCTGTGACCTCATTCTCTATGCTCCTCACGGCTGCCCCACAGAATCTCTGAAACACGACTCAGACCTGTCACTGCCTGCCCAAAGCCCTCCAGCGGCTTCCCACCACATGACTGCCCCGGTCCCCGCTGATTTCTCCTTCACTCAAGTGCCAGCCGTGGAGATCTCCTCTGTGTCCTTGGCACACTTCAACTCAGCACCTGCCTCAGGGCCTTTGCACCTGCTGCTGCCTCCACCTGGAATGGCCTTCTTCCAGAAGTCCAGGTCCTAGCTCCGATGCCTCCTCACAAGGACCTTGGTGAAGGGTGTCCCTTCTCCATCACACTCCACACTGCCATCCTGTCCTATTTTTTTGTAACACCATTTCCCAATCATCGACACGTGGGTTCTTTATTGGGTCACTCTCTGCCCCCTGACCAGGGATCTTACGAGAGCAAAGTTGTCCTTGCTGGGTCCACGTCACCAGACCAGTGCCTGGCATCTCACAGGCATGGAGTTGAGTACGGGAGGTCGCCGGCCCTCCCGAGGCTCCCTTCCCCTACTTCAGGATGGTGTAAGGTTTCCTTGCCAAGGTCCCTGTGGTGCAGAGTGGGCCAAGTTTGCCGCCTTCTGGAGCGACAACAAGGAGAAAACAGGGGTTTAAGTGGAGGATCCGGTGCTCTGATTTCTCCCCAGTTAGTAAAGCATTCAGGCTGCTCGGTGGAGGTGGGAAGACAGGCGCTGAGAGTTGTCTGACACAATTGTCTTAGCAGCAGGAGACGCTGATGGGATGTCGGGAGTCACCAGGACCATCTGACAAATGACCGCCTTGGGGATCCGTGGAGCTCAGCGGTGCCCAGAGAGAGCACTCGAAATGCCAGCTGGAAAGGTCACGCACGCCAGCTGGAAGGGGAGCCGCGCAGCCCCTGGGCAGGCTGAGGACAGGAACGGGCAGCCGCCACTGTTCACGAGCAAGGGTGCAGGGGCACCAGAGCCCACAGGAGCTCCTGCAATGCGATGACCATGCCTGCAGGCCCCCATAATAGACAGCCTCATTTTTTTTTTCTAGGCAAAACTTTGGGAGGATCCTTTTTAATTGTATTTGCAAAACAGTTTCTCCCAACATGATGCCCATGTGTATGTGGATTGGGGGAAATTCCCAAGGCCTCTCAGAGAAGTGCCTCCTTCCTAAGGTGGTGTCCCAGCAGATGAATCTGGCTGGCGTCCTGAGTGGAAGCAGGGCGCGGGCTGCCATGGAACCCCACCCTCCTGCAGGTTCCTGGCCCCTCTGCCTCCTCTTCCTTCCCACCCCAGGGGCCCTGGGATGCAGCTAGGCCAGCTGGGAGCCAGACAGCCACTGAAGCCCTCGGGGTACTGTTCCCTGCCTTTAGCATCCCCCTCAGCTGCCCATTCATTCAGCCATTCTTCTAGGAGGACAGGCCAGGCCATGGTGAGGCCCTGGGTCCAGGGAAAGATACGAAGAGGGCTGAGGCGGGCGTTCCTGCCCTTGGGTCTCTTCCGCTGCCCTGGCAGCCCCGTGCCTCCTGACTGTGGACTGGAGTTCTGCAGCTGCGCCATCCACAGGAAGCTACATGGAGAGATGGGCCAGCTCAGCAGAGAGGCGCAAACACCAATTCAGTTGAAAACTCTGTGTTCCCCGGGTAGAGGCCAGTTAGGAGCCAGCATGCCTCCCAAGGGTTGTGCAGGGAGACTTCAGCCAGGCACCCACTGGGGCAGACCCAGTCCCACTGCTTCTGCCTTCAGTGGCCACAGGCCTGGGGCCATTGGTGGATAGAGCTGGAGAAAGGCCACCTCTTCGGGACCCAGGTCACAGGATGTCCCCCCAAAGCCATCCCAGTCAGATGTCTGCAGACACCTGCTCCCCTGGCAACAGTGACCCAGACCTGACCTTCAACTCTAACTGTGCACAGCTTCCTAGCCCGGCCCCCAAGCCTGAAGCCTGGTCCCTCCAGACACTGCAGAAAGCTGGGGCTGACTGTAATCCCAGCACTTTGGGAGGCCAAGGTGGGGCGGGTCACGAGGTCAGGAAATAGAGACCATCGTGGCTAACATGGTGAAACCCTGTCTGTACTAAAAATACAAAAAAAATAGCCACGCATGGTGGCACGCACCGGTAACCCCAGCTACTCAGGAGGCTAAGGCAGGAGAATCGCTTGAACCTGGGAGGCGGAGTTGCAGTGAGCCGAGATCATGCCATTGTACTCCAGCCTGGGCAACACAGCAAGACTCAGTCTCCAAAAAAAAAAAAAAAAAAAAAAAAAAAGGCTCTGGCCCTGCCACTTGACCGGGTGGGTCACCTCTCCGTGCCTCAGTTTCTTCTATTTAAAATGCATAGGGGAGGAGCTCTGAGGGCAAAACACCCTGGGTTTGCCTCAGGGCAGGGCAGGACCCTGGACCCAGCAGGCCCCCACTGCATGTCCCTCCTGTCCTCCCTGCCCCACCCCTGCCCTCTGGCTTCTGGGGTTCAAGTCAGGGAGGCCTTGGGAGTAGCCTGCGGCCCTGGGGACAGACAAGGGTGCCCCTGAATGTCCTGTGGATCTGCCCAGGTTGATGCCTTGACTGCTCCTTCCTGTCACCCAGGACCCTCCAGGAGAGACCACCCCGGACTACGCCTGCCCAGGGCTCCCTGCACGTCCCATGTCCCCACAGCGCTCAGGCGCTGAGATGCTCTGCTGTCTGCTGTGGGGGCCTGTGGACGGCCCTCCTCCCCCACCAGGCTGCAGCTCCCAGCGGGCAGGGATCTAGGCATGCCTTGCTCATACCACAAGGCAGAAACACAGTGAAGAAAGACAGAGAACTGGTCTTGTTGTCTTTGGGGGCTCAGCCCCCCAGCTCCAAGCTGGAGGATCAGGAGGCATCTACAAGCCTTTCCGAAGCCCCCCCATAGGCTGCCTTGCAGGGTACAGTATGGCCTAGAGAGCCCCAGAGGGCTCCCCTGGTCATTAAATATCTCAGGATTTCCAGGAACAAGGAGAGGTTCAAGTCCACAGAAGAATCTGATTGGCGTCTCTGGGCCACCCACCGGTGCTAGAATCCCGGCTGGGGTGAGGGATGGTGGTGCAGAGCCTGGCTATGCAAAATGTGGCCTGGAGCAGCCTGGGGGCCCCCGGGAGCTTGTTAGAGATGCTGAATCCAGGCCCCATCCAGACCAGCTGAACTAAAACCTGCATTTTGGCAAGTTCCCAGGTGGTCTGATGACATTGAAGTCTGGGACACACTGCTCTAGACCTTCCCAGGGTCCCTCAAAGGTGGGTGTAGAGGCCCTACTGCCCTGCCCTGGGGACGCAGAGGCATCAGGGCCTTAGTCCTCCTGGGGACAGTGAAAGGGCCACCACCCCAGACCATGGCCAAACTGCAGGGGTCAGGGAGGCATGGCCCAGGACAGCAGCTCAGCAGGGTGCCCAACCCCACCTGCCCCTGCCTGCCCCAACCCACTTGCCGGCTGGGTCCTCTGGACCTCCGCCCCTTTCCACCCCAGGTTGGAGCCAAAGACCACCCTCTCCACTCCCCAGCCCCCCACCCCCCAACCCACCGAGTGCAGGGCCCGTTGACTCCTATCTCAACAACAACAGGAAACCATTTTTCCAGACAGCATTATATAAGGGGAGGATGCGTATGTTCAGCAGATGTTCACTCTGAGGCCGAGCCTCCCCCGCCCTCTGAACAGGAAGGCCACGTCCCCATCCCTCTCCCCCAGGGCCTGGCGCTCCTGGCCCAGGTGGAGCTGGCCTCTGGCTGGCCACTTCTCTGGAAGGGCCTCGTCCAGCTCTGTCCTGTGCAGGGTCATGCCCCTCCACTCTGCTCTCTCTAGCCCATGGGCAGGCGCCGCCTGGCTCAGAGGCACAGCAATGGGCCAGGGTCAGACAGTGGTGAGCAGCATGCCAAGAATCACAGGGACATCCACCTGCCAGCAAAGCCTCAATGACAACAAAGGACCTGAACAGTGGACACTGACAGGGACTCTCCTGCTTGACCAAACTTTAGTCCAGCTCCTGAACCTTCTCCTTCGCCCACTTCCTTGTAAGATCCAGTTTATCAAGAACTCTGCTAAGTCATGAATGCCCCATCTCTCCATATCTGATCACCCTTGATATCTGGTCAGGCTCGTCCTCCCCATCACCCCTCTGGTGATGTCTGGTCACCCCAGCCTGTCTTCAGCTAGAATCATGTTAGGTGAGTTTAGCTAGAATCCCCGACCCCTGATGTTGCTCTTAGTAATTCCCCATCCCCTGGCCCCTACCCTGCTCCTTGGCTATCACCCCCCACTCGCCCGTGCTGTATTCGGAGTTGAGCCCAGTCTCTCTCCCCGACTGCAAGAGCCCACTCTAGCGGTTCCTGTGTCTATCTCCATGGTCCTGAATAAAGTCCGCCTTACCGCGCTTTAACAAGTATCATTGAATCATTTTTCATTTAACAACACTCTGCCTTGCTGAAGGGAAGGTAGAAATGACAGCAGTGGGGAGGAGGGAGAAGGGGCATGGGAACCCTGTGCCGCTAAGGGCATACTCTAGACCCTCTGCCCCAGGCTAATGTTAGAAGCTGCAGAGGTGCAAATATAACAGTCAGACGACCATGGCAGTGGTCAGCTGAAAAATGGCCCCCGAAGACACGTCCGGGTCCCAATCCCTGGAACCCATAAATGTTACCTTCCATGGCAAAAAAGAACTTTGTAGATGCGGTGAGTCCAAGGATCCTGAGATGGAGTGACTGCTGGATTTTCCGGGTGGGCCCAGGGATAGACAGAATGTTTATATTCCCCCCAAATTCCGATGTTGAAAGCTACTCCCCCAAGGTGATATATTAGGAAGTGGGGCCTTTGGGAGGTGATTATGTCACCAGATTCCATCCACACGAATGGGATTTGTGCCCCGATCAGAGGGACCCCAGAGAGCTCCCTCACCCTTTCAGCATGTGAGGATGCAACAAGATGCCTTCTTGAACCAGGGAGCAGACCCTCACCACAACCATATGCACAGCTTCCAGAACCGTGAGAAATAAGCTTCCGATGCTTTTAAGCCGCTCCGTTTATGGTATTTGGCTATAGCAGCCTGCATGGACTAAGACAGGCCCTAAATGCAATCACACTTCTCTTTATCAGAGGAAGGCAGAGCAAGATGAGCCAGGCAGAGGAGAAGGCCACGTACAGGCAGAGCAGAGGGAGATGGAGGATGTCGGCCCTGAAGCCCAGAGCGAAGAGGCCACAAGCCAAGCACTGCTGGCTGCCACGAGGACCTGGAAGAGCCCAGGACGCATCCTCCCCTAGAGGCTCCGGAGGGAGCGCGGCCCTGCCGCCACCTGCGTTTTGCCCTGTTGAAACTGATTTCAGCCTCCAGAACCGTGAGAGGATACAATTCTAATGTTTCAAACCAGCAAGCTTGTAGTAATTTGCAGGCAGCCTCAGAAACCAATACAATGGGGAACTCTGATATGGACTAAAAGTGGTGAGAGAATTATGGTAGAAGAATGGGGCTGGGAGGGGCAGCAGTGTTGTCAGTGAGCTAAACCCTCCTCTTCCAGGGCAGGAAGTCAATGGACAACATCGAAACCCGATACATCAAGAAACAGCAATAGAATAGCATTTCAGGACTTCATGGCAACCCCAGAACCAGCCAGCAGCCTAAAGCCTTACCGGGGCTCCCTCCTCAGGAGTGGCCTGTGAAGAGGGGACGCACACGCATTCACACTCATGCACACACACACACCGAGACAGAGGAGGGCCTGGCCAGAGCAGGGGTGTCAGCAGAGGGGACGCACACGCATTCACACTCATGCACACACTCACACCGAGACAGAGGAGGGCCTGGCCAGAGCAGGGGTGTCAGCAGAGGGGACGCACACGCATTCACACTCATGCACACACACACACCGAGACAGAGGAGGGCCTGGCCAGAGCAGGGGTGTCAGCAGAGGGGACGCACACGCATTCACACTCATGCACACACTCACACCGAGACAGAGGAGGGCCTGGCCAGAGCAGGGGTGTCAGCAGAGGGGACGCACACGCATTCACACTCATGCACACACACACATCGAGACAGAGGAGGGCCTGGCCAGAGCAGGGGTGTCAGCAGAGGGGACGCACAAGCATTCACACTCATGCACACACACACTCACACCGAGACAGAGGAGGGCCTGGCCGGAGCAGGGGTGTCAGCAGAGAGGACGCACACGCATTCACACTCGTGCACACACACACTCACACCGAGACAGAGGAGGGCCTGGCCAGAGCAGGGGTGTCAGCAGAGGGGACGCACAAGCATTCACACTCATGCACACACACACTCACACCGAGACAGAGGAGGGCCTGGCCGGAGCAGGGGTGTCAGCAGAGGGGACGCACACGCATTCACACTCGTGCACACACACACTCACATCGAGACAGAGGAGGGCCTGGCCGGAGCAGGGGTGTCAGCAGAGGGGACGCACACGCATTCACACTCGTGCACACACACACTCACACCGAGACAGAGGAGGGCCTGGCCGGAGCAGGGGTGTCAGCTCCAGGACCAGGAGTTCCCAGGCAGAACCTGATGGTGGGGCGGGGGGGTTCCTCACACACCCCACACCCCTGCCTATGCCCAGACCTCCAGCTTCAGGCTCTGCATCCACACGGAGGCTTCGGATTGGGCGCAGCCTGGGAGCACACAGACCGGCCAGGGCCAGGGCCAGGACTGGCATTTCCCGGGCTCCTGGTCCCATCCTGCCCCTCCCACCGGGTCGGCCCTGTCCTTGTCTTGCTCAGCTCGGGGGAAGCACCTCTCGCCAGCCATCTGGGGCTTGGCTGGGCCTCAGCCTCCTGGCTGCCACGTCTCACTGGGAGCTGGGCGGCCGCCAGCTCTGAGCTAAGTGAGCGCAGAGGAGAGTGCAGGGAGCGGCAAGGCCAGGCTCCTCCCCACCCCGTGGCGTGGCGTGGCGTGGCCGGAATACTCAGTTTTCCCTGCTTTTTGAGACAAGAGTAGTAAATGCACCGTGCTGTACTCAGAGCCCAGGAAGCAGCCCTCCCACCCACAGCGCTCCTGCCTCTGCAGCCCCCCGGGCCGTGTCTCTCTCTCACGGGCCCACATCCTCACTGGACTGTCTCCCTTTTACAGATGAGGTGAGACAGCATGCAGAGGCCCATGTGCTTGTCCCACAGGGTGACGGGCCAGAATTACAAGCCCCTGATTCTGGGGGCTTCCACGCTCTTCCACCAAGCCCTTGTAGCCTTCCTGCACCCAGGTGGGGCTCCTGTCCCCCGCCAGTGCCCCCAACCTCTACTCCAGCAGACCTCCACCTACAGACAGGAGTCTTGGGCACACACTTTTTTGTGCCAGGCCCAACCAAGAGCTGCAAGGGACATAGGAATGTCCCTTAGCATGGCCCGGGAGCCTCAAGCCCAGGGCCTACCTAGAAGTAACTCTCTTTCCTGACATTAAGCGACTCCCCTCCCAGAGCCTAATCACAGCCAGCTACGCCCCCTTCTCCCAGTTATTCAAGCCTGGAAGGAACCTGGAAGTGGTACTGGATTCCTACACCCACCCCCCCCACAATCCCCAAGGCCCCACCCCGGCCTCCTCCTCCCCCTGCCCCTGCATGGAGCAGGCCTCACTCACTCTCTCTCTTCTGTTCCTCCTGGGTCCCTGCCTCAGACCCTCCCACCTAACACAGCCTCTGCCCCACCCCAGAGGGCTCCTCCCAAGACACGCGTCCACGTCGCCATGGACAAGATTAAATACCCTGGCTTCTGGAAAGCACTGAGGCCACAGTTGGCTTCTGGAAAGCACTGAGGCCACAGTTGGCTTCTGGAAAGCACTGAGGCCACAGTGCTTTGGGAAGGTCATGTCGGGATCCCAGGGCTGACTGCACTCCTGCCAGTGAAGTGGGGGTGTCCCCAAAGGGGGTTTGTTTCCCACCATTGGGAGCCAGGATCCCAGGTCAGGAAACAGAGCTTGGGTGGGAGGGAAGCCATCTCTGGGGACTTTCCTCCCATCTCCCTTGTCCCGCTCACGAGGAGAAGCCAGAGCTAGAAGCTGGCATGAGCCCTCCTAGCACCACCAGCCACAGTCTCCACCTCCGGGGACACGAGCTGGGATCTGAGTGGCGCAGGTACTACGTTCTAGAGACGCCGTACCCAGGACCGCCCATGGCACGCAGAGGAAAACTGAAACAACGATCCTTCCAGAGACAAAGCACAGCCCCAGATGGCCACAGGAACTGGCCGCCCCCAGGAGCTGCTGAGCACAAACGCCACTGGAGAGAGGGCTTGGTGGCTGCACCGAAGAGCAGAACAGAGGAACTGAACAGCCACAGCCACCGCAGAACTGGGGGATCTGGACAGAGCTCTCGCTGTGTGCTAAGAAAGGAGCAAGAGACAGAGGGCAGGGAGAAAAGCTGCGAGACGTGGGCAAGTCCCAGAAGAGAGTCGGGGAGGTGAGAGAAGGAATATTTCAAAAAACAAAATTACATGAAAGATTCCAGCATGGATGGGTTCCTAGAGGCCTTATCAATACATATATAAGAAAAAGCTCCATAGCTAGACCCACGATAATGAAACCTAAGAACATCAAAGACAAAGAGAAAGTTCAAAAGCTCCCAGAGGGAAAGAGCAGATCAGATCAGTGTAAACAGGGAGGCAGCAGGCAGACATCCAAGTCCCAGACTGGGGCGTGGGCACCGGGCAGCAGACGGGAGACAAGAGCCCAGGAAGTCCTGCTGGCAAAGAATTCAAAGGCTCTTGCCTGGAGGGAAGAGGCTGCCCCATTCCGAGGCCAGAGCCACCGCAGCAGAGGACAGCTGTGTCCCTCAGAGGGGTCGGCAGGGACAGAGGCCACACCAGAGCAGCAGAGATCTAGCAACCCAGAAGGGTGACACCCTGGGAGATGCTGAGAGCAGCAGGGCCCTCAGGAGCAGGGCTGGGGAGTCGGCCACAGCTCAGGGGGTCATTGCATGTGGGCATCCCAGGCTCCTGCCTAGGCCCCCTAGGGCTCCCCAGCCCCACAGAACACCCTCCCCACTCCCAGGGATGGCATTTGAGACCTTCCTGCTGTGTCCCTCCAGGAACCTGTGAGCTCCAAGAGAACAGAAGGCTGCCTCTTCAACCCCAGTCCAGCAAGGCCCAGGGCAGAGCAGGCACGGAGAACTGCTGTCGAACATGAAGTGGGGACGGGACGCAGTGGTGTACACCTATAATTCCAGCACTTTGGGAGGCCAAGAACCGCTTAAGTCCAGAAGTTCAAGATCAGCCTGGGCAACATAGTGAGACCCCATCTCTACAAAAAATAAATTTAAAAAATTAGCCAGGCATGGTGGTGCACACCTGTACTTTCAGCTACTTTGGAGGCTGAGGCAGGAGGATCCCATGAACCAGGAGGTCAAGGTTGCAGGGAGCTACGATTGCACCACTGCCTTCTAGCCCGGGAGAGAGCAAGACCCTGTCTCAAAAAAAGGAAATATATTTAATTTTTTAAAAAGAATACACAGTGGTGAGAAAGGATGGAAAGAAGAGAGGAAAGGAAGGAAAGGATAGGGAAAGAACAAAAGAAGGAAAGAAAGAAATTCCAGCTAATTCTCAGCAACAGACAATTACAGGAACACAAGGACAAAGCCCAGAGCCCCAACCCCACGTGGCCTGGGTCCCCACAGCCTCCAGCCCTCCTGTCACTCTGCCAGCTGGCAGCAGGGCCACCTCTGAGCATCCTTTTCCTCAGCACTTTGGCGTCTTTCCTCCCAGTGGTTTCTTGGTAGTTCCTCATAAATCCATGCGTAGGTCTGGCTACAGCTATCCTTGTCCCTGAAGATGGACTCAGCTAGCAGAGTCGCTGATATGGTAACACAATATCACACATCTCATCCAAGCCTGCTCGGACGCTGCCCTTCTGACCCCGATTCCTGTCACCAACACAACAGGAAAGGAGCTTGAAGACCCAGGAGGCCACAGCACAGTTCCTCGTGGAGGGAGAGAGATGCGAGCAGGTGGGCGGAGGGTGCACTCATGAGACTTCTATAAGCACGGACCCAGAGGCCATCCCAGCGACACTGTGTGGGGACTCCTGCACCTCTTCCTGCTGCCCAGACCATGGGTGGCCAGCAGCACTGCAGTGTTGGTGTAATCTATGTCCCCCGGATGGCCAGCGGGCACAGAGCATATGTGTGCTGAGGGACACATGCCCCACACAAACGCCCCCACATGTGCATCGCATACATCACCCACACACACACGTGTACATTTCAGCACGCGTCTAGGGGAGGTTAGCGTGCCAGCACCAGCTGAGACTCCCTGGCCAGACTCATCGCCAGCTGGGGAGAGTGGAGCAGACGTACAGGATGGAGGGTAGAGGTGGGGCTGGTCCACAGTGAGGGAGGGAGGCAGGTGTAGACTGGGCCAGGGAAAGGTTCTGGAAACCCAGACTGAAGGTTCCCTGGGGTCCCTGGGGCTCATCCAGGGCTGGGGTGGAGCCGGGACATGAGGAACGGGCAGTGATGAATCTGAAGCCCTGCTGGTCAGCAGAGCCTCCACCTGCACGTCCTCCCCAAAGGTCAGGCAGGCTTCACCCTGGCCACGTCTCTACCCTGGCCATTAGCAAAGAGGCCCCCCTTGGACCAGGAGGAACACAGCAGGCCAGCCCTCCTGCCCTTCCCATCCAAGGCTCCAGCCACTCTCATGGAGACTCTGAGCTGAGACACTCCCAGCAGAAAGGGTCATTTATCTCAGAGCTTAACTAGCCCCTTCCAATTAGTGAGGAATAAAATGGCAGCATTTACTCTGAAGAACTGCGATGCGAGAGTATTAATTAAATGCGCTGCCGCTGAGCCTCAGCACACAGGAGGCTGAGCCCTCATTAAAAAGGCATGAGACTAAAGCAAGACAGGGAGGAGAGGCGGGGCCAGCTAGACAGGGGATGGGGAGAGAAGGAGATGCCGGGCGGGGCGGGGACAGCCAGGGACGGCCACAGCTGCCCTGCCAGGAGGGACAGGGCCCACTGCAAAGTGGGACAGCTGCTTCTAGCCCTCTCACAAGAAGGCTGGTGGGGAAGAAGCCAAGCACACGCAGAGGGTGCTCCCGCACACCCCTCGCCTCCGTCTTTTTGGAATCTTGACAGTTAGAAGACGACAAGGGCCACTGTCCAGTGGCTG
Organism: Homo sapiens; assembly: GCF_000001405.40. Lineage (NCBI taxonomy): Eukaryota > Metazoa > Chordata > Mammalia > Primates > Hominidae > Homo > Homo sapiens. Next base: position 83,341 of record NW_016107298.1, read on the forward strand.
GCATTTGTCCCCATGAGACCACAGAGAGGCAGAGGACAGCTCCTTCTCAGACCAGGGCAGGTGGGGCAATGCCAAGGCCCCCTCGGCTCAGGATGGAGCTGAGCCTCCCCAGGATGACTCCCCTGGGGGAAACACTGATGTCGCTGTTTGAGCGTTGAGACGTTGGGGCCTGGCCTCTGAGAGGCGGGGCCCCGAAGGGTCTTCCAGGAAGGTCAGACCCCAGCCCAAAAGCAGCAGGCCTGGGCCACAAAGAGAGCTGGTCCCTGGGCCAGAAAGCCCTCTTCCACCATGCACTCTGGGCAAGGGGCGTGTGTGCCATTAGGAACACAGCTGCACGCTATTTCTCTCCTGTCTTCCTCCAGCTGAAGATTTCACACAGCCCTGTTATGACTGAGGGTTCCCAACAGCTATTCCCTCAACACACAGGCCCCCACACACATGCATGTGCACTCATGCACTCCCACATGCAGCATGCATGCACCCACATACAAATGTCCATACGCATCACATGCACCACGTGTGCACTCACACGCAGGCGTCACACAGGCACCATGCAGACGCATGCACACACACATCACTCATATGTGCATCTCCTGTGACACATGCATCACATACACATGTCCACACATGTGCACTACACACAAGTACACACATGCACCAGAAAAATGCCCCATGCATGTGCATGGCAGACATTACCCACACATACACATGTGCATCGGTCATACATGTGTATCATATGCAGGTATCATATGTACAGGCATGCAGTGCACACATGCATGCATCAAGCACATGCATTATACATGCACACGCCCACACATGTGCACACATGCATGACACTCATGCACTCACACATGCCTCACATTTGCACACATGCATCACTGACGTGCTCACACATCAGCCACACACATGCACTCACTCACACCCTCCTGCTGCTCCCAGCCTCACTGCCTGCTTGCTTACTTTCCCAGTTCCTGCCACTACCTGAGAAGGTGTTTATTTGGCCTTTTGCTTATTGTATGTCTCTACCACCTCATCCTACCCCTCCCAGCCCTCCCCATCCACACTCAACCAGTAGAATAGAAGCCTCTCCCCTCTGTTGAGGCAAAAAGCTGTGACCCTCTTTTCACCCAGAAACCACAGGAAGCATGCGTGCAGACTGGACTCAGCCTTCACCAGCCCCCGCAGTCATTACGCCTGGCTCCCCAGCACCCAAACCCAGGTCCCCACTGGTCAGCACGTTCACACCCAGCCTGCCACATCTCCGGCCTGGCCCACAGAATGCCTGGTCCCAGACTCCTAATGTAGGAAGACTGCCCTGCCTGATCTCAAGGCTTGCTTCTCTGCATTCAGGCCACTCCTGCTGCCCAGCCTGACGGCTCCTGGAGCAGCCGGTGATCAGTCAACCTCCCCAGCCTTCTGTTTGCCTTGCAGAGCCAGCCGACTCCCAGGAGAGCTGTAGAGGCTGGTCAGCAGCCTCACTGTCCCTGCCCTGCCTGGTGAGGGAAGGGAGGCCACGGAGGAAATTCCCTCCCGCTCCATGTCTGCCTCGTGTCCTTCTCTCTCCTGCTGTGCTCCTGGGCAGCAGCTCCCTCCTCCAGCCTTCCAGGTCTCCCAATCCTGGCCCCAGCCACTTCCTTGGGAACCCTAAGCCTGCCTGGAGTCCACCCTCCTCCATTTTTTTGGGTTTTTTTTGAGACGGAGTCTCGCTCTGTCACTCAGGCTGGAGTGCAGTGGCACGATCTTGACTCACTGCGAGCTCCACCTCCTGGGTTCACACCATTTTCCTGCCTCAGCCTCCTGAGTAGCTGAGACTACAGGTGTCCACCACTACGCCTGGCTAATTTTTTTTTTTTTTTTTGTATTTTTAGTAGAGACGAGGTTTCACCATTTTAGCCAGGATGGTCTCAATCTCCTGACCTTGTGATCCGTCCACCTCAGCCTCCCAAAGTGCTGGGATTACAGGCATGAGCCACTGTTCCTGGCCCACCCTTCTCCTTCTGATAGCACAGCCCCTGTGTCACTCAGGAACCAGCTCTCATCCCTGCGTCACCAGTGGGCAAGGAGGGCACATGACCCAGCCTAGGCCAGGTAGAATACGTTGTCATCTGACTACATGAACATAGCTCAGGGATGAGGACTTGCCACAAGGTATTCCATGAAGTTAAATCCAGGAACTATTGCTGGAATTGTTGGAAAGGAAAAGCTGTTTCCCCCGGGTTGTTGCCCTGTGAGGAGGTAATGCAGCAGCTGCCTGCATCCATTTTTCTGCCTCAGAGAAGAGCAGGCCTGAGAGTGAAATCGACACAGAGGAGAGCAAAGCCAAGGGTTGGGGATGTGGGAAAAAAAACAACTGAAAATTTATTTGGGCACCTGGATCCAGCCACACCTGAAGCTAGATAGTTCTAGATATTTTTCTTTTTGCAGATTAACCAATAAGTTTTTTTTTCTTTTTTCTGAAGCCACTTTTACTTGGATTTCCAACACTTGAGGAATAACACCTGACTAATACACTCTCTCTTCTATAGCTTCAAACTCTCCATCTCCCGGATCCTCATCCTCGGTCCCTGAGCAAACTCAAGCCACCTAAAATCCTCTGTGCTCGAGGCAGGGCCACACACACATCTACACAAGCGCACACGTAAACACTGCACTCACATCTAAGACTGCACACCCTCCGCAGCTGATGTCTGCCCCACCGCAGCATGTGTGCCATGCGCACCAGCTTCCCTCCACTCCCTTGCCTCTCACTGGCCCCTCACCTGGTCAGTCTAGCTTCCACCAACTCCCCAGCGACCCTGCAAAGCCCCCTCTTGGCTGCTGGGCCTGATGCCCCCTGCCATCCCAATTCCCTGAACCCCCTCCTCTTGAACCTCTCTCATCCTTTAGCAGGTGGGCAGCCCCGCTCCTAAGACTCCACTGCCTCCTCCACTTGTCTGCACATGGTGGGGGGCCAAGGAGCACTTCCTTCCCCTTCTGCCTCCCTCTTCCTTTGGTGCCCGCCCACCCACCCTAGGATGTGGAATCCACAGCCCTCCATACAGAGCGCTCCCAACCCGAATTCTACCCAGACCTTGCCCCTGCACCTAGGACCTGCATTTCCAGCTGCCAGACTCCTTCCAAGAGACAGCCCCAGTGACAAACCCTCTCTCCAAGCTACCCTTCCTCTCTACCACCCATCTGTGCAAGTCAAAAGCTGGGGAGTGCTTTTCCTCAGCCTCTCCCTCAGCCCCCAGGCCCACAGACCCAAGTGCCTGGAGATCCCGGCCTCTCCATGTTTCCTGAGTAGATTATGCTGCCTCTATTGAAAGATGTTCCGGCAGAACACTGGATGATCCAGAAATATTTCCATTATATGTGGCATGGGCAGAGGCAGATCACAAAGGGAAGGTACAATACGACCCTTTTGTCATTAAGTATGTTTACACATATGTGCATGGACGTGGGAGACACACAAAAATGTTGAAAGCTAATGGCACTGCAGGGATTTCCATTTTCTCCTTTTGGCTTATTTCTGCATTCTGTTTTATATGAAGGCACATACGACAGTTTTTAACTTAAAGACAGGACAAAAAGTTGCCAGCCATCGTGAGTCACCCCAGGACTGCCGGTGCTGGGAATGCCAAAATCTGATGGGACCCAGCGCAGGTGGGGAGAGGAGCAGAGGATGCACCCACGGCCCGTGCCTTCTTTGAATCAGTCCTCACGGGGCCATCTCAAGGTGGAGACTCTGAAAGTGCAGAGAAGTGAAATAACCCGCCCATGGTCACACAGGAGGGAGTGCAGGGTCCAGTTCTCCCTCCCCCACCCAGGTCCGCACTACAGGCTCTGATCCACGCCCTCCCTTGAGGACAAACCCTGAGCCACGCTGGGTCCTCCCGCAGGCCCTGAAATAGAGCTTCATTGCCACATCAGACACCGGGAGACGCGAGGAGGCCGTGAGCCAATTCCAGATGACTTGTCAAGGCTGCGCCAGCCACAGAGTCAGGGAAGCCTCTGGCTGCCTCTGTAATATAAGAACCAGGACTGAAGGCCCCTCTGGGAGGGCACTAGACGAGGGCCTCGGCAGCTCCGCAGGCAGGTGGGGCCCAGGCCAGGCGGGACAGAAACCCAAATGTGGCGATGCAAACTGGACAGAAAGAGGCCTCTCTGGGCTGCGGCTCCCTCACTCGGGGCCTGACGGTACCAGGGGGAGTTAATCTCTCACACACAAGCTGGCGCCAGACCCCTAACTGCAGGTGTCCCTAAGGAGAGGTGCCTGGCAAGTCCTCTCCTGGGAGTGGACGCTCTCCTCCTGAGCACGGTGTGGAAGCAGGGCCGTGCCCAGCATGGGTGCGTGAGGACTGGATCCTGCCTGCAGACAGGACTGGCGGGAGGCAGAACTTGAGCTGCCTAGGACTGAGGCCACTCCAGAGCCAAGACTGACAGTCTCCACAAAACCAAGGAGCCCTCACCTGTCTCATGGCTGGCAGGGGCTGCACAGGAAGTGACAGAGGCCTGGTGCCCTCGAGAGGCAGGCACCGAGCCAGCCAGTGTCAGGGAGCAGGTCTGCACATCTGATGGAAAATCCATCCGTGGTCCCCCTTCTGACAGGCCTTTGGCTGCCTTCCCTTCTAAATAGCTGCGAAGGGAAATGGCCTGGCAGAAGGAAAGACAATGGGGCCCCAGGGGCAGCAGTCCAGGAGGGCCTGGGCCCCCCACCCTCCAGCTGTAGGACTCCCAAGCTAAGGACAGAGAGAATACTTTGGGGAGGAGAAAGAAGCAGACACCAGGCTTCGTGGCAGGTGTCAGCATGGCTGAGGGCAGGCAGAACAGCCGCCAGCTTGATCTGGACACCTGGTCCTGCCACAGGCCACAGCACTTGCCAGGGGCCGTTGGGACCTGTCACTGCCCTGTGGGAGCTCCCTGGAGAGTTCTTAACCTGGGCTCCATAAACTGGGAAAAGAGAACACTTCAACTTCATCTTTACTAACTGGGAACTGAAAGCTGCCATTCCCTTCAACTCTGGAGAGAGGCAGCAACCCCAGACTTAACAGCACCTGCGCCCGTCAGGGCAGAAATCACAGGCTTCGGCAACTGTCAGCACCGCTGCTGCAGACCAGACCAAATGGTGTTTACACTCAGCACAACTTAAATTATAGAGGCTGTAAGATGCACTCCTAGGTCTTATTATTTAATGCATCAATTAAAAGCACACAAAAAAGTTTTACATGAATGTTCCTGGCAGCATTATTCACAAGAGCTAAAGGGTGGAAACAACCCAATCCATCAACCCATGAGTGGATTTAAAAAACTGTGGTACATCCATGCAATGGAATCATATCTTTCCATCCAAAGTAATGAAGCTCTGATGCATGCTGCAACCTAGATGAACCTTGAAAACATTATGCTGAGTGAAAGAAGCCAGACACAAAGGGCAAATATTGTGTGATTCATTTATACTAATGAAATGCCCAGAACAGGCAAATCTATACAGGCAGAAGGTAGGTCAGTGGTTGCCTAGGCCTGGGAGGACGGGGTAATTGGGGGTTACTAAAGGGTCTGGGGTTTCTTTTCAGAGTCTTGAACATGATCTAAAATTGTGGTGATGGTTGCACCATTCTGTGAACATACTAAAGCCATTCATTGAATTTTACGTTATAAGTTGGTAAAATACATAGTATGTGAATTATGTCTCAATAACATTATTATCAAAAATGTGTAAGGTATAATAATGATTAAAAATTTTAAAAGCATGTGTATGTTGATAGCTTTATTTTTCTCTTTTTTTTTTTTTTTGAGACAGAGTCTCACTCTATAGCCCCAACTGGAGTGCAGTGGTGCGATCTCAGCTCACTGCAACCTCCACCTCCAGGGTTCAAACAATTCTCGTGCCTCAGCCTCCTGAATAGTTGGAACTACAGATGCCCGCCACCACGCCCGGCTAGTTCCTTGTATTTTAGTAGAGGCAGGGTTTCACCATGTTGCCCAGGGTGGTCTCAAACTCCTGAGCTCAGGCCATCCTCCTGCCTTGGCCTCCCAAAGTGCTGGGATTATAGGCGTGAGGCACCATGCCTGGCCGATAGCTTTATTTCAATCAGATTTATTTCCTTTGTATTTTGTAGTGTACACTAAACACATTATTTTGATCAGGGGTCCATGGGCCTCACCAGGCTGGCAGGAGGGTTCACGACATGGAACAGCTGTGCTAACTACCAGGACAGAAGACAGGAAGGTTTGCTGGAAGAGGGGTGATGAGAAGTTGGCCAGGCCTATGGGGTTCCCAGCATTCAGGCAAAAGCCCAGAGGTCCTCAGGGACCCCCCCACTGTCTGCTCTGCTAATGCAAAGCCCATGAGGCCCAAGGAGTCTCAGCTTCTTCAGCCACCCGATCACACCCCGACACACACTAGGCCCTGGTTCCTTCAAGTCCTTAGGTCATTTTCAGATTCAACTTCAGCCAAGACAAATGGTCCCCTCCTGCACCTGCCACAGGCACTGTTTCCAACGTGGGCAGAGTTGACAGTTGATGGGTGTGTGTGATCTTTCGGAGCTCCTGTCCCAGGCCCACAGGATGAACGGGAAGGTGGACATGGTGGGTAGAGCAAGCAGGAAATGATGATGGTCAGGAGGGGCCTTGAATGCTGGTTCTGGGGGCCTGTGCTTTACCCTCAAAGTGGAGGAGCCATGGGGAGCATTTCGGGTGGGGCACGGAAGGGAGACCGCGTGCTTATCATGGGCAGCTGGAAGGGAGTGGGAGAAACGGGGGCAGGGAGAAGACAGGGCAGATGTCCTGGAGACAGAAGGCAATGGGGACCCATAGCTCCTCCTGACACATCAGCCTGGCTTTCCTCTGGGGCCCATCCTCTCCCCGACCCACTCCCAGAGGGTCAGAGGACAGACGCCAGCCCTGGAGCCACAGCAGTCCTGTGACGAGGCCTGGCCAGCCGAAGTCCTGCTCCGCTGTCCTGGCCATAGTGATTTGCCTGAAGCATGTGACCCAACCTGAGCCAGTGAGAACTCACCACTGGGCTCTCCCAGAAACCCTCGGGGAACCTGGGCCTCTCTCTGCCGGGCGGCTGGTGCACTGCCCAGGCAGGACCCACGGGGAGGGCGGCTGAGCTGAAACCGTGCGGGAGGCCTGGGCTGCCGCCCTGAGCCCCGCATTCCCCCTTTGGCCCCAGCCGCTTCTGCCCCGGTTTTCTGTCACTTGCAGTCACAGGAGTGTGGACCTGGGGATGGCCTGTGGGAGGGACAGGGGCACAGGCACCAGCTGCACAGGTGTGGATGGGAGGACAGGAGCGAGGCCAGCCGCCTCTGGGCCACACCCTCCGGATTCACTCCCAAAGGAGAACGGCCAGGCGGCCAAGTCCTCCCAGCTGAGGGGTGCGGAGGAAGGGATCAGAGCGCTCCCCCAACAAAGGCTGCCTCTCCGTCCTGCACATCCCCTCGCCACACTGACCTCCATTTCCCTTCTTGGGGCCTGCCCGCCACGAGACTCTTCTCCCATTCCAGACTGGAAATCTTTTCCGCATCTTGACTAATTGTTTTCAGGTGGGAAGGATTTGGTGGAGAAATGGCGTTTGTGTGTGCGTGTGTGTGTGTGTGTGTGTGTGTGTGTGTCCACCCCCAGCCGGGCAGCTGCCCCAGGAATGCTGTATTGGCGGGAAGAGCTAGAGGACCCTTGGCCTCAGCCATGTCCTGAGGGGCTCTCGGTGATGTCAGCGGCTCCTGGCCTCTTCCAGTAAACATCTGTTCTTATTCTGACCCAGGAATTCCATTTCAGAACAGTAACGGCCTCCACTGGCAACACATCCCAGGCCGGTGATGCCTGGGGCAGGGAGAGCATCCTACCCCGGCCTGTGCCCCGCCCCCGGCCCCGCCCCCCACTCCCATGCCCGCCCAAGCCCCGCCCACAGAGCTCTCAAAAGGGACAAAATCTGCACCTGGCTCCGTGTGTCCAAGCGCTTTCACACTGTGGTCCCTCCTAGCAGCGCCATCAGGAAAATATGATCTTGTAGTAACAGGCCCTTCGCTGCTCAGTGCTGGCCCTCGCTTCATTTAATCCTCATCATAACCCACCAGAGTAGTTACCGTCATCAGCTTTTACCTTTCACAGATGAGAAACAGGAGGCTCGCTCGCCCAGGGAGGGAGGGAGCAGAAAACCAAGCCCACGTGTTGGAGCGAGATCGCGTCTGACTCCAGCGCACGGGACCTTGCAGGGGCTGATGGCCAAAAACTGAAGTCATGGGAAGGAGAGGGAGAGGGAGAGGGAGAGAGAGGGGAGGAAGAAATGACCGTTCCAAAGCCCATGCAGCACTCATCTCAAAATAAGAGAAACTCTCAGGTGCCTACACAGGGAGTGAATGCGCGTGAAGCCCGCCAGGGTAATGATAGGGAGCAGCAGAGACTCCCAAGGCACCTGGAACTGTGGGACCCTTCTAGAGGGTTCCATCCTTGCTCAGCTCTAGCCCTCCAGCACATAGGCCCGGCAGATTTCCTGGTTCTCAAGAGAAACTGGAAATCTTGAGCTTTGTGAGAAATTTTCAAACACTGGAAAAGCCAAACAAAACTCATCTGTGGGTGGACATGGCCCGTGGCCCACCAGTGTGCAAACTCCGCCCTGCACAATGGGAACCCTGAAGTGCAGAAAATTATCTCATTGTGAAGGGTAAGGCAGGGACTCAAAACAGGGCTCCTCAGTCCACATTCATAGAGTCTCCAGGTTGTACCACCGAATCTACTCGCCAGCCTTCTCCTGAAAGTGTCTCACTGAACCACATCCCCCGTAGAAACTCAGGGCATCTTTCAAAGACCGCAGTTTTCCTGCCAGCCTGCAAACAACCCTGTGCATGCCCGGTGCACTGCTCCCCAACCACAGGGGACACCTAACAGACCACGAGGGACTGAGAGAGCCTCCTTGACTGAAAGGGAAGGTCAACCGCCGCCACTCATCCCCATAAAACCACAACATGGGCACATCCTGCGTTCGAAGCTCTACTTGATGCAAGAGAGCAGGGAAAGGAAAGCCGTGCCACCGTGGGGAAATGGGCCTGGGAGATCCATTCAGGCCAAGGTTTGTCCACTTTGGGTCTACCACCACCAGCATTCACAGAAGAAGCAGCACCTGGTTCTCAATTCCCTTAGAAGCGGGGCTAGATGCTCTGAAGGCATGGTTGTAGCTCCCACACAAAATTACTAAAGACATAAAACGAAAACATGTTGAAAAAGAAGAGACAATATTATGAACTGCAGAAAGTAACTGCACACGTAGAGAATCCTCACCCCCAAAAACATCCAAAAAAAGGAACCAAATAATAACAAGGAAGTTCATAAAAAGTCTAGATGCAAAATAAATAGAGAAACTCATATATCTGGGAACGCAAACATGGGAAACATCCAAGCGAGAGATTTAGGTTTGTTTTGTTTTGTTTTTTGAGACAGAGTCTCGCTCTGTCGCCCAGGCTGGAGTGCAGTGGTGCAAGCGATCTGAGCTCACTGCAGGCTCCGCCTCCCGGGTTCACGCCATTCTCCTGCCTCAGCCTCCCGAGTAGCTGGGACTACAGGCGCGCACCACCACGCCCGGCTAATTTTTTGTATTTTTAGTAGAGACGGGGTTTCACCGTGTTAGCCAGGATGGTCTCGATTTCCTGACCTCGTGATCCACCCGCCTCGGCCTCCCAAAGTGCTGGGATTGCAGGCGTGAGCCACCGCACCCGGCAAGAGATTTATTTCAGAAGGACTTTTTGTGATTATCTGTGGTTCATATTTGTGCCATTCTAGTAACAGAGAGACTGCTTTGCTAAGACATGGGAAGATGCAGGTCATTGGGAGCAAAGGATCTGAAGCAGGGGCTGTTGCCAGGAAGGGCGCGCCTTGAGGACAGCAATGCTGGGGCTTGGGCTTGCCAGGTCAACCATGGGTATCAAGTGGTTCGTGGCAGCTCTGCACATGCATGTATGATTTGCACTAATGTGTCATTTTTAACTCTGTTTTCTCCCTGGGAATAAAGATGTCTAAATTCTGAGAATATCATTAGTCTGAAAGAAGCAGGTCCCAGGTATTCTGAGTAAATAATCACCTACTGTATTATAAATTAAAAGTGTTCCCAGATAACAATCTGGTGTAAAATATAATGGAAAAGACCCTATTGACAATGGCAATAACATTCTAAGTCTCTTAGTAATAAACCTACTGGGCTATGTTTTTAAACATCTGAATCAATCTTCTTATTTCCGTGAGAAAATTAAACATCATGAAGATGTCGTTCATTTGTTCAGCAAAGATTTGCTGAGGGCCTTCTGCAAAGGGGACACTACTTTAGGCATTTTTTTAAAACCTCACGATGGTGATACTTGCCCTATCAGATGTCAGAACATATTGTCAACCAACAGCAATTAAAGACCCCTGGACTGGTGCAAAAGAAAAACAGAAAAGGCCAGGCACAGTGGCTCATGCCTGCAATCCCAGCACTTTGGGAGGCCAAGGAGGGCGGATCACGAGGTCAGGAGATGGAGACCATCCTGGCTAACACGGTGAAACCCCGTCTCTACTAAAAATACAAAAAATTAGCCGGGTGTGGTGGCGGGCGCCTGTAGTCCCAGCTACTCTTGAGGCTGAAGCAGGAGAATGGCGTGAACCCAGGAGGCAGAGCTTGCAGTGAGCCGAGATAGTGCCACTGCGCTCCAGCCTGGGCAACAGAGTGAGACTCCGTCTCAAAAAAAAAAAAAAAAACAAAACAAAACCCAGAAAGGCCAGAAATAAACCCCATATCCTCCATGAACTTCACAGATGATGGAATATACATTCCAAAGTCAAGAAGAAAGAGTGAATTAGCAAACGAATGGTGTTGAGACAACAGCATGGCAATTTAGAAAAAAATGAACACTTAAAACCAACACCTTATACAGTATAAGAAACACATTTCACTTGAATTAAAGGAGTTATATATTTAAAAATCAAGTCAGGAAAAAAGCAAAACATATAATGGAGTATTTCTTTGAAAGGCTGATACTTTTCTACAGGCTGAGTAACCAGAAGAAAGCAACTAGAGAGGCTGACAGAGCTGACCGAAGAAACAAAACACCAGCCCGGCAGAATAAAAAAGGAAGCTCTGCAAATATAAACCCACCCAAGCTAGCAGAGGGTTAATGACTAGCCCCAGGGAGAACCAATCAGCTTCAGAGGAGGAAAGTTGGGGGCCGTAACCACCAGCCATTAAAGAAACAAGTTTCAGGCCGGGCGTGGTGGCTCACGCCTGTAATCCCAGCACTTTGGGAGGCCGAGGCGGGTGGATCATGAGGTCAGGAGATCGAGACCATCCTGGCTAACAAGGTGAAACCCCGTCTCTACTAAAAATACAAAAAATTAGCCGGGCGCGGTGGCGGGCGCCTGTAGTCCCAGCTACTCGGGAGGCTGAGGCAGGAGAATGGCGTGAACCCGGGAAGCGGAGCTTGCAGTGAGCCGAGATTGCGCCACTGCAGTCCGCAGTCCGGCCTGGGCGACAGAGCGAGACTCCGTCTCAAAAAAAAAAAAAAAAAAAGGAAACAAGTTTCAACAATAACACGATTGCCTGACTCCCACCAAGGGTCCCAGGCCAGCCCAGCCCCAGCGGACTCCTGCAGGCCTTGGGGAGCCAGGTGGGCACCTGCAGGCAGGTTGGGGGAAGGCTGTGAGGACTCTGAGCCCCCAGAGTCTATCAGGACAGGCTGACACCAAGACAGAGACGGCCTACATCTACCCACCCCATACCATGCCCAGTCCTGGACCAGCCATCCCTGGCCCCAAAGGCCACAGCGTAGTCACCACAGCTGAGACTGCCCCAATCAGGGCCACCTGCAATGTCCAGCAGCCTCCCTGCAACTGCCCCGGCTTTGGTTTTTAATGTCCCTAGTCCCGAGAATGCAGAAGCTCTGCAAAGAGAAGAACGCAGCAACTCTGGCAACCTGACTGTGGAGGCAGACACCTGGCACACATTTCCCCTCCCCCAGTGCCCGTGATCTCCACCCAGCGCTGCGCACCCTCCAACCTCCACTCCATTCACTCCCAGACGGAGCAAAGGCTGGCCTCATTGGCCACCTTGCCCAGCACACCACCTGCACAACCTTCCCAGCAGCCCTGCTCATCGGGCCACCCTCCCCAGTGAGGACACAGCCCGTGACAGCCTGGGCACCCCAACAGGAAAGACAGCCCAAAGGCCAAGCCGCCCTATCTGAGGTGGAGGATGCTCTGGCAGGGCAGGGACTCAGCCTTGACCTTGTTTGCTAGAAAATGCACCAAGAACTCAGTAGCAGGCCAAGGAGAGGAGACATGAATTCCCCTTTTCAGCAATTCACCCTGCTTGTACAGGTGGGGAGTTATCTGTACCTCTGAGGAGGTACAGATTTCATCTGGTGCTCCAGCTGCAGTGAAAGGAGCTGGCTCTGGGCTCTGTGGGACCTGGGGTGGGTCATCCCCATCGCTGTGCCCTGATTTCCTCCCAGCACATTGGGATGGCTCGTTGTTGGTTCCCAGAATGTACCAGGAAGGTACAGGTGCAGAGTGCAGCTGACGACGAAGGGCCCCCAGCCAGGAAGGGTCCCCAGGAGTCCTGGCTGATGAAAGACTCTGGGAAAGAAAGGTGGGAACGGGGAGAGGACAGAAGGGGCAGGGAGGGGAGAGGACATAAAGGGAGAATGGAGAGAAAAGGGAAAAAGGGGAGATGAGGGAGAAGAGAAGGGAGGGGAGTGGGAAAAAGAGGAATGAGAAAAGAAGGGGGAAGAGAGAGGAGGGAAGGGGAGGAGAAGCTGGAGGGAGAGGAGGGGGAAGGGAGGGAGAGGAGGGGGAAGGGAGGGAGAGGAGGGGGAAGGGAGGGAGAGGAGGGGGAAGGGAGGGAGAGGAGGGGGAAGGGAGGGAGAGGAGGGGGAAGGGAGGGAGAGGAGGGGGAAGGGAGGGAGAGGAGGGGGAAGGGAGGGAGAGGAGGGGGAAGGGAGGGAGAGGAGGGGGAAGGGAGGGAGAGGAGGGGGAAGGGAGGGAGGGGCTCCCAGCACCAGGACCCAGCACAACCGTCCTATGACAGTTGTCTCTGCAGCTGCATTTAGGGCTGTTCTGGAAACTCAGGCCTTCTCCCTGTCGGCAGGGCTGAGCCCTGGTCTGGGACCTCCCCTTGTTCTATCAGAGCCCCCAGGCTGGGTGAGGTCCACTGGGATCTGTTTTCACTCACAATGCTTCTGACACCAAACATGTGGTTTCCCTCACACCAACCAGTTCTCCAACCTCCAGACGCTAGCTGGGTGCCCCACAGTTGAGTGCAATGCTCATGCCAACTACCTGGGGTCAGCTTAGCCCTCAGGTTAAGGCCTCAGTCCCACACAGCAGCCCCACTTGCGGTGGCAAGTTCCAGCTTTCCACCTGTGCCTCTGACCAGGCGGCTATAAATTGGGCGGGTCCCACAACTCCCTCCTCAGGTTCTGTAATTTGCTATTAGGTTGGTGCAAAAGTAACTGTGACCTTGGAATCAGACAGACATGTGTTCATTAATAGAACAGATCACAGAACTCAGGGAGGCATTTTACTTACTATTTCCAGTTGATTATTAAAGACACAACCCAGGAACAGCTGCATGGGAGGGATGGGCAGGGCAAGGTAACGGGAAGGGCTGCAGAGCCTCCACGCCCTCTCTGGGCACTCACCCTCCCAGAACCTCCACCTGTTCACCAACCCAAAGCTCTCCAAACCTTGTCATTTAGGGGTTTTCATGGAAGTTCCATGACTCCCATCCCCAGAGGTTGGGGAAGTGAGGCTGAATTCTCAACCCAACAATCCAGAAACTCTTATATCAGGAACAAGGGGACTCAGACCAAATCTGATAATAAAAGGTGTTTCTATCACCCTTAACACTCAGGAAATTACAAAGGTTTTAGGAGCTCTGAGGCAGGAACCAGAGATGAAGAACAAACATACATTTATAATTTCCCACTATCACAGGGTCTCAGACAGTACCTCAGTCTGTGACCCAACCTGCATTGCCCCAGAAGCCCAGACCTCAGCTCAGGGCCAGTGTGCTGGGATCAGTGGCCAGTGGCCAGCCATCGTGCAGAGAGGGGAGGGCAGAGGGGAGGGAGGGAGGGGATGGGAGAGGAAGGGAGGGAGGAGTGCAGAGAGGAAGGGAGGGGAAGGAAGGGAAGGAGAGGAGACCAGGAGCCTCCCAGGGCCTGGGCACCTGCCTGGGAGGGCACTGAGGAGCACCAAGGAGGATGCCTACCACTGCCCCCACCTTGCCCTGATCAGGTCTGCAGGATCAGTGCTCAACGCCCATGGAGCTCCAGGTGGCCGCCAAGTGTGGACAGCCCTGCAGCAAAGGCCAGCTACTGCCCTGGGAGCCCTCACCCCCTTATCCTGCCCGCTTGCCTGTGAGGACCCCTCCCTACTGTGTGGCCTTGGGGATAGCCATGCGACGGCGGCTGCCTTCCTTCTGCCGGGGCTCTGAATTTCCAGGTGAGAGACCCGAGAGCAGAGGGCCAGGAGCCGACACCGCTGTGGCAGCTTCCCGCATCCCAAGCCGGGCCATGCCCACTGGCCATCGCTTCCTTCCACCTCAAGCCCCCCATGGAATTCCCTTTGACTGAGGCCAGCCAGCCTCATCCCCCTCTGCTCCCTCACTGACACACACCTTGTGAGGCAGGTGGTGTCTTAACTGGGAAAATGGAGGGTCACAGGCCAGCAAGAGAAGAGCCAGGCCCCAAGTCTGGTCTGTGAGCCCCCACTCCCCACAGCCCTCGCTAGTGAGCACCCGTCATGCTGTACAAAAGACTCTCCTGTGTAGCTTTTGAAAAGTACAGACCCCAGGGCTCACGCAGGTCTGATAAAGCAGAATCTCTCAGGATGGGGCCTATGTACAGATGCTGTGCAAAGCTCCTCAAATCCCATGCCCATCAGTGGGCAGGCAGAGAGATCACACAATGGAAATGCTCTTCTGCAAGACAAGCCACAGATTTGGTTTTTTTCTGTTTTTTTTTTTTTTTTTTTTTTTAGACAGAGTCTCACTCTGCTGCTTGGCTGGAGTGCAGTGGCGCAATTTCAGCTCACTGCAAGCTCCGCCTCCTGGGTTCAAGAGATTCTCCTGCCTCAGCCTCCCAAGTAGCTGGGACTACAGGCGTGTGCCACCATGCCCAGCTAATTTTTGTATTTTTAATGGAGATGGGGTTTCACCATATTGGCCAGGCTGGTCTCAAACACCTGACCTCAAGTGATCTGCCCGCCTCAGCCTCCTCAAGTTACACAGGCGTGAGCCACTGTGCCCCGCCTACAGATTTCTTCTAAGGAGGGAAATGTCTTTGCTTGGAAAAACACCTTCTAGAAGCACATGGGATAACAGATAACAGTGGGACTGGAAGAGCAGGAGACTCTGCAGACAGTGCCACCACCTCAGAGCAGCGGGCAAAGTCCGCTGTTAAGACACAGGAGGAGAATGGAGGGATTGCTCCAGAGAAACTGGACAGAGGGAGGGAGACGCCACTGGGAGGGAAGAAAGAACCCACAGATGAAAGTGGAAATGCCCCCACACATGGCCCAAAGGGCTTTCCAAGAACAGGGTCCTGTTCTTCCAGAAGTCACCCGCGTGGCCGGGAGGTGCTGGCTCCCCCACCTTCTGCAGGAAGGCTGCCCCTCCCTACGAGGGCTTCCCATGGTGCGTAAATGGGGACTGGGTTTCATTCCTGGCCCAGCAAAGTGGACAGCTGAGGCCGAGGCTGAGAACACAAACACCCCGGAATCGCAACACCTCTGGCTTTTGGAGGTGAGAGAAGGGAGCGTTAAGAGTTAAGACACATTTTATCTTGATTTCAGCTCCTTTACTGATAAAAATGGGATCTTAGAAAACGAGAATTCAGAGGATATTGCCTTCACATGAAATCCATCTTAATCCACAGCAAGCGCTGTATTAAGCAGAGAAATACCGGGGGCGTTGCCGTTAAAGCCAGGCACAGATGAGGATGCGTGTAGCCACGGCTGTGACTTAACATCGCTCTGAAGGTTCCAGACGGTGCAGATTGGAGATGAGGATCCAAAATTATCAGTGTTTACAGAGTGCAACTGTATACCTAGAAAACCCAAGGGACTCCACAAAGATATATTAGAATTAATGAGTTCAATCAAGCTGCTTGATAAAAGATAGTTCTATAAAAATCAGTAGCCTTCCTGTGTACCAATAGATGGAAAGTATTCAATGAGCAATGGCAAAAAGAAAAAAAATCCTTGAAATAATCCTGATTTTTAAAAATGGATGACCTGTATAAAAATATGTATATATAATACTTCATGGTACAACATCAAAGCAGAATGAAATAAGCTGAAAAAATATACTATGTTCCTGATGAATACTGTAAATTATGTCAATTCCTCCTTTAATTAGTTTCTAAGTTTAATTTACTATCAATCAAATTCACGAGGGATTTTTCTACCCGACAAAACAATTCTAAAATTCATTTGAAAGAATAAACATATGTGACCAGCCAAGAAAATTTTGTAAGAGAATACCAGCAAAGGGGGACGTATCCAGCCAGATGTTCCAAAGCCACACAGTCCAACAGAAATAGAACTCGAGCTTTATATGTAGCCATGTTTTTAAAAAAAAAAGACACAGGTGAAATTAATTTCAGAAATATATTTTATTTAACCCAGTATGCCCAAAATATTACCATTTCAACCTGTAATCAATACTTTAAAATGATCTATTAAACATTCCACATTCTTTTTGGGGGGTACGAAGTCTCTGAAATCCAATGTATATTTTATACTCAGGGTACCTCTCAATTCAGACCAGACACATTTTAAGTCTTCAATAGCCTTGTGTGGCTTATAGCTACTGTATTGGACAGCAAAGCTTCAAAGTACTTAATACTTTGACTATTAGAGCCTTACAGTTCTAATAATAAACACAGCTTAATATTGGTACAAGAACAGAAAGATGGAAAAGTAGAATGTATCTGCGGTACTGCTTAACCTGAGGTTTCATTTGCAACTGACTGGCGATGGTGTACTATAACCCATAAAATAGACAGATGTAAATACATACCAATATGCTCACAGCTCTCAAGCCCCTTTTCATCATATGTCCAGAAGCTCTGTCCCAATCAGAATGGCCACTAGCAAGCCTTAGACAAGCCTTGCATGAAACGTGAAGACACCCTACTTTCCATGTGCTCCCAATCCCTGCTTTCAAACAGCCGCGTGGGAGGGATGGGCAGGGCAAGGTAACGGGAAGGGCTGCAGAGCCTCCACGCCCTCTCTGGGCACTCACCCTCCCAGCACCTCACCTGTTCACCAACCCAAAGCTCTCCAAACCTTGTCGTTTAGGGGTTTTCAAAGGAAAAATACCCGGGTGTAAAGATGACAGGCTTTAACACTTGGAAATACTTTTAATACATTGAAATTTCAGATTAGGGCTTTCAAAGGAAAAATACCCAGGTTTAAAGATGAATCCCGGACATTCTGCACAGAGCTGGTGAAGGCTGGTCCCCCCAACACGCATCTTTCCATTTCCCAACCCCTGAACTGAGGATGCAATCGGCGGGTCTCAGGCCCCGGCCCTGGCCCCCGCCTCCTGGGCCACGACACTTCCAACGCAGTCCCTCACTGTCAACACCCTGGACACTCAAAATGTCTTTGAAGAGTCACGCTGTGAGGTCAAAAAGTTAGGGTGCACGCAGAAAGGCGCATGTAGCTTTGCATCGGTGAGGCAAATACCTATCCCTGGAGGAAGGACCGCTACTTCGTAATTCACAAGAGGAAGACCCCCGGAGGCGGACGAAGCCAACCGAACTCAGTTCCCGGGAGCCGTGACAAGCGACGGCCAGGCAGCAGAAATGGCCCACCCATTAGGCTGCAGACAGCATCAGAGAAACCAAGCACTGTGGCAGTGGGGCCCGCGCCTCCAGGGAACCACAAGGCACAGAGTTGCAGTTTAAATGGGAGTGTCTCCTCTTTCTTGGTGGCGTATAAAGTAATGGTGTGTCCCGTAACCGATGGCACCTTAGAGCTAATGATATGCAGACACGGCCACCGCTTTCTCACCCCCGGGCCTGGGGTAGGCGCTTGCTGCACACCCACCCTTTCACTGCCACTGAAGTGCGTGCGGACAGAACCCATCTTTTGCTATTGGAGGAACTAAGGTTCTCAGGATCGTGGTGCTTGTCCACCCTGCCGGTCACGAGGAGCACAGCGGACCATGTGACCCGCAACAGCCTCCAGCCCACAATAGGCCCCTGCCTTCCCTGGGTTAACCCGTGAAATGCACAAGGCAGGGTGGGGATGGCGTAGAGCCTGCCTGGCTTCAGCAGCACCCAGGCCTTGGTCCTGGACACTAGGGTTCCCTGTGCCTCTGAGCGGAAGCTGTGCACCCCACTCTGCAGCCCTGGAGTCGTCGTGCAGTGTAATTGAAATTCATGGACAAGCCCGAGGAGCCAGCTCCGGGCTCGGTAATAACTTCTCCATATTAATGGCAGCACCGCAGACCCTGTGGACAGCTGATATTTAATATGAAACATACGCAGCAGAGTGTGCAGCTCCTACCTGGATCCTCCCATTCCGGGGTAACCACCAGTAGGGGATGGGGGTGTCTAACGTGGCGCCAAGATTGAGGGGGCTGGGGTCCTCCTCTCCCCTGAGTACCTCAACCCCACTTAAGGCCCCTCTTCTACAGAGTGCAGGAAACCCCTCCCGAGAAATACATAAACACATGCTGGCCCATGCTCACTCAAATGCACACCCTCCCATGCAGACACACTCATGTGCACACACGTGTACACACTCATTCAGACGTGCACAAACATATGCACCCCCACACGCACACTGCATGCACGTACTCCTACATGCAAGACATGCAGAGGCAACATGTACATGCACACACTCCCGCCATGCACAGGCCCAGGACACGCACACGTCCACATGCAGCCACCAGCCTGCTGTGCCGGCAGCAACACAGGGACCCCCAGGGCTGCCCAAGCCAGAGAGGCAGGTGGGGTAAAGAAGGACATGTCTGCCTGCCAGCACAGACCCAGGGTCCCAGGAGGGCTGCCATGCACACTTGCCTCTTTGGGTCTTCAGATACCACAGTGGGCAGGCCCAGACCATAGCTCAGGCAGCCACGAGGCAAAGCCAGCCTCGCTGCTGAGCGGATGTCCCTGGCTGATTCCCTTACTCACCCAGGTGTGGCCCCTGTGAGCCTCACAGCAGGCCTGGGTGAGGACCTGGCCTTCACCTCCCAGCTGACTCTGCACGAGGGCCTGAATTCACTCACTCACCCAGGTGTGGCCCCTATGAGCCTCACAGCAGGCCTGGGTGAGGACCTGGCCTTCACCTCCCAGCTGACTCTGCAGGAGGGCCTGCATTCACTCAGGCATGACTCGCTAAGCACTGGAGACATGGGGGACAGGGAAGCCACGGCGAGCCATTGGGCAGGAGAAGCCTGCCACACCTGAATGAGCACATGGCCGCGCACATTTACCAGTGCCAGAAACATACCCAGCCACACAATGGAGTGCAGCTCTCTCAGGGAGAGCTGGCCTTGCTGGGCTCCGGCTGAGACCAGTGCTGACTATGCCGGCCTTCATGAGGGGCTGGGAGCCGGCTCCACTCTGCCCCTCCCTAAAGGATTCCAGGAGAGACGCCAGCCCACACAGAGAACCTGCATATGTAACTCCTAGAGCCTCGGTTTCCTACCTGTGAAATGGGGCCACGGTGGCTGGCTCACAGGAAAACCGCAGGGACTGGGTTCAAAGCCCCAGGCAGAGGTAGATGGTGTGGATGCTGCTCCCCGGACCCCCTCCTGAGGCTGGCCGCCGCCTCCAGAGGGACTGCGCTGCACTGCTGGATCCCTCAGGCATCTCTGTAGGGGCCCTCAGCTCACGTAAGGCAGCAGGGGAGGGAGTCATTGCCCCACCCTCCCAGGGGCACCTGAGGGGAACGCTGGAGTTCTGCCTCCTGCAGCCCTTTCTCCCGGAGTCTCATTCCAGACCAGCAGAGCAGGCGACTCAGGCCGGAGCTGGAGGGCCCTGACCAGGTCACGGGGGCCTTGAATGCCAGGCCAGTGGGTTTGGATGTTTTTAAGAGCAGTAAGAACCACTGAGAGGTCTTAAGTGAAGGCGTGACATGAGTTGCTGCATGGTTTCTAAAAATCCCTCTGGCTGCAGAGTGGAGAAGGGTTGTCGGGGAGAGACCATGGGGCAGTGGGGGGTACAAGAGCAGAAAGCAGGGGTTGGCACCAGGCGTGGAGGGAAGCCGGGCCCTGAGAGAGCTCTAGAATTGGAGCTGGCTAGGGGAGGGCGATCCTGGAAGGGTGGGGTCTGGAGGAGAGTGGGGAGAGCCACGTGACTTGAGTATGGGGTCATCCAGGGAAGGGGGTTCCAGAGGCAGCCGAGCAGGCAAGCCTGGAGCCCAGGAGGACTTCTAAGCCCAACATGGGGTCTGGAGTCCAGGAGAAGGGTGGCCACAACCGTGTTCACCACCCTGCACAATTCTCCTCCCTTCTTGTATGATAGGCCCCTCTTCATTCCAGAGTTTGGGAGTCTGTCCCTCCCCCTCAGTCCCAAAGGTGGGCAGGAGACCTGGGCTAGGCCCGCATCACAGCCATGGGTTTGAAGATGGGCCTCCAATCCCTCCCCCAACTCTCACAGGTGTCACCCAGAGAGGAGGGCTTTCCATCTCAAAGGTTGCCTCCTTGGAAAACGAGTTGGGCCTGGAGCCGCTGGTGGGCCGGGGGTTGAGGGGTGGAGAGCAATTCTGAAATGAACACTGAGAGGCAGGGCTGAGAAATGGATAGCATGCTCTGAGCCCCTGGATTCAGCCAGGCCTGAAGCCAACACTCCTCAGGACCCCCAGATAATTGGGGCCATGCTGTCCCTTGTTTGTTTCATCCAATATGAGCAGGGGTTTCTGTCACTTAAACTGAGCAAGTCTTAAGGTGACAAGTATGGCGGAGGCTGAGACTGGCCTTAGCAGCTGTGTAGGCTGCTTGCAGCTGGGGCCCACAGGAGCCTCTGCTCCTACCTGGGGAGCCCCGACACCCTAGGGAACCCAGAGGTTCCTGCAGCCCCTCTTTAGTCTTCCTGACAACCTCTCATTGCGATCCAGGCAGTGCCAAGGTGGGGTGGGAGGAAGGAAGACCCTACCAGCGGCAGCTGCAAATCTCAGGTGCCCCTCACCCCACTGCACAGTCCCAGGACCCGCTCACACCTGCCTGATCTGCTCTAGCACCTGAGCCTGCTGGAGCCCAGTGTGTGGCCTCGAAGGCAGCAGCCTTGCTGGGAAAAATGAAACTCATCTCAATCCCTTAGGCCGGCTTCTGACTTCTCTCTGTGGCCTTTATGACTCTTAATGTCCAGCAAGACAGAGTGGGTGCCTGGCCCAGACAG
Source organism: Homo sapiens (assembly GCF_000001405.40). NCBI lineage: Eukaryota > Metazoa > Chordata > Mammalia > Primates > Hominidae > Homo > Homo sapiens. The sequence continues at coordinate 104,706 of NW_016107298.1, forward strand.
CAGCCCCGCAGGGGAGCCCCAGCCTGAAAGGCAGCAGCCCTGGATTTCTTCTTGCCATGCAACCTTGGGTCTCTCTGAGCCTCAGCCACGCAGTGGGGCAGCCCTATCTCACAGGGTTGTGGGGTTCGCATCAAGCATCCAGGGAAGGGCATACACTTCCTCCTTTGGGCCCCAGGATTGGACCAGGCCTTGGAGGGCGGACCATCTCCACCGCCCAGCCCATGGAGGCTTCATCCACTGCTGCCCAGCCTGGCAGGAGAGGATCCCCGTGCTGCCCTGAGTGGGGAGGCAGAGGCGGGCAGGGTTGCTTCCATCCCACGGAAGTCCCAGCTGCAGTCCCCCACCAGTGAGGACTTAGGCCACCCATAGGAGCTGCAGCCCAGCGCAGGTCACGAGCCAGTCAAGGCCACTCAGCTCCCAGGCCTGCTCCCGGCTCCACTCACACTGACGATGGTCAAACCCACAATGAGAACGTCTCCAGGAGTCAAATAAGAAAGGTGGGAAATGTTGTAAAGAAATGCATTTTTAAAATTCTTTTTGTAGGCATGCAGGAAAAGGCAACAAAACATAGTGAGCATGGCCTTGGAATCAGATTTGTGTTCAAATACTGGCTTCGAAGCTTGAAGCAAGCTATCTCGACTTTTGGAGCCTCAGTTTATTCATCTGTAGAAGGGGGATGATGTCGGGATATGTTCCGTAGGGTGCTGTGAGGATTAAACAAGGCGAGGTGGCACAGGGGGCTCAGCTGAGAGCCTGGCACACAATGTTAATAGGAACACAGTCAACTGTCACTTACCATCATTACCTTTTACGCCAAAAGGCTTCTCACTGGGTTTTTAATGGGCATGTAAAAACCACGTGAAATTAGCACGCCTACCACGCTGCCCAGGAGATACTGGAAAACTCTTCCGCAGCAACGTGAGGCACAACACCACTCTGTGCAGCCTGTTTTGCTCATGCCTTGTGCAAAGGGACATTTTGCTGTGGATACTATGAATAACCCCTCGCTGTGGATATTATTATGAATAACTTCCGTCTAGTCACTCAACCTCCCAGAGCCTGAGTGCTCCACCTGTAACCAGGGATGAGATGCCTCCCCGACCAGGGCTCTGTGAGGACAAGAGGTGCCCTGTGTAAAGACCCAGGTCCTTAGCAAAGAAGCCTATCGTGGTGGCAGCAGAGGGGGATTTAACAGTAGGACAGACACATACGCAGCAACAAAGTCAGAAAAGGAAAGAAGAGGCCGGGCGCGGTGGCTGAGGCCTGTAATCCCAGCACTTTAGGAGGCCAAGATGGGCAGATCGCTTGAGGTCGGGAGTTTGAGACCAGCCTGATCAAAAGGAAAGAAAGAAAGAAAAAAAGGAAGGAAGGAAGGAAGGAAAGAGAAGAGAAGAGAAAGAGGACAAGCGAAAAGAAAAGAGGCTGGGCGCAGTGGCTCATGCCTGTAATCCCAGCACTTTAGGAGGCCGAGGCAGGCAGATCACAAGGTCAGGAGATTGAGACCACCCTGGCTAACACGGTGAAACACCGTCTCTACTAAAAATTAAAAAAAAAATAAAAAAAAATTAGCTGCACGTGGTGGCAGGCGCCTGTAGTCCCTGCTACTTGGGAGGCTGAGGCAGGAGAATGGCGTGAACCCGGAAGGCAGAGCGCTTGCAGTGAGCTGAGATCGCGCCACTGCACTCCAGCCTGGGTAATAGAGTGAGACTCCGTCTCAAAAAAAAAAAAAAAAAAGAAAACAGAACCAATGGTGCTGTCCCACTGTCCAAGGCCATTATTCAGTGACAGCATTCAATGCCGCTCAGGCAGGTCCCAGCTCCTCTTCCAACCCCAATATTCTTCCCAGCTCTGTCTGGTACATGGGACACTTCAGCAGGCCTGTCCTGCCCAGGCCAATCCACACCTGGTACCTCTGCACACGCTCCTCCCTCTGCCCGGGTTGCCAACCTGCGTCTTTTCCAGCTGGCCACTCATTCTTCCAGCCCCCATTCAAACAGCCCCCCAGGAGCACACTCTCCAAGTCCTGGCCAGAGTGTCCGTCAGCCACCCTGACGACAGGAGCCCTGGGTGGGTACCAGACCTGCCTCATTGCTGACCAGTACAGGGGATAAACATATGAGAAGGTGCTGGCTGAAAAATGAATCACCAAATGAACTGCTGAATGAATGAAACAGTGACAAGTCCTCCCCAAAATGCTCTCCATCAGGAATGCATAGTACACAGGTGTTGGCCCACCAACAGACTGCAACCCCATGTCAACTCCCACCACCTTACCTCACCCTAAGTCCGCAGCAAACATCTCCTTTCATTTAGGAAATTAACCTCCAGCGTAAAATGGGACACACCTCTGAGGCCCAGGATGTCCTCAGAGACAGTGGGCGATGTCAAGGGCTCACCATTTTAACCCAGCTCCTCCAGGGATATTTACAGTTGTTTGCAATATGGCCAAGTTCTAACTAAATCCAGCCAAAGGCAGTGATTTTCCAAAGCAACAAGTGATATTTTCTGTGTCTCCATAAAAAGAATGACAGTGGTTGCAGAGCCCTGGTGTAATTGCCGGCTCTGCAGACTGTAGGATGAGCCTCAGCTGCCCGAGTACGGGCGTGCTCAGGGGCCACGGGGGCTGGGAGAGTGGCCACTCACTCGGGGCAGGAGTTCCCTGAGTAGCAATTAGAGCGGAACCCATGGTGGGCGGCTTCAGATGTCTGGCCAGCACAGCCAGCCTGACCACCACACACCCAATCCAAAATAGAAAACTGCAGTGGCCTCTGCTGTGTGCCAGGCCCCGGGCAGCCGGACAGAGCACCGCCAATGTCAGCCTCCTCCCTCAGCATCGATCCAGGCTTCCTCTGAGGCCCCCTTGTGCTGAGCCACGGTCCCTCCTGCCCTCTCCAGGAAGCAGAGCTTCCCAGAGCTCCAGTCACAGGACTAGAGAGGCGCAGGCAGTCTCAAAAGGGATCCCCTAGCCTCTCTCTTGTCCTTCAGGCGCTGCCCCCAAAAGATCGAGCAGCTCATGGGCACTAGAGCCTTCATTTCCAAATGCACCCCTCAGCTCAAAATAGAGAAAACCAACTTTTCAAAGAACCAGCTGGAGTTCAACAGGAAACCACAGCAGAAAAACCAATGATTCCCGGTCAGCCAAGGGGCAGAGGGCTAACTGGGCATTTCAGCATCACTGCCAGCTCCCTGGGCTGGTATTACCCGCACGCAAGGAAACAGGAAGACTGACTGCCAGCCCATAAGTCCACCACACACATATCACGCCAGTATGCACAAGGACGGACACAAACTCAACAGATGCTCAACACACTGATGTGCAGAAACCCAGACACATACGTGCACAAGAGACACTGGCACACGCACATGTTCACACAGGTGCACGGGCACCCAGATGCAGGTACACACCAACGTTCCACAACACATGTGCACACACTCACAAAGGTACACACACATACACGGACCCACCCCCGGATGCAAGCCAGAGACCTGTTCAGGCAGGCAAAAGAGAGAGGCGCACGCTCCTGCCTGCTGAGCCTTTTGGAGACCCGGGCGCTCCCCATGCATAAATGGCCCCCTGCTCAGACCAGTCAAAACAACCTGCTTTCCAGCCAAGCCCTTCAGTTGGAGCACGAGGCTCACTAAAGCACGGGAAGGGCGCGGAAAGTCCTCAGCGCAGGCCTTGCCCTCCCAAGGGACTCCCAGGTAACCCTTTTCCAAAACCCAGGCGAGAGCAGCGGAGAGAAAGGAGCTAGAGAAGTGCGTACTCACCAGCCCATCGCAGTTGCTGAGCGCCACAGAGGAGGCTTCGGCTAGGCCGGCCACGTCTCCGACGTAGAGACAGCTCCCGAGCAGGGGCTCCACGCGGGTGGTGCCCTTCTCGCCCTGCCACTCCATAGTGGCCCCGGGCGCCACGAGGCGGGCGTTGGGCCGCAGCCGCAGGTGCAGGTCTCGGCCAAAGACCGTGACATTGTAGAAGAGGTGACTGCCAGGCTCCTCCTCGTTGCCTCCGGGGAAGCTCGGGGTCCGGACCGGGGCGGCCCTGCGGGCTCGTACCCCTGCTCTGGACGTAGCTGCCGACACCACGTGGGACACCAAGCGGCCCTGGGCGTCAGTGCGCACGGGCACCGCCAGGATGCGCTCCGCTCCGTGCCCCAGGGGCCCGCCTGCAACGGGAAGGGGCGTTAGATCGGCGGAGACCACGGAGCCCCAGTGCCTCAGAGACCCGCCGGCAAGCCACGCCCCCCCAGACCCCGCCCCACTGCGAAGGGAAGGGGCATTCCGCCAGGCGACCCCAGAAGCCAGCCTGCACCTCCCCGGCTTTCCTGCAACCGGGAAGGGGCGTTAACAGGGCCACCACTCCGGGGCTCCGCCACTCCCCAGCCGTTCCCTCCTCCGGAGACCTTGCCTGCCAAGAGCTCTGCCCCCTGCCCCGTTCAGGGTTGGGGCTCGGTGGGAACCTCCCCGTGCCCGAAGGGACGACCCCGTCAGAGAGTCCCCCGACCCTTGCACCTACCGTCCTTGGCAGGACGTGGAGCTGCTCGGAAGCCATTCCGGGTTGGCCCCCTTACCCGTGTGCCACGACCCCTCGGCGGGCCCCTGCCGCCCGAGTGCCCTCACCGCCAGCCTCCGGAGCGGCGGAGTCTCGGCTTCCCCGAGCACGAGCGGCCTGTCCTGCCTGTCCAGCTCCCGCTCAGCCCGCTGCCGGCCCCGTCTCCCCGAGCGCCCGAGGACTGGGAGGGGTGGAACAGGGTCCCTCCGATCTCCGGGGATTCCCTGCGGGGCGCCCCAACCAATCCTTAGGGCCCAAGGCTACGCGCTCGGCAGCCGGCTCCTCCGGAGCGTCCCCGGACGCGAGCCCCGGCGCCGCCTCGCCCTGGCTCCCCCCTCGGACCCGCTGGGGCTGACTCTGCGCTCTTGGCCGCGGGGCTTTTCCCGGCCCTCCGTCCCCACCCTCCGCGACTCAGGAGCCGCCAGTGCTCCGAGGCTCCCCCGGCCCAAGGCGCTCGGGGGCGGTGCGGGGCGCCCCCTGCGCGACCAACCCGGCCCCGAAGTTGGCCAACTTGGCCCCGGGCGGGGCGCGCGGAGTTTGCCCAAGTCAGGCTGGACGACGCCTGGGGAGGGGGCGGCGGGGCACGCGGGACAGGGCCAGGCCGGCGGGGGTCCCGGGGAGTAGGGGCCGGGCCGCACCTACCTGGGGGGTCGGCGGCGGCGGCGAGCCTGGCGTTCGCGGGCGGCGGCGGCGGCGGCAGGAGCGGCGGCGGCAGCAGCAGCAGCAGCAGCAGCAGCGCGGGGCAGAGCAGGCGGCGAGCGGCTCCCGCCGGCGGATCCATGGCAGCCGGACTGCAGCCGGGGCCCCGCACTCGCAGCCGGCGCGAAAGTTCCCCGCGAGCCGCCCAGCCCACATCTGGGGGCAGCTGGAGCCGCCCGCAGCTGCAGCACCGCAGGGCGCGGGGCGGAGGAGGCGAGGCGCGGAGGGGCGGGCGGGGGAGCGCGGAGGGAAGGCGGGGAGAGGGAAGGAGCGAGCGAGCGAGGGAGGCAGGCGGGAGGGAGGGAGGCGAGCGAGGGGGAGGGCGGGGACGGCGGGCGCCTCAGCCTGCGGTGACCCGGCGCATCTTGGCGCGGCCGCCGCCGCCGCCCGCTTCCCTCTTCGCGCCGCCGTCGCCGCGGTGCCGGGCTCGCAGCGAAGCAGAGACACCCCGAGGCGGCGGCAGAGAAGCGCCGCGGGCCGGGCCGGGGGAGCCCCGCCGCCAGCCACCCCAGGGGCACAACCTCCGAGGAGCGGCGCCGGCCGAACGTCCCCACCTAGAGAGCCCTTGGGGTGCCGGGTCCCACCCATCAGCCCTGGAATTCAAGGGGTGCATCCCCCTGTCTCTGTGCTCTGGGGCAGGACAGGGTGAGGGAATGAAAGGGGAGGGGGGACTGACTACTGGGTCCAAGGTCTGAGCCAGGCCGAATGCCCAAATAGAGGCCGCAAAGGCCAGAAGATGCTGTTAGGAGGGTACACCCAGGGCGCGACCCCAAAGATCAACTTTTGCCCTTACTGAGAGAGGCAAGGCTCCTTCAGTCCCCAGTTCCTCTTCCTCTGAAGTCCCTGTCCCCTGTCCCCCATCTGCCTTCCCATCCCTCCGCTGCAGCCTCAGCACAGCCTCTTCCTGCCAGACCTGGGCTCTCTGCCCATGAGCACAGTCAGGCTCCTGCCCTCACCTGTCCTCAACCCCACGTATGCATTCTGTCCTCCCGCCATTGCACTCCCGGCCCCCAACCTGAAATGGCCTCTCCAAGCTCTGCCTACCTTTTCCACCCAAGCATCCAAGGACACCTGGGCCCATTCTGGGGCCAGTTTGCTGTTAGAGCCCGTTGCCAACCGGAACCCCTCCCCAGTCCCTCCTCTCCAGCAAGGCCCTGATCCTCCCATGCTGTCTGAGCTCAGCGGCCTCTCTCCAGGGCCTGCCTGAGAGCCCCCTCTCAGGCTGTTGATCATCTCTGCCCTGGGACCCCCAATTTCTGCCTCACTTCCCCAGAGGGTGAACACCCACCCCTTTGATTTTCTCATTTGCCCTGCCCCAGGTCTGTGTGGCCAGGGCTTTGGTCTTTGCTTTGGCCAGGGGCAGAGGACCCGGAGATGACTCAGGCCTCTCCCTGCTGGCCAGGAGGTCCCAGTCGTTGGGGGAAACACGACTTACACAGCAGGCTCTAACTGTGATCTCACGTCCTTGGTTCTTTCGATTGTGGGTCCTGGGTGTGAGAGCATCGCAGCTGGACAGCCATCTTCACCTGCAAGCTGTACTCTTTCTGTGTCACCTAAGGGTGCCCGAGGCTGGATCCAGCTCCCAGGCATGGTGAGATGTCACATGGAAATTTAGATTGGTAACTTTTCTTGAGATATTGGAAGATGTGGCCACGCTAGCCCCACAGTCCTGCTTAGCAACCATTAAATGGGCACTTACCTTGCAGTTTGTGGCAGGTCCCGCCTCTCCTCACTCTCTGTAGGCATCTGCTCTCGTGACCTGTGATGACCCAACTGGTTCCAGAGAAAGTTGGAACTGGAATCCTAGTATACCACAGAGATGACTCCAGAGCTGGGCATCCAGGAGGACTTCCTGTAAGAGGTGGCATGAGTTGAATTGTGAAGGCTGGGGGAGCTAGGCAGCCCAGAGTTGGGTCCAGCCAGTTGCTGTCCTGGAACCCATGACGCATTCCTCCTGTGGTTGTCAGCGCTTCCATCCTCTTCGAAACACGAGTGAAACCCAACCAGCAGCCGCCCCTACTTCAAGGGGCATGTTCTGCACCTTCCTGCCGTGTCTATGGTTGGGTATTTCTTTACACAGCGCCTAAAACTTTTTTCAATTTTTTAAAGGATACTTTAAATCACTACTATAAATGGAAAAGCCAGCATCTCACCATGTTTCCATAAATCAAAGATAATTGCTAAAAATAAATACAACAAGAAGAGAAATGTTATCAAATTCCAGATACTTTGACCTGCTAAAGATACCGAAGGCTGAAGCTGATTAGTAAGTGTTACAAAAGCCTTAAGATGGACTAGCACAGAGGTCGTTGTTCTGATGTGATTGGAAGGATGAAAGGAGGCCTGAAAAGGAGTAACTCTGACTTTATGAGTTGATGGCATCTTCTAACAGGTTCACAGAGCTAAATTATTTTGTATACTTTGGGATACTTGCTTTGGGATATTTTTGGGGGAAAGAATTTGTCTCCTGGACACTGAATAACCCCAGGCAGCTGATTCTTCCCACATCACCCGTGCCCCTGCCACCAGGGATGAGTTGGGGATGGAGCAGCACCCTTGCCTGGCCCTTCCTTTAGTGCCCCCACTGTCACCCACCAGGGTGGTGGATGAACAAGGCTCACATGCACCTAACTTCACAGTTAAACCCTCAGGGAGGTGGAGGAGACTTGCAGACACATCCCAGCCCGTGATCATTTGTCCTCCACTCAGAAACAAACAGAAAAACAAAAAACAACCAAAGAACAACAACAAAAATCTTGCTACTTCTTCAAACCTCCATGATTCAAATCTTGCCTCTCCCCCCTTACTGGTGTTTGCCTCTTTCTCTGGTCCCCCTTTTCCTCTTCCAGGTAAAATACGGGACATAGAAGTCCCCAGTGGCTCTCTGCTCCTCTGCATGTTCAGTCTAGGTCCCAACGACAAAAACTAAGGGCCACTGGGCCAACGCCGCCGGATGTGTTGTTGAGCACATGCCACGTGCGTTCGTTTCTACTGGAGCCTGAATGTCTTCAGGTCTGGCTGTGCTCTCCAGCTTACCGCAGTCCTCACCACCCCCTGTTGCCCTACACCTGCCTATTGCTCGTGATTGTCAGCACCATGATCCCTGAAAACCTGGAGTTGTCACCCTCACCGAGAAGCCCAGTGTTTGTAGGGAGGAGTGAGGACAAGTCAGCGTCAGCTCGGGCCTTACACACCCAACCCCCTTAAAATCTTCCCAAAGTTGTGTGGTGCAGAAAGAGGTGAGGACCTTTCCGGGTCATCTTGGGTGCCACGAGTCACCCCACATCCCTGGCAGAAGAAACACTAAGGAGGAGGAATGTTTGTTGCCCACCACAGCTCTCAGTGGGTGGGTGCCCTGCCTTGCCCTGAGAGGAGGGTCGGGCTCCCTGGTCTGGCTCAGGCTTCCAGGTCACATTTGTCAGCACAGACTTCATTAAAGACAGGAGCCCATTTGAGAGCCACTGCTGTCTCCTAATGTCTGCACAGAAACCAGCCCCTGAGAAGGTCTCCTGCCCTTTGACAAAGTCACCTTTCTTGGCACAACCTGCCAAGCAGATGGAGGCAGTGAGGTTTCAGTGCCCTCCCTAATGACAAACAAGCTCTTAGGGGCTGTGGGAAAGGAGCTGGACTCTTTTAGTCTCACTGGTGCCTGTGTGCAGAGCGGGCCAAGCATGAGGGGCTAGTTACCTTGTCGAGGGGCCTTGAGGACAGCAGCTCTGTCCAACTTTGCTGTTGGCAAACAGCGGGTGCAGTGGTCCCATCAGATGCTCTGGCGGAGTTCTGGCCGGGAGTGGCCCTGGTGAGCCATATGTCAAGGGAATGCTGATTGAACAGAATGTGGAGGCTGGGTGGCCTCTAGGAAGTGTGGTTCTTGCTGTTTCTTGAGCGTGCCCCTCCCCGACGCCATGTACACACTTTAATAGGGAGCCGTGTCCAGCAAAAGAGGAAACGTGGGTGGTGTTTCAGTAGCAATTGTTTTTACTGCCATTGCAGCACGGAGGCATCCCCTCGCCACTGAGATCGATTCTGCCTGGAAGTGGAAGACAAAGTGCTTGAGGTTTGGAGGCTTGGGGATCAGGGCTCAGTTAACATTTCTACATGGAGATGCAAGATGGAGACTCAGACTCAGTCTAAGCATTAATGGCCCAGGGAAGGATGTAGCTTAATGCCTATCTGTGATTGTCCACTTACACATATGCTCAGCCTAGCAGAGAGAACAGAGAAAAATTTTAAAGGGGCTATCTGGGTGTGTCAGGCAGTGACGCCACTTGAGCTGGGGTCTAAATCTCTGGGTTCACCTGTGTCTGGCCCCTGTCTGGGGTCGGGGGCCATTTTGTCCAGCCCCCTCATCTGGGAAAGGCCTTTGGGTCCCTCAGGATGCTCCTGGCTGCAAGTAAGACAGCCAGCTTAAACCATGAGGAAATGCATCAGCTCACGCACCCGGAAGTCTACAGGTGTGGTGGCCACGGAGCTTAACCGCAGCACCAAGGGCCCTGCTGCCTGCCTAGCATCTTTGCCCCAACCAGGTAGAAGGATGGCCAAAGCACAGGTGCACTGCCCTCTCCCAGAAGGACCGCTGTCTCCCCTGTGGTCTGTGGGCCAAGGCTGGGTCATTTGCTGAACCAGTTGCTGACAGGCGGTGGGTGAAGGGATGACTGGGACAAACCTGGATTAACCATCGCGTCTACCCCAGTGCCCCCAGCATTGCCTTCTGTCTTTATTTCCAAATCAGAGTATTGCATAGTCCCAGGCATCCTCCTGCCTGGCAAAAGAAGTTTTTCCCATGTGACGCTATATTTGTGTCCCACTCCTATACTACACCATCTGTACAGCATGCAGAATTCCTTTCTTTTTATGTAAATCCTGTAGGTAACTAGTGAAGGGCCCAGTTCTATTACATTATGGAGATCTGTGTTCAAAGCCTTTTCTAAGCCTGTCTGGACGCTTCCTTACTTCCTAGATTTTGAGGAAAGCCATCGGTGACCCCAGCCCAGGCCTTGCTAGATCCCCAGGATCCCTGGCCTCTGGGGCTTCATTACCTTTAGGTCACCCTCTGTGGCAATGTCCTTCCATCCAGTCCAGCCTGACCCTTCCCAGTTCACGGGATCAAGGATGTGGGCCTTAAAGACACCGAAGCTTCTGGCTGGGACTTCAGGGCTACAGTGCCCATGATGAAGCCCTAAGACGAAGACCGTGGTGGGAGGAAAACTCTGGGTGCATGGCTGGGGGGCTCCGGCCATCTCTACAGCCTTGGGGACCCCACTTCCCACTTCTCCTCCAGAAGGGAGAAGGGTCCCTCCTCTCGCTGGTAGGAGCGACCTTCTTAGCTGCTCCTGCCAACAGTTCCAGGGGTCCTTCTTCCTCTGCAGAAACACCGAGACTGGACACAAATCCCAGGACACTGAAAGTGGGGGTCCTGGAGGAACTGGTACCTTTGCTCCCTGCAAAATGGTGTCCCCTTCCTCTGAGGGTTCCAAGAAAAAAAAAGAAAGAAACAAAGAAAAGATATGTTTGTATCCTTTTGGTAATTTTTTTAAAGTTTGTTGGGTTTTTGAAAATGAACTAAATCATCCCTGTGCCCAGTGTTTCTGCAGCTCTCTACAGGTCTGGCTCTGGGCCACCCCTCAGGAGGAGAAGCCTTTTCTCTTCATACTGACCCAAGGCCAGTCCTTAGGGCTGGTCCCTGAGCCCTCCGCTTCCTGGGCAATCTCATCCTTTCCCACAGGCTCGTGAGAGCCGGTGTGCTGATGACTGCCCACCCGCTGGGTTCATTCTACCGTAAATGCAGCTCCCTCAGCCACCTGCATCAAGATATCTCAGAGCCTTACCAACTCACCCACCCAGAACTGCCCCATCTCCAGCCTGGCCCCAGCCTCGGCCCAGTCCCCTTGGGCTCAGCATCCGGCGTCTCCATTCTCCCTGCAGGCTCCCTGCAGCCAGGGACCCAGGGGCATCTCGGTCCCCTCCATTCCTTTACCCCCACATGAAAGCACTCTCCAGTCTGCACCCCCTCCCTACCACCCCCTCTACCCCAGCCTCGATACCCCTCCCTGACATGACGGAGCACCCACAGGACCAGCCCCGTTGGGCACTAGATGCCTGAAATTGAGCCCGTGGGCTCAAGTGACTTCCTCTCCTGCTAGTCAGAAGGGGGCGGCTCCAGGACGGCACCCCACACACAATGACCTGCACACAGCACGCATCTTCTTATGCTTGCCTCTGTCTCCTCATTGGAGGGGGCTTGCACACCTCCCTCCCAGTCTGGAGCAAAGCTTGAGCATGACTTATATTTGTTTTCAGCAGAGGGTAGACGTGAGCAGCCCCTGAAACAGGTTGGTGGCTGAAAGTGCCAATGTTCTTTGGAATAATGAGGCCCATCTCCTAGCTGGAGGGCTCCTGCCCCACCCTGTGGGCATAGCTGTCCTGGGTAGCAGGGAGCCTGGTTTCCTGGGGTTGCTGAGAGGGGAACTCCACCAGGGCTCATTGGCTTAGATTATTTCAACTCCCCTTTCCAGCCGTGTGCCCTTGGGAAAGTTAACCTCTCGTGCCTCAGTTTCTTAAAGTCTGTATTGGGCACGATAATACCTCATCACAGGGCAGTTTTCAGAATCAAATGATATGTTTTTTTGAGACCGGATCTCACTCTGCTGCCCAGACTGAGTGCAGCGGCATGATCACAGCACACTGCAGCCTCAACATTCTAGGTTCAAGTGATCCTCCCACCTCAGCCAATCAAGTAGCTGGGGCCGCAGGCGCGTAGCACTGTGCCTGGCTAATATTTTATATTTTGTAGAGACAGGGTCTTGCTGCCCAGGCTGGTCTTGAACACTTGGGCTCAAGTGATCCACCTACCATGGCCTCGTAAAGTGCTGGGATTACAGGTGTGAGCTACCATACCTGGTTGAGAATCAAATGATTGACCACATATGTGGGGCTCACAACTGATCCTCACAGAGTCAGCACCGGTACCTTTGCTAGTACTGCTCTCCATGACTTCCTGTACATGGCTGTACCCATAGTGCAGTATTGGGCCAGAAACACAACACTGTGGACGCTGGAAATTTGCAGAGTATTTTGACCATGGCCTTCTTCATGCCGCCACTGACTTTAGAACCAAACCCTGACGGTACGGTAGGACATTAATGGTAGGATGCCAGGGTTGACTTTGGACGGGTAACCTCGCCAAAGTCTTGTAGAAAATATGGCAATTGACAAAACACAGCCTGGCACATAGTAGGTGTGCAGTAAATATTTGTAGGACCAATCAAACAAATAAAACGATTTCCAAAGATAGATGCCATGAAGGAGATAAAAGAGGCAGGTGACATCAAACACGTGTGACAAAGGTGGTGGAGGGTGGAAGGGGGAGGTTTAGGCTAAAAGCTAATCAGAGAGAATTTCCCGGGAAGAGTGGCTTACACGGTGAGCACCTCAAGCAGAGAGACGGCACATGCAGAGGCCCTGAGACAAGAAAGAGCTTTCTGTGCTCCAGGAAAAGCAAGAGCAGCGCAGCAAAAAGGTGGTGAGAACAGGAGAGAGCAGGAGGAGATGGAGTGAGAGAGGAAACTGTCGAGGAGACAGGGCCTTGTGGGTCTCAGCCAGGAGTTTGCATTTTGTTCTAAGCGGAGAGTTTAAAGTAGAGGAAGGAGCCGGGCACGGTGGCTCACGCCTGTAATCCCAGCACTTTGGGAGGCCGAGGTGGGCAGATCACGAGGTCAGGAGATCGAGACCATCCTGGCTAACACAGTGAAACCCCGTCTCTACTAAAAATACAAAAAAAAAAAAAAATAGCCGGGTGTGCTGGCGGGCACCTGTAGTCCCAGCAACTCGGGAGGCTGAGGCAGGAGAATGGCGTGAGGCCAGGAGGCGGAGCTTGCAGTGAGCCAAGATTGCGCCACTGCACTCCAGCCTGGGTGACAGAGTGAGACTCCGTCTCAAAAAAAAAAGAAAAAAAGGAGAGGAAGGAAGCAAGATCATGCTCACTGCAAAATGCCCTGGGAACTAAGATCTCTCACTGGGACACTGGTTGAGGGGTCCCCAGCCCTCTTCTGAGGAGAAGGATCATGCACGTTTCTACCCCAAGACCACCCTCATCTGCCCAGATCAAAGGTGACTGGGTCAGCTGGACCCTGCAGTTTCCTCTCCCACCAGAGCAGAAAGATGCCGTCATTGGGCACCGCTGCAGGTGAATTAGCCAAGGTCTTCATAAACTGCCTCCCCTGAGCCTCATGACTGCCTGCAAGGTGGAACTGCAGCATCCCACTTGCAGGTGAAGAGGCTGACACTCAGGGACGGCAGACCCTGAGGGTTCAAAGGCAGATCGAACCCCTAGACTCCAACGTTCACCCTATATGGGGGTGTCCAGAGGCTTCTGAGACCCCAGGCCTTCTGGGGTCCAGCATCTTCCCGTGAAGCCCCACTCGGCCTGGAGGGTCATGGAGTCATTTACTGTCACTCACAAACTCAAGCATCCTATCCTAAGTGTTGCATAAGGGGCTGCCCACTGGTGGCCTATAGGGTTTTATTTTTAAACTCAAATTAGTTGCTAAGATTTAAAAAAGCAAAAGACTGCCCATGAAAACATGCAGCTCTGGCTTCCATGAAAAAAAAAAAAAAAGCCCAACTGGCTCCTCTGGGCCCGCTGTGCCATGGGGCATCCACAAGCTGGAGTGGAGGTTTCCAGACCCTCACGTTCTGCACACAGCCACCTGGCCCCTGGGCCTGTGGCCTCTAGCCCGTGTGCTGCAGAGCCCACCTCTGCCTTGTTGGTTGGAGAAGCTGGGTCAGGGGTCCCTGCATGGCTGGGGCAGCCCAGGGGAACCTCTGTAGCCCAGGCTTCTCTGCTGTCTCACACAGGGACCTCTATGATGGCTTCAGCTGCTAGAACTTTCCAAAATGCTCCTTTTCCTGTCCCCATGTGGCACCGGTGGCCCCCTGCTACCTATTAAGAGGTCCTGCTCTTCGGCTGCAGATAGGGACAGTGACCTGAGGAAGAGACCATCCCCAAGGCCTTCCAAACCTAAGTCTGAATGCACAGGCTGCTGGGAGGGAGGATGGGGAGGTAGGGGTGCAAGGCTGGAGGGGAGTGCCACGGGAATACTGTCGTCTCAAGGCTGGGGGACTCCCCAGCAAATTGATGTGAAAGGGAACAGAAGCTGATTCAGGGTGCTGAATGGGTGACTTCTCCAGGAGCCCAGAGGCGAGAGTGTTCACTTGCACACGCCTGTATGCACACACTCGTACCACAGCACACACATGTGGTGATGCACGTGCACTAGCAGGCATGCAGACACACGCCAACTTGCAGCCCGCAAACGCCCACAGACCCAGACACGCAGACGCACGCTCCAGAGCCCACACGGTGCCCCGGCCTCCCTAATTGCATTTCTGAAAATGAGATAGAGGAAATCGAATGACTTTGAGGCGGCTGCCGTTACCCCATGGCGATTTCCCATCTCCGTTCAGAGAGGCCACAGCAGCAAGGCTGTCTGGAGTTCCGTCTGAGCCCTGAGACTCCTTAGCAACCCTCAGCATGGGCCACACTGCAAGCTGTCTCTGGCCTCGGCCAGCCGCCTGCTATGGACGGGAGCTGCCAGCTCATCTAGGGCTTGCAGTGGTGATAAGGGCCACTGACCTGCCTCCTGGGGCAGCTGAGACTACAGTGTCTCTCTGTTCTCAAGGCACCCCAAAGCCCAGGACCACAGCATTTCCCATCATTATAGAGCCCAGGGCCTCTGCCCCATGCTTGGTGCATCCTAGGACCCTGTGCCTACAGGATGAGAAGCTGCTGCCCAGAAGATCCCTTCCTATGGGTCTGTGCCACAGTGTGTTCTCCTCCTGAGGCTCTTCCCATCCTGAGCCACTCCACAGACCCTCTGATTGGAAGTTCCCCCAGACCCCTTATTCTCCACGGCATTTCAGACACAGCCTAGACAGAAGGATGCTGTTGGCCATAATATTGTCTTCAATGATAGAGCAGACAAATTGCATGATCAGCCGCACTGTTATCCTGGAGGTCACCTGAGACCCTCAGATCTTCCTCATAAACATAGTAAAGCACGTCTCTCACACCGAAAGTGGACATTGACAATGGAGGTTTTGAACTGATTGGAGCTATCACTGGTTTCCCTTTATTGGTTTGAATCTGTGCGATGATGAGGTGCATAGCTGAGAAAGAGCAGAGTCCCCCGGCCAGGTGGCTCCAGGAATGACCCAACCCTGGTCTGAATGACCAAGCCCCTCCTCTCCTGCATCCTCCTGGGCACAAGAGAGACAGTGGCTGGACCTGAGAACTGCAGAGCCAGGTGGTCCCAGACAAGCCATCACTGCAGAGGAAGAGCCTAAGCCCTGGGATCAACAGGGAGTGAGAGGCAGCTTGCTTCAAGACTCATCAGAAGTTAGCAGATAATTCCACCCACCTGACACATGGCAGCAGGGAAACAAATGTCTCCGAAAGACCTCACTCTCACTGGAAACTGGGATTTGGCCTTGCTCGGTCCCAGGTCTCAGCCTCTGCCCAGGCTGGACCCTGGTCCTCCATCTCACTGAGCAGTGGCCACGCTAGGACCAGGTGTCAGCTTTGCTGGATCATGGACCTCAGCCATGCAGAACCCTGGGCCTCAGCCTCACTGGACCTTGGACCTTGGCCTTACCAGGCTGTGGACCTTGGCCTCACTGAACCCTGGACCATAGTCTCACTGGATCTTGGCCTTGCTAGACCCTAGACTTCAGCCTTGCTGGGCCTCAGACTCTGGCCTTGCTTGACCTTGGACCTCAGCCTCACTAAACCCTAGACCATGACCTTATTGGACCCTGGACCTTGGCCTCACTGACCTTGGATCTTGACCTTCCTGGACCCTAGACCTCAGTCTCACTGGACCTTCGACCTTGGCCTTGCTGGACCCTGGATCTTGGCCTCACTGGACCCTAGGCTTCAGCCTCACTGGACCTTGGACCTCAGCCTCCCTGGACCCTGGACCTCAGCCTCACTGGACCCTATAGACCCTGGCCTTATTGGACCCTGGACCTTGACCTCACTGGACCTTTGGCCTCAGCCTCCCTGGACCTTGGACCTCAGAATCATTGGACCCTGGGCCTCAGCATCACAGGATCCTGGACCTTGACCTCCCTGGACCCTGGATCTCGGCCTTACTGGACTCTGGACCTTGGCCTCATTGGACCCTGGGTCTCAGCCTCACTGACCATGGACCTTAGACTCACTGACCTTGGACCTTGGCCTTGCTGTACTCTAGACCTCGACCTCGCTGGACTTGGACCTGGGCCTCGCTGGCCACTGGGTGCCAGCCTCCGCTTCTCCAGCCCCTCTGCAGGCTGCAGTCCTGCCGTGCCCCCTTGTCTCTGTGCTGCCAGCACAACTCCAGTCTCGCCCTCTCCTCTTCTTGGGGAAGTTGAGGCTCCTAAGAAAATGCCTTCTGCAGGAGGCCTACTCCACCAGGCAAGCTGTTGTCCTAGAGAAAAAATAAAAACCACCCAGCCTCACTTATAACAAACTTGGTCTGTTGTGCAACTTTGCAGTACAGAATGTACATGTGCCCAATCTCCCCACTGTTGCATAATTTTCCAGCTGTTTTCAGGACTATTTCATCCCTCGTCTGGCATATTTCACAAGCCATATATAAAAATTATATATATGTAAATATAAAGATGAGCATATGTGTGCGATGAAACGACAAATGTGAAGTGAGGGAAAGGAGGTAGGGGACCAGGACTTAGCAAAAAGGCAGATGAAACAAGTGTAAACATTTTGAATGCCACCTTCTCGACGTCTGGGTGAGAAAAGGAAGTTGGACTCCATTTAAATTTAAAGTGAGACATTCGTCCAATAAAATCGATTTCAAACTTGGTGGTGTTTGGCTTCCCTCTTCTCCAGTAGTTTTCTTTTTTTCGTAGTAACCCTTAAAACTCCATCCTATTCGTTACAGAAATTCTGTGTGCATCTTCTTGCCAAATATTTCTTAACAACGTAAGCTGAGATGTCCCATATGGCACAGAAAGGCAACATCCTGGCAAGCCCCTGCCTCCTCGTGCCTTATCACGACCCTTCACAGAGATAAGCTGAGCACTTCCTCCTGACAGGAAACCTGGGTTTCTGCTGGTCCTGCCAAAGTCACCTGCACAAGGGAGGCCACTCTCTTCCCAGAAGCAGGATCTGCCCAGGATGGCTGGGCCTGTGATGGGGAAGATGCTGAGCAGAGGGACCTGCAGGGCCAGACAGGTCACACCCTAGGCCACAAGCTGGAGGTTTGCAGGCAGAATCCTGCCCATGGGCATGTTTGGCTGGGACAGCACAGTCACTTTGAAAATTTGAATTAGATGCATAAGTTAAAAACTAGGTGCTTTCAGATTAGAAATCTAGATTCTTGGCTGCGAAAATAAAACTGATAAAACAAAATGTCCTGACAACACAGGGCTTGCACTCCAGCAGGGCAGTGGGACCAGGGGCTCAGAAGGGGCTGCCTATCCATCTCAGATCCCTTCTCACCTGTATCAATCAGCTATAGGCACAGGAGAACTACCTTGCCACCTACCCCAGGGAACAAGAGCCATCCTGCGGTCACAGCTCCGCCGGTCCAGGCTGTAGCTGGGGCAGCTCAGCTCCATGTCAGCTCATGTGGAGCCCAAAGTGCTGGGACAGCAGCTCCTGGGGAAGCCCATCTCATGGAGGAGGTCAGAATCTTCGAGAAAGATGAGCATAAAGACCTCATGCTTAAGGCCCAGGCTCAAATCCAGCACACCATCACTTCCACCTGTGTTCCACTGGCCAGGAGAGATGCACGCCCAGCCCAGTGGGAGTGGGGTGAGGAGGGACACTTCATCCTAGAGGGAGAAGCTGCAAAGTCACACAACAGTGGATGTGGAAGAGGGGTGTGTACTGGATTGAGCAGGGTCCTCCAAAAGTGCATGTCCTTCTGGAATCTTAGAAAGGGATCTCATTGGAAAACGGGCTCTTTGCAGATGTAATTAGTTAAGAGGAGGTCACACTGGATCAGAGTGGCCCCAATCCAATATGATGGGTGTCTTTCTAAGAAGTGGAGATGCAGAGACACAGATACACAGACAGAAGGCCATATGGTGACAGAGGCAGAGATCAGAGTGATGCCACCACCAGCCAAGGAACAGCAAGTGTTGCCAGAGCTATGACCTCAACTGTGCCCCCTTCAAATTCACATACTGAAGCCCTAACCCCTAATGGGACTGTATCTGGAGACAGGGCTTTTGGGAGGAGATTAAGGTTAAATGAGGTCATAGGGGTGGGGCCCTAATCCAATAAGACTGGTGTCCTTATAAGAAGAGGAAGGGTTATCTCCCTCCCTCATTCCCTCCCTCCCTCTCCCTCTCTCTCTTGCTCTCACTCTGGCTCTCTCCAACACCTGAGGACACAGCAAGAAGGCAGCCAGCTACAAGCTGGGAAGAGAGCCCTCACCAGGAACTTAATTGAATGGTATGTTGATTTTGAACTTCCCACCTCCAGAACTGTGAGAATACATTTCTGTTGTGTAAGCCCCTCCATGACATTTCAGTGGCAGCCCAGGCTGATTAGTACAGCCAGCAGTCACCAGAAGCCAGAAGAGACACATGGAACAGACTCTCCCTCCAAGCCTCCAGAATGAGCCAGCACCTTGATTACAGACTTCTGGCCTCCAGAACTGTGAGAGTCACCTTGATTTCAGACTTCTGGCCTCCAGAACTGTGAGAGTAGATTTCTATTGTTTTAAGTCATTTGAGTTTGTGATCATCCGTTATGGCAGCTCTAATATAGGATGGGTGAGGAATTGGAAACAATAAGACAATATACTACAGACTGTCCTCTTGGACCCAATTACTCAAGAGGCTTCCTGCTGTGGTTTGAATGTGTCCCCTACAAAATTCATGTGTTGGAAACTTAATCCCCAATGCAACAGTGTTGAGGGGTGAGCTGTGATAAAAGGGGCTTGTGAAAATCGGTTCTCTCTCTTCTGTTCTTCTTCCACATGAGGACACAGCAAAAAAGCCCCCATCAAATGCTGGTGCCTTGATCTTGCCTTCAGAACAGTGAGAGAATTAATTTCTGTTCTTTGTAAATTATGCAATCTTGGTATTCAGTTACAGCAGCACAAAATGGACGAAGACACGCCTGCTCCCAAAATATACTCACTCCATCCTAAGACCCTGAAAGCCTTAACCACTCATGATTCAAGCTTGAAGTCCAGAATACCCCATCCTACATCACATCCAGATGTGGCTTCTCTTGCTCCAGAGACCTGTGGAACACAAGGAGAAGTTATGTTCACCCCTCCTACCTTCCACACCTCACACACACCCCAGCAACACTCCCATTCAAAGGAGGGAAGGACAGGAAGCCCATAGCAGTCACTGGTTCATAGCAATCCTTAAATCCTGTTGGAAAAATGTTGCCAGGTGCTGCTCCCCTGGGGGTCGAGAATGTTCTGGGATGAGGTTCCAGGTTCACCCTCTGGGACTTGAGCCTCAATCCATTGTTTTCTGTGGCTGTTTACTCTCTAGGAGATCCTTCCTTTCCCATCCTTCTCCTTGGTCACCTCTGAGAAGGACCCTGGAAAATATGCCCTTCCTGGCAGCTGAAGGGTCTTGTTCATAAAATGTCAGTGGCCCCCAAATTTTTTTTTCCACATTAAATACCGTTAGTCTCTTTTAGTCCAGACTGGTGGGCTTTTGCCAAAACAGCTCTCTCAAAAATGATGTAAGCCTGGCGCGGTGGCTCACGCCTATAATCCCAGCACTTTGGGAGGCCGAGGGGGGCAGATCACGAGGTCAAGAGATCGAGACCATCCTGGCTAACATGGTGAAACCCCGTCTCTACTAAAAATACAAAAAAAAAAAAAATTAGCTGGGCGTGGCGGCGTGCACCTGTAGTCCCAGCTACTCGGGAGGCTGAGGTGGGAGAATGGCATGAAGCCAGGAGGCAGAGCTTGCAGTGAGCCGAGATCATGCCACTGCACTCCAGCCTGGGCGACATAGAGAGACTCCATCTCAAAAAAAAAAACAAAACTGGATGCTGTGTGCCAAAAGCCATATTCACAATGTATTACAAGACATGCCTTTCTCTACACTTAATTGCAGGTACTGTGAGCCCCCTGAGCTGCTTCAGGACCCACCGTTGATCTTTCTAGTAACTGCTGGGCATCATTTAATTCTTTCAGAGGTCTTCACACAAGGTGTGATAGCTGTGTCTTTGATTTGATTTTTGTCCCCAAGCTATATCTTCATTGACTTGAATTTTCTTCCAGGCTGTATCTTAAGTGGGAAATCTTTTATTGGATGGAGAGATTGAAGATTAGAAATAGTTTTCTTGGCTGGGCACAGTGGCTTACACCAGTAATCCCAGCACTTTGGGAGGCCAAGATGGGAGAATACCTTGGGTTCAGGAGTTCAAGACCAACCCTGGCAATACAGCAAGACACCGTCTCTATAAAAAATTAAAAATAATAAAAATTAGCCAGTCATGGTGGCACACACCTGTAGTCCCAGCTACTCGGGAGGCTGGGGTGGGTTGATCGCTGGAGCCTGGGAGGTCAAAGCTGCAGTGAGCTGTGGTCATGCCACTGCACCCTAGCCTAGAAGACAAAGCAAAACCTTGTCTCAAAAAACAAAAAAGAGAAAAGAAATAGTTTTATTTTCCAACCCAGAAAGTTCCAGAATTTCCAGGCTCTGTTTTCCTTCTCAATTCTTCTTGACAAGCAGCCAGTGTTTTCCGGAGATGTCTCCTGTTTGTGGTTCCATATCAACTGTGGGCAGCAGAGGCCAGCTCATGCCTTCAACATCCTACCTGGACACACCCAGCCCAAAGCCGTGAGTGTACCAAGTACCTTTTCTAACCTTCAACTTACTGCGAGTGACAGTTTTTAGCAAATGTCTCACCACTGCATAACACAGGCCATCATTTTTGCAGCCTCCTATAACAGTTTCTGGTTTCAAAGCCAATTCTGTTCTAGGTACCGGTTTCCATAGCGGTTCACCACTGCCATAATATCGCTGCATAATAAACCACCCTAAAACTTGGCAACCTCAAACAGCAAGAACGTATTCTCAGGCTCACAGCTCGGTTTTTGTGTGTGCGTTCTGGGGCCCGGGCTGAGGGGGCAGCAGCTCCCACGGGAAGCTCATCCCATGGGTGAGGTCAGAAGCTGCCAGAAAATGTCACTTCGCCCACGTACCACTGGCCAGGCAAAACTCACTGCCCAGCCTGTCCTAGAGGGAGAAGCTGCAAAGTCATGTGTCAGAGGGCACGGACATAGGGATGGGGAGGCCCGGGGAACCGCAGTGCAGCCCAGCACAGCCTGCATTGAAGTTTCATTACTTGCCAGTTTTCGCATTATGAAAGTGCTGGTTCTTGTAACAAGTGAAATGATTCCAAATCATGTGAACCAAAGCAAGTATCTGTTCCCTGTGCATCTCCCACATCGCCTTCTTTGCGGATAGAGAAGAATGGAGCCATGGTGGGGGAGGAAGCCAGGAAGAGAGAGGAGGAAGCAAGACTGAAGCAGGGAAAGGGCTGGCGCCTCCCCTGCCCCAGTTCCAGCCCCGCCAGAGGCTCCACGCGCTTTCCCACTCTGGATGTCATGGAATCCGCACCACCCTCATTCTCAACACCGAAGGACCCAATTTGTGCATGACAGTTTAGATGGGTTTCTCTTCTGTATTAGCTTCCTGTGGCTGCTGTAACAAATCAACACCAACTTGGTTTAAGCGGGGCTTAAACCGAAAGAAACTTATTCTCTCCCCGCTCTGGAGGGCAGAAGTCCGAAGTGAGTCTGAGAGCAGAAAGCAGGTGTCTGCAGGGCCACACTCCCTCCAGAGGCTTTGGGGAGAATCTGTTCCCTGCCTCGCCCAGCTCCTGGGGCTGCTGGCGTTCCTTGGCTCACGGGCGCTTCCCTCCCATCTCTGCCTCCCTGGTCACATCGCCGCCTCCTCTTCTGGGTGTGTGTCTGGGTCAAACCTCCCTCTGCCTCCTCCTCATAAGGACATTTATCCAATTTAGCACCCACCTAGATAATCCAGGATAATCTTCTCCTCTCAAAATCATCCATCAAATCACATCTTCAAAGACACCTTTTCCAAGTGAGGCAACCTTTACACCTTTGCAGACCATCATTCCACAGCCACGCCCAGAACAGGGGAGCCAGGTGATGGAGGGTGGGATCTGCCTGCCGAGAACGAGGAAGGGCATCGGTGACAGGTAACAACCTGAGGCACTGGAGAGGGAGAGCACGCGTGATGTTCCTCAGAAACGAGTCGCATTTCCGCATAGCGCCTCCTTCAGACCGTGAGAGATCGCCAGAGGGCGTGGGCTTTCCGTTCTGTTCTCTGAACCTACAGTTAAGCCCAAGCCAGGGGCCGCTTTTCCCTAATGAACATGCCTTTCTTCGGTGGACCTGACCCTGTTACAGGAAAGCCGCGCTTTGATGAAACCAGTTCTTTAAAATGAAACATGGTATTAAAAGCCATAACAGGATCCCTGTGAAATTAAACAGGGAAGACAGACGTTCTAAACGCCCCCCGACACTGGTTTTGATTTTTTAAGTTGTCAGTTAAATTAAAGTCAGGCCACAGAGACTCAGCGCTCAGCTTGCCTTCCTGGAGGAAAATGCTCGGATGCGCCTCCCCGCAACAGGTCCTCCTCTTGCAAAGCTCTTTGAGGTTGGATACAATCTTTTTTTGTTGGTTTTTGTTTTCGGTTTTTTTGTTTGTTTGTTTGTTTTTGTTTTTGAGATGGAGTCTGGCTCTATCGCCCAGGCTGGAGTGCTGGAGTGCAGTGGCACGATCTCAGCTCACTGCAACCTCCGCCTCCTGGGTTCACGCCATTCTCCCGCCTCAGCCTCCCGAGTAGCTGGGACTACAGGCGCCCACCACCACGCCCGGCTAATTTTTTTTTTTGTATTTTTTAGTAGAGACGGGGTTTCACAGTGTCAGCCAGGATGGTCTCGATCTCCTGACCTCGTGATCCGCCCGCCTCTGCCTCCCAAAGTGCTGGGATTACAGGCGTGAGCCACCGTGCCCGGATACAATCTTGCCTGCCACCCATGTTTCAGCTCTGGGGGTGGAAGGCAGGAAGCCACCGGTGAGAGCCAAGAACTAGTCACGAGATCAGTGAGGGGTTCTGTCTGTATCAGCCTGTCTCAGGACCGTGAAAGGGCCGTTCCAAGCAAGGGCTCAGATGTGGATAAGAACTGGTGGCTTAAATATGGTTATATGGCAAGTGACAGAAACTGACTCGGGCTGACTTGGGCAAAAAGGGAAGTTATTGTTTCACAGAATTAAAAATCCAGGGATAGTTTGGCCTTGGACAGCTGAAATGTTGTCCTCAGGACCCAGTTTCTTTCCCTCCAGCTCTCTGTTCCTCTTCCTATGGGTTGATCCCATCTCAAACAAGAAATGTCCTCATGATACCAACAGGGCTGCCACGGCTCCAGCTTCACATTCTCAGAACCTCAAGCCCTGAGGGGAAACAGGCTTCTTCCCCAACAACTCATATTGAGTCCCAGGTATCTAGTGGGCCTAGATGGGGCCAGGGGCCCATCCTTGCACCAATCTAATGGCCAAGAATTCACTGAGGGGCCAGGATTTGGCCGAACGATCCACCCCCGAAAGCTAAGGGCTGGGTTAGCTTCACCCTAGTTACATGCCCCACAGAAAAGCATGAGTGGCTACTAAATAGTAAGTGTCTCCCATGCTACTTTAATGGCTGACTCAAAATGCCTCTAGTAAGTCAGAAAAGCAGTTAATCCTTATAGTCTGGATCGTCCAGTTTAATGGCTCTATTAGTCAAGAGTTGCCATTAAAAAACACCACACACTGTGTGGCTTGAACAACGGAAATTTATTTTCTCACAGCTCTGGAGGCTGAAAATCTGGGACCAGCGTGCTTGCATGGTCGGCTCCTGGTGAGGCCTCTCTGGCTTGTAGACACATCTCACTATGTCTTCACACAACCTCTTCTCTGTGCAAGAAAGAAGAGAGAGAGAGAGAGAGATGGAGGGGGAGAGAGAGGGAGAGACGGAGGGGGAGAGGGAGGGAGACACGGAGGGGGAGAGGGAGGGAGAGACGGAGGGGGAGAGGGAGGGAGAGACGGAGGGGGAGAGGGAGGGAGAGACGGAGGGGGAGAGGGAGGGAGAGACGGAGGGGGAGAGAGAGGGAGAGACGGAGGGGGAGAGAGAGGGAGAGACGGAGGGGGAGAGGGAGGGAGAGACGGAGGGGGAGAGGGAGGGAGAGACGGAGGGGGAGAGGGAGGGAGAGACGGAGGGGGAGAGGGAGGGAGAGACGGAGGGGGAGAGGGAGGGAGAGACGGAGGGGGAGAGGGAGGGAGAGACGGAGGGGGAGAGAGAGGGAAAGAGCCTTAGCTCAAGCATGCACTCTGGTGTCTTTTCCCCTTTTATTTGTTTATCTATTTATTTCTGAGACAGGGTCTCACTCTGTCACCCACACTGAAGTGCAGTGGCACGAACACGGCTCACTGCACCCTCGACCTCCTGGGCTCAAGTGATCCTCCTACCTCAGCCTCCCGAGTAGCCAGGACTATAGTTGCACACCGCCATGCTTGGCTAATTTTTTTTTTTTTTTTGTACAGTCAGAGTCTCACTGTGTTGCCCAGGCTGGTCTCAAACTCCTGGGCTCAAGGGATCTTACCTCCCACCTTGGCCTCCCAAAGTTCTGGGATTCCAGGTGTGAGCCATCACACTGCCCCCTCTTTTATAAGGACAAGAGTTCTATTAGATGAGGGCCACACCCTTATGACCCCACTTAACCTTAATCACCTCCTTAAAGACTATCTCCAAACAGTCACACTGGGGCTAGGGTTTCATCATCTGGGTGGATGAAGCACAGTTTAGTCCATGCAATGGTCAAACTAACAAGGTAATTGCATATTTCCACTGGGTCCTATGTCAGCATGGCTTGTTATCCCAAGAAACACCAACTCAACAGCCCCGGGGAAATCGGGGCTGGAGGTGAAGGTGGAAATGCTTTGCCTGCTTCCGGCCTGTGCCTCCTCCCTCCCACACACCACCCCAGCCAGCCCACCCTGCTCCAGGACCACCCCAGGCCTAGTGGAGAGGCCAGGGCCTATAGGGCAAGCTGGCTCAGGTCAGCCAGGTGCCAGGCCCACCCTGGCCTCCAACCCCAGCCCCAGTGGCTGCACCCACTTCTTTTCAGAGTCCAGTCTCAGAACTCCAACCTGGGGGCTCCCTCGTCTCCCTCAGAGCCACTACCCCATGTGCCTTTCTCTATACCTGCTGTAGGCTGGCCTTTTATCACCTCCAAATCTCATGTTAAGATTTGGTGTCAATGTTGGAGGTGAGGCGTAAGGGAGGTGTTGGGTCATGGGGCAGGTGTCCCTCATGAATAGAAATCTTTCTGGCCGGGCGCAGTGGTTCACGCCTGTAATCCCTGGACTTTGTGAGGCCAAAGCAGGTGGATCACCTGAGGTTGGGTGTTCGAGACCAACCTGACCAACATGGAGAACCCCTGTCTCTACTAAAACAAAAAAAAAAAACAAAAAAAAGAAATCTTTCTATTAGGGTTTTCTACTCATGAGGGACACCCCGGCCCCCGCACCCGTCCCCATGAATTCCCTCCCTGTGTGGGG
Source organism: Homo sapiens (assembly GCF_000001405.40). NCBI lineage: Eukaryota > Metazoa > Chordata > Mammalia > Primates > Hominidae > Homo > Homo sapiens. The sequence goes on from NW_016107298.1 coordinate 130,573, forward strand.
CAGGGTGAGTGAGCTCCTGCTCTTTTAGTTCTTGTGAGAGCCTGGCACCTCCCCTGTCTCTCCTGCTTCTCACTCACCATGTGGTCTGCACACACCAGCTCCCCTCCACCTTCCTCCATGAGTGGAAGCAGCCGGAGGCCCTCCCCAGATGCCCAAATCTGAACTTTCCAGACATCAAGTCAACCTCCGAGCCAGATAAACTTCTTTTCTTTATAAACTACCCAGCCTCTGGAATTCCTTCAGAGCAACACTAAGACACTGCCCCGCCCTTACCTCCTGGTAACCCCAGGCTGAGACACAAACCACATTCATGGACATGTGAGCAACTGTGGAGGGGTCTTTTGGTCAAAAATGGAATCATTCCATAGGTATCAGCAGCCAACAGTTCTCACTTCCTGACACGTCGCGGCCGTCTATTGAGGATGGTAGCCTGAGATCTACTGCCTTCTCCAGCAGGTGCTTAAAAGCCCATAGCTGTGATGTGTTCAGCCACTCCCATATTTTTTATTGACATTTGTAGGTTGTTTGCAGGTTGTGCGTGTGTCTGTGTGTCTACCAGCAATCTTGTAGTAAGCATCCTTGCTTCTTTGTACACTGGTGCTCTCATTTCTGTAGGATAAAATCCCTAGAGTGGGATTGTGGGTTCAAGCTAATGTGTCTTTTAAGCTGAACAGATATTGCCGGCCAGTCTTCGATGGGATTGAGCCACTCCCCTGTCAGTGAGATCCCATGGGGGCGCGTCTCTGCCTCCCTGCTCGCTCAGTCTGCCGCTGCTCTCTCTGGTCTTTGCTACGCTCACTCCTGCACAGAGTGCCTCACTGTTTTCATTTGCACCTCCTGACCCTAAGGTGTGAGGCTGAGCACTGTTGCTTTTGTTTGACAGGCCGCTGAGGCACCGGATGGAGCCTGGGTTGCGGAAAGCTTTCCTGAGGCCAGGCACTCTGAGTATGGATGAGATGGCTTAGGCTGGAGAAGGGGAGGAGAGCAGTGCAGAACAGCCAGGTGGAAGCTGAGGGGCTCTGAGAGGGCTCAAGCTGGGTTTGAGGGGAGTCCAGAGCGTGCCCAGAGATTGGGGGAGAGGATGGGCAGTGGCCAGGGGTTGTGCACAGGACAAGGGTGTGGCCTAAGACCTCCACGTAGATGCCTTTAAATGGGACAGCCGGGCTTATACTAAGGCACTCTCTAGGGTTTCCATTCTAACCCAGCTCGGTCATCATCTGACCATCATCTCAGGAGCGCCCCTGCCCCTCTGGGCCTCGGTTTCCCTATCTTTAGCTTCAGGGAGCTGGCCCAGTTGATCTCAGTCCTTTCAGTTCTAGCATCTTCTGAGTGGTCAGCAAAAGCCTGCGCTAGCAGCCCCTTCTATAAACATTAATTCACGAACAATATTAAAGGCTGTGGGGGTCCCAGGGGGAATCCTGTGGAGAATCAGAGATTCCCAAGCACTCGTTCCCTGACCCTGGGGCCCACTTCGGGTGGTGAATGTGCGGAACCTTAAAGAGAGGGCTGGTGAGAGCTTGGCCTCTGCGTGACTTGGGCCATGAGGCTGGGGTCAGGGGACTGCTTGCCACCCCTTCCTCCAGGCCTCTGCGTGACAGGAATGCCACACGTCCCAGGTGCCCAGGCCAGGATTCTAAAAGGTGTCCTCATCTCTTCCCCTTCCCTCTGCCCCATTCGACCAAAGGAAAAGGTCCTGCTCACTCCTCCTGTTGAAAGACCAGGAGAAGGTGTCGCGGTAATGGCGGCTGCGTCCTGCCTGGGAGATCAGGAGGCCACAGAGTGTGCAGGGGTGGTGACCTCCTTCCAGCAGCAGGTCCAAGGCACGGGGGTCCCACGGGCCAGGTGGGAGGCTGACGTGGGGCACCCTGCCCAGGGTTTTTTCACATGGGGTCCTGCCGCAGAAGGTGCCTGCCACACAGAGGGGAGCTGGCAGCAGCCAGCCGCCTGAAGACTCCCCCAACCCGCCCCTCCCCGCACAGCAAGGAGTGCAGAGCCCAGGAAGCTCTGGGCAGTGGCTCCAGGAACCCGTGGGCTGCAGACCGCCTCTCCACGGCAGCCCCAGCCTGTGAGCGCCCAGCAAGCCACGGAGCACAGTTGAGATGGTGACGAATACTGTGGACTAGAAGTCTAAAGGGGTTGAAAAGCGATGGCATTTGAGATGTAAAGTGGCTGTGAGACTGTTTATTACTGAAGGGCCAGGCCGGGTGAGGACATGGATGAGGTCAGCAGACTAGACAGGTTAGCTACGGGGCCAAGCGTTCTCCAGGGGCCTCCAGGCTGGCCCGAGATGCCAGGTCCTCCCAGGGAGGAGGGCTTTCAGCCCCACCCTCGAACCCCTGCCCTGCTTCCTGCCAGCCCAGCACCTCTTGGCATTTCTCCTCTAATGAGCCCTCGGAACGCTCTCCTTTGCTGACTCAGGCTCTCATGGCGATGGCCTCCTCAGCTGTCCAGATCATTAGTGAAAAGGTTAATGGATCCCGCTGGGCAAAAAGCCTGGGTATTTTAGGGACCTGCCCTCCTCTGTCCACATCCCCAGGCAGGGTCCCCGCACCCAGCAGAGCACAGACTTGGGAGAGGAGGCTGCAGCCCGCAGCAGAGAAAGAGGATGAGGCGGCCCCGGGTGTGTGCAGAGGATGCAAGACTGGCCAGGAACAGCACCGCCAGCCTCATTCTCAAGGTTGAGGGTGGGACTTGGACTCACGGAATGTCCCAGGCTATGCCTCGTCACCACCTCCAGCCAGGACCTGGGCCTTTCTCTTCTCCACGGCCGTTCCCAGGCCTGCCTGCAGCAGCTATCTCCAAGCCACCCTTGTGGCTCTGCAGGAGGTGATCCGCTCCTCTTCTGTGCTCTGGGATCGTGGCTTGCCTCGGGGAAGACAGGCCTGAGGTTCTTCAGGCCCAACTCTCAGGGACACTGCTGGGAATCCCAAACCAGGCCTTGTCTCCCGCCTCCTCACCCTGGCCACACACTCGTCTGCAGAACAGATGGATGAGCTAAGGAGCAGATGTGCCAGGTTCTGCCTGGAGCCACTGGTCCCAGTGGGCCTCTGTTGTACCCCGTGCACCTCTCCCCAGGCACAGCCTCGTGCCTCCCCTGGCTGGAGTCAGGGGCTCCTTCCTGTGCCCCTGCTATGCTAGGCCCAGCCCTGTACCTGGCCTGGCCAGAGATCCAGTGCCACCCCACAGCCATGGGGAGGATATGCAGTGAGGGCACAAGGACAGGGTGATCCTCAACAGCTCCAGCACGCACCCTCCACTTCCCGACATCCACTCGCAGCATATGGGTGAGAGGAGCCCTTGGGAACCTGGATCACATGGAATCCAGCCCTGAGCTCCTGGCATCCTGGGCTCACAGCTCCAGGTGACTCTAAGGCTGAGGCTGGAGAGGAAGCCCTCGATGCAGCAAGCCAAAGCCAAAGCGGAGCCGGCCTCCTGCCTCTCACTCCCGCAAGACCAGTGCAGGGGCCAGCCCCTCCCAAAGCCGCCTTCGCTCTGTCCCCACACACAAAGGACTAGGCTCACAGCTATCTCAGCGCCCATCACCTTCTGTGCAGACCTTGAGGAAGCCCCTGTGTGCCCCCCAGATGGGGCATGAGGGGTCTCACCCAGATCTCGGCTGCCAGTGCCTGGCACAGCGTCCATACATAACAGGCGTTCAATTATTGCTCTTCTTCTCCAACTTCTCCTTTGCCGTTCCTGGGCTGGGGGAGGGGCCTTTAACCCCCATCTGCAGGCCCCATCTCATTCTCCCAGGCCTAGGCCCGGAGCCCAATCCTGTGGCACCCCCAGGTCCCCTCTGATTTCTAGCCCAATCCTATCCATTCAAGAGAAGGAGAGGCCGTAAACCCTGGCAGAGATGTGGGGCCCCAACCCCTCTCCAGGGATGTGCACACGAAACCCTGGCATTTGTCCCTCCTCAACTGGGACAGCAGTGCCCGGCCTCAGGAAAAGGGTCCTCTCCAGCGCTGCTGAGGGAATAGAGATCAGGGACAATTGTCTGGTTACATTTCTTTGGAGTCATCTGGAGTCACACGGCCTTCCCCAGGGGCAAGGAGCACCTGATGTGTGCCTGCTCTGTTTAGCCTCCCCAGTGTGGAGAAGGAGATGGGAGCTGGCCTCCTATGAGGGTCAAGCTGGAGATCCCCAATTTCACTGCCTTGGAGCTCCAGGTCTGATGCAGGAAGATCATTGAAAAAAAGCAGCATGGGTTCACCCATCCACTGTGGCGATTATCAGCTTGGCACCAGCTGGACGGGAGAAGAGCTGGGGGCTTGAACGTGGGGCTCCCAGGTGCTGGCTGCAGATTTTAGAGGTGTGGGGGACAGACCCTAGCTTAGCAGTTTCTCTTTTCCCAGTTCTTAGCCCCCAGCCCCCTTCTCATTTCTTCTATCCATATGCTGGAAGAGGTGGTCTCCTGTCTGCCTCACCCTCAGCACTACCCCCATCCCAGCCCCATTGATATTATAGGAAGAAATGGAGAAGGAGCTCAGAGCCCCCTCATAGCGCCTTCCTGCAGTAACCTGCCTTGGGGGACTTTGGGGGCCTCCTCCATCACAGCTGCTGAGCCCAGAGGCCCCACGGGCCCTGCTTTAAGATGTCATTAAAAAGATGAGTCTAAAAGAAAAACCTATTAAAATTCACAATCCACATGCCCATTTTTCTACCTCGACCATGTACCCAAGAGAGGGCCTGTACACGAATGTGCCTGCTGTGTTGTGTAGCAGCAAAACCTCGGGAACGATGGACATGGCACAGACAACAGCACCACTGAGCAGGCCGGGCCCCCACCGAGAGGGGGTCCCACACGCCACCCGCACACTGGCTCCACTCCCACGCCAGGAAGGAGCGCGAGGTGCAGAGCCACCTCCAGGTGACCCCATCCACACCCAGCAACGGCAGAGTCCCCCTCTTCCCCAGGGAGCAGCTCCATGCCACTCCCTCGACACAGAGGGCCCTCTGCTCCGGAGGACGTTCGCTCTCTCTGCAGCCACCCTGTCTGGTCATCTCCTCTTGAGGATTCAGACCCCGGACTTCCCAGTGCCTGCTGTGCTGCCTTGGGCTGAGCACCCGGGACCTAACAACGATGCCTAGCACTTGTGTTCATCAGCTGGGCTCCCAACACAGAGCCACACGACTGTGTGTGTTCATCAGCTGGGCTCCCGTCACAGAGCCGCACGACTGTGTGTGTTCATCAGCTGGGCTCCCATCACAGAGCCGCAAGGACTATGGGACTAGAACAGCAGAACCATTGTCTAGCAGTCCTGGAGGCTGCAAGTCCGAGTTCAAGGTGTTGGCAGAGTTGGTTTCTTGCAAGCCCTCTCTCCTTGGCTTGCAGGTGGCCGCCTTCCCCTAGCTTCCACACATGGTTGTCCCTGTGTGTCTGTGTCCTAAACTCCTCTTCTTATAAAGACATCAGTCATATTGGATGAGTAACCTCATTTGAATTTAATGACTTCGTAAGTTCCTATCTCCTAATCTATGCACACTCAGAGCTACTGGTGGTAGGACTTCAACCGCTGAATTGTAGGGGAACACAATTCGCCCCATTACACTGGTCCAGCACTGACCACATGTGAGGCAGTATTCTAAATGCTTTAACTCACTCATTTCTCTCAACATCCCTCAGAGGTGGGAACTATTTTAACCATCCTCATGTTACAGATGAAAAAACTAAGGCTCAGAGCCATGACAACAATTGTCCAAGGTCGCCAGCACCTACACTGGCTTGTGTGTGCCTCATTGGTGTCCCCAGCTAGAAGCTGTGCCCCGTGAGGATAGCAGTTGATTGCACCATTCCCAATGCCTGGCACAGAGAGAGTGCTGAGTGAGGGAGTGGTGGCCAGAGAGGAGCTGCCCTCCAAGGACTGTAGCCCCGCAGAGGCCTCCCTTTCAATGCTCAGCTCAGAGCTGAGCTCTCTGGCCCCCTGGCAACCAGCCCCTGCTCCCCAGGCCCCAGGCCTGCCCAGACACAGGAGCCGCAGGGCCACACAGATGGCACAGCCCTTTGGTAAAAATCAATGCCATTGCCAGTGAGCAGCTGGGCCAAGCTTCCCAGAGTGCTACGGTATCCCAGCAACAACACGCACATCCCCTTGTCTGCAAGCTCCTGAGAAGATACTGCTCCCAGACACCACAGCCCAGCTAGTCCCAGCTTGACTCAGGAGCCACTGAACCTGCAGCCTCCACCCAGGCTGGTATGGGCTGGGCAGGCCTCCTGGGCCAGAGACAGACCCCTGTGGGGGAGGCTGAGAATGGGATCCAGGTTAAAGACCCCACCCACCACCACAGGCCCCCAGGTCTGCTGCCCTCCTAGTTAATCCTCTTAGATCAGGGAAAACTGCAGGGAGCCTGTCTGCCATGTGAGCAGTTATGATTTGACAGGAGTCTGTAAGCAGATGCATGTGCAGGATCCTTCATGGAGATGCCAAGTAGTTGAACCAGGAAAGCATCATCCTCATTCACCTAGATCAGCTACAGAAGTGGGCACTGAACCCAGACCTGGGCAAGAGCCCAGTGTATCCGCTCCCTGTGTCATCAGCTTGTGTGGTCAGGGTGCCCAATTCCAGAGCCAGGGATCCTGGCGGGCTGTGAGAACTTCCTTGAGCCCCTTGCCAGTGTGGGGCTGCCAGCCCTGGGCCCCGGGGAAGGGGAGCAGGAGGCCGGAGCCCAGCTCCAGACTCCCGGAGACCGCACAGCTCCAGCCCTTCCCGAGGCTCTGGGCTCACGTATGTTCAGGTCCCCTATTTCAGTTTCCTTGGCCTTGTTTGCTCCGTTGCTAGTGCTCTTTACTCCCCGACTTTTAACTTTTCAGAAATCTTTGTAGCTCCTTTCCTGTTTTATCTCGCCCATTGATTGAGGAAGCTGTTGGCTCATTTCATCTGGCATATTTTTCTTGTTTTACATTTACGGTGTGTTGTTTTGTTTCCATCACATTGTATTTTGAAGAGTCTTCTCTTTCTATTTGGCCTTGTCTGTGGGTGGCAGCGTTTTTGGAGGAAGGGCCCAGGTTTTGGAGCTGGGCAGACCCTGACTCAGCTATAGCTCTGCCAGGCTGGTAATTTTTTGGCCTCTTACAGTCACTTTAAGTCTCTGAGCCTCAGTTTCCTCCTATTAAAAATAGGAATAGTCATACCTGTGGGAAGGTTCAGGCCTATTCGGTATTGTTCATTTAAAGCGCCTGGCACAGGGCCTGTCCATTATGGGGGCACCGTCATTGCTAGCACATGTCAACGCCGGCACCAGGAGCGTGGGCTTCTGCTGTGTCCCAAATTGTGAGACCAGTGGTCTTCTTTGTCTTCCCGTCCCACACCTGAACAGCTGTGAGGAGGGTCTCGACCACATGCCAGGAACCTCAGTGCTCCCCCTCGATAAGGGACAGAGCTGTCCACACCACCCCTCGCCCTCTTTGGGACGCTGCGCACTCTCGCAGTGGTAGGGCGGAGAGCTGTCAATCAAATGCAGTGCCTCACCTCCTGCGGCAGGATTGGACGTTCGGCCCAAGCCGGACCAATCAGCATCCTTCCCCAGTGCTTTCCGACTGGACCTAAGGCTTGAGGCACATTTCCTCTTGGAGGAGCGGCTCTGAAGCGAGGGTCTGCCACTGTCGGGAGCCTAGAGGGGAAGAAGCTGGCCTGGGCCAGGCCCCAGAAGTGGACGAGAGAGGGTCTGGACATGCTGCGCCTACTGCCGGGGCCCCTTGGACGCAGCAACAGTTTGGTTCTAAGAGCCCGTCAGCTGGTCTGAGCCAGCTTCTGACAGTTGCAGCCAAGAATCCTAATTCAAACGCCCACGGCTCTGCCAGGCCGCCAAGATGGGTTCCCATAACCTGAGCTCCCTCTCCAATTCAGACAGACTCTGGAGGGCTCCCCAGGGAACACATGATTGAGCCCACTTACCAAGCCGGCAGGCTTCTCTCTCCAGGAAGGCACCAAATTTTCATGGACCAGCTCACAAGCTGGAGCCTGGGGTGGCTCCACACCCCAAGCAGGCAGGCTCCTTCACACAGGAGGACACCCTGGCAAGGGGTGCCTGAGAGCAGGGCCCCACAGGCCTGGGTGAGTAGGACATCTAGGTGGCTCACGAGGACGCTGCATATTCTGAGTCTCAATCCCTAGGAAGGAGACCAGGGTGTGTTCTGGGAGCTGGGAACAGGGCAGGGCTGTGGGTGTTGGGGTACGAGGTCTGCACCCAGCCAATCAGCGTCGGGGTCCAGGGTGTGTGCCCTGTCCCACTGCAAGAGAGGGGCCGAGGCAGGGAGCCAGGACACAGGGTACAGAAGGCATGCAGTCAGATGGATGAGGCCAGCAGGGACAAAGGGAGACACACCAGGCCCAGGGCTGCGGCAGGCCCATCAAGGGACTCTCTGCCCCCTCAGAAGTGCCCTCACGCTGTTCGGCAGCCAGGCATAGGTGGAGAGTCATGGTCCAGTCAGGCGGCCCCGACTTCAGGTCAGAGGGCACGGAGGACGTCCGGGCAGAGGACTTGGAGGACGTCAGGGCAGAGGACTTGGAGGACGTCAGGGCAGAGAGCACAGAGTACGTCAGGGCAGAGAGCAAGGAGGACGTCAGGGCAGAGGACTCAGAGGGCGTTGGGGCAGAGGGCACAGAGGACGTCGGTGCAGAGGACTCAGAGGACGTCAGGGCAGAGGGCACGGAGGACGTTGGGGCAGAGGACTTGGAGGACGTCAGGGCAGAAGGCACAGAGGACGTCGGGACAGAGGGCACGGAGGACGTCGGGGCAGAGGACTCAGAGGACATCAGGGCAGAGAGCTCAGAGGACATCGGGGCAGAGAGCACAGAGGACGTCGGGGCAGAGGGCACGGAGGACGTCGGGGCAGAGGACTCAGAGGACATTGGGGCAGAGAGCACGCAGGACGTCAGGGCAGAGGACTCAGAGGACGTCGGGGCAGAGGGCACGGAGGACGTTGGGGCAGAGGGCACAGAGGACGTCGGGGCAGAGGACTCAGGATGTCAGGGCAGAGGGCACAGAGGATGCCAGGGCAGAGGGCACAGAGGATGTCAGGGCCCTCTCCTCTAATCATCTCAGGTGCTGTTCTCTATCACCTCATCAGGAGCAGGACCGACTGCCAAGGCCGCCGTGGTAGGGAAGTTTCTCCACAAGATTGTGCTTATACGTTTTGCGTTGCCATAAAAGAACGCCGGAGACTGGGCCGTTTATAAAGAAGAGAGGTTTATTTGGTCCACAGTTCTGCAGGCAGTACCGGAGGCATGGCAGCAGCATCTGCTTGGGGTCAGGGCCTCAGGAAGCTTACCCTCCTGGTGGGAGGGGAAGGGTAGCAGAGGTGTCCCACAGTGACAGATGGAGCAAGAGAGAGGAGCTACCTAGGCTCTTTCTAACAATCAGATCTCATGGGAATTCATTACCACAGGGAGGGCACCAGGCCATTCATGAGGGATTGGCCCATGTCACCCAAGCACCTCCCACCAGGTCCCACCTCCAGCATTGAGGGTCAGATTTCAGTATGAGATTTGGAGAGGACAAACATCCAAACTGTATCAACCACCCTACATGAACCAGTGCCTGCCTTTCTGACCTCCCCACTCACTCTGCTCCCCCTTCCCCACACTCCCCCTCCTTGTGCTTAAACAGGCCATGCAGTTCCCACCCAGATGGGAACGCAGAAGTGCTGAGAAGCCTCTGGCTGCTGAGAAGGACCGGAGACGCTCAGGCAGGGCTTCACTGAGGAGGGACATCTTCAGCTGGGAACAACTCTTCCACACAGCATCCATGGTGTTTGTCTACACTCCAGTTTCTCTACTGTCAAATAATGTCCTGGTCTGGCCAAGAGGGCACTGTCTTCTCATCAAGCTATGAGGGTCCCAAGGAAGAGGAGCCCAGCCAGGGAATGGGAGAAGGGGGAGGAGTCCAGCTGGGGGAGAGAAGAAAAGGGGGAGGAGCTCAGCGGGGGAGGGGAATGAGGTAGGAGTCCAGCCAGGAGAGGGGGAAAGGGGGAGGAGCTCAGCAGGGGAGGGGGGAAGGGGGAGGAGTCCATTCAGGGGAGGGGGAGAGGGAAGTGTCCAACTGGGGGAGGGGGGAAGGGGGAAGAGTCCAACTGGGGGAGGGGGAAGAGGGAGGACTCCAGCCCCTGGGGAGGAGGAGCCCAGCCAGGGGTGGTGGGGAAGGGGAAGGATCTCAGTGGGGGAGGGGGAAGGGGAGGAGTCCAGCCAGAGGAGGGGAAAAAGGGAGGAGTCCGGCTGGGGGAGGGGAAAGGGGGAGGAGCTCAGCCCAATGCCCCCTCCTGGGCTGTACTGCATGAGAGTGGCTACCAGCCAGACCAGCCATGTCTATACCACCAGGTCCCACCAGAATTGTGGACAGGCCGGGTGCAGTGGCTCACACCTGTAATCCCAGCCCTTTGTGGGGGTTGAGGTGGGTGGATCACCTGAGGTCAGGAGTTCAAGACCAGCCTGGCCAACATGGTGAAACCCCATCTCTACTAAAAATATAAAAAATTAGCCAGGCATGGCCAGGTGCAGTGGCTCACTCCTGTAATCCCAGCACTTTGGGAGGCCGAGGCGGGCAGATCACGAGGTCAGGAGATAGAGACCATCTTGGCTAACACGGGGAAACCCCGTCTGTAATAAAAACACAAAAAAAAATCAGTCGGGCGTGGTCGCAGGCACCTGTAGTCCCAGCTACTCGGGAGGCTGAGGCAGGAGAATGGCGTGAACCCAGGAGGTGGAGCTTGCAGTGAGCCAAGATCGCGCCACTGCACTCCAGCCTGGGTGACAGAGCGAGACTCTGTCTCAAAAAAAAAAAAAAAAAAATTAGCCGGGCGTGGTGGTGGATGCCTGTAATCCCAGCTACTTGGGAGGCTGAGGAAGGAGAATCGCTTGTGAACCTGGGAGACGGAGGTTGCTGTGAGCTGAGATCGCGCCATTGCACTCCAGCCTGGGCCACAGAGCAAGACTCTGTCTCAAAAAAAAAAAAGTGTGGGTGGCGATGGACCTGTGCCCCACTCTCCATCCACAAAGCAGTCCGGAGCACATGTCACCCCTATAAGGGAGCCACGGTGACCCTCAGGTGGAGGCAGGGGCAATGCTGCTCACAGAGGCAGCACCCACCAGGCCAGATCCAGAGACACTGGCAGGGAGACCTTCTAGAGCAGGCTCGTTGGAAGGAAGAACATCCCTGTCTTTATACACATTTAACCCAGAGCCGCCCACTCCTCCCCAGGCACCATCTAGATCCACAAGCAGTGAGGCAGGTTTTAAAGCCATCTTCTCACTCCTGTCTCAGGACCAGGAAAATGTCTCCTGCCATTTACATAACTGAGAGAGAAGCCCCTCAGGGAGCAAGGGAGATGTGCCTAGAGGAGGCTGCTGCGCCCGAAACAGCCGGCAGAGTCAGAGGAGCACAGACACATTCAGTCCCCGCAGGGCACCGCTCTGGTGGGGCACCTGTGCCAAGGCAGGCAGGTGTGAAAGCACGTGACCTGGTGGGGAGAGGGCCAGTGTTGGATGCCCGGGGTGTGTAGCTGTGTAGGGGCTGCGAATGCGGCTGGAAAAATGGGGGCGCAGAACTCAGCCAGCCTAAGGGTTTAGCTGTCACCCTGGGAGGATTTTTGTCAGGAATTCAAGACAAGGATCGAATGTCCTAAATTTGACCACAAGTCTTCCTTGTTCCAGGAAAGAATGCACCAAACCCTGCATGATTGTTTATTCACATCCACTTAGCAGGCTGGTGAGCAGCGTGCGGAGGAGGCGGCAGAACCAGAACCTGGACGCAGGAGAAGGACGGGGGGCACGAGATGGGCACAGGACGCCTCCCAATCAAGGCTGCTCTGTGGGTTTCAGAAACGGGACACCCATCCCTTCAGGCATCCATAGCGTGTGAACTGTAGGACTACAGGGTGCAGGTCACCCCAGAGCTCAGCATCCAAACCAGTGGGGCACAGCTTCGGCCTCCCACCTGCCCAGGCTCACCAGAGACACTGGCTGTGGGCAGAGATGACCTGGAGCCAGGAGCCAGGAGCTGTGGCGCAGCGGGTAGAGGCCGGGCCCACCGCCATGCCATCGTGGTGAGGCTGTTGCCAGACCCCAGCTGGAAACAAAGATCCTCCAGGCCCAGCCATGGAGGAGGAAAGAGGTATTAAAGGATGGGGGGTGGTGGTGAAAATGTGCAGAGGCCCCAAAGCCTCCTTTCCAGCCAGTGATGCCAGGAAGCACCAGGGGCAGCAGCAGACAGGCCATGGTGTCCTCTGAGACTGGGTGAGGCTCTATGGCCCGAGTGCCTGACGCAGAGCCAGGCACACAGGGCCACCTCCAGTGGATGTGCTTTACTCCACCTGCTCTCAGAACCTGGAGCCTGCATTTCCCTATTCGTTGGACGGTGTGACAACCCCCAGCTCCATAGCTCAGTAGTGCAGGTCAGTGTGGTAAGGGGGATTCAGTGCCCAGCCCAGTGCCTGGCGCCCGGGGCTGCTCACCACAGCCTGGGGATGCATGCTTCCAGGTGCCACCATTGTCCTCATGGCTGGCACCCTCAGTACCCACCCCAACTCCTATCCCTGCACCCAGCACCCTGGTGCTCTCTCCAAAGCCTGGAATTGATCTCTTTATGTCCTTGCTGAAAACCTGCCCATGGCTCCCCACATCCCGCACTGTCAAGGGCAACTTTCTTAGCCTGACATACAAGGCCTGTTACTCACCCTGGCCAGGCTTCCTGGACACGCCATCAACCACAGCTCCACAAGCCCTCCTGTTCTCCAAGCACAGAAGCTTCACGCCCTGGTCTTCCCAACCTCTGTGTCACTGGCTGGGCTGGGGCCTTCATGCACCCCTCAGGGAGACAGCAGAGTAGTGAGAGCTTGGGCTTCAGACATGGATTCACATCCACCAACTCCTGACAGTCTCGGGCAGAGCAGCTGCCTGCCTGCTTCTCAGATCCCTGCTATAGAAAGCAAGGCCGTGATGACAGCGTAAAAGCATGCGTCGGCCACACACAGGCTTCCCACCACTGCCTCTGCCCTCCACACCACTGTTCCCTTTCCCCTAGTTCCCCCAACTGAACAATTTCCGGCTGGTTTCAATGCTGAGCTCTGGGATGACCTTCACCCTACAGTCCTACAGTTCACACACTATGGATGCTTGAAGGGACGGGTGTTCCCATTTCTGAAACCCACAGAGCAGCTTTGATTGGGGAGCATCCGGTGTCCATCTCGTGCCCCCCGCCCCCGTCCTTGTCCTGCATCCTGGTTCTTGTTCTGCTGCCCCCTCTGCATGCTGCCACTGCCTCCTAAGTGGATGTGCATATTTTCCCAAACAATCATGCAGGGTCTGGTGCATTCTTTCCCAGAACAAGGAACACTCGTGGTCAAATTCAGGACATTCAATCCTTGTCCTAGATTCCTGACATAGACTAGGACTTAAGACAGTTATCGCATTGCATGTCACTGGTCCCAGGGATTTCTCAAGCAACTTTAGTGGGTCTAATCAGAGTGAGCCTCGGAGTTCCTGGGATGGAAAGTCCCTCTCTCCCGTGGGTGCCTTGGGAACACAAAACACTCTTCTCCAGGAGGCAGCTGGGTGAAGGTGGATGGCTGCAATGGCGCAGTTACTTGCCTCTGTGGTGGGCACCAGGCTAAGGATGAATCCAGTAGCAGAACCAAGAGAATCCCAGAGGAGGACTGCAGCTGGTTCTTGGTGACATCATTTGAATGGCTGGATCAAGCCTCACCTGCAGCCAGCAAGATGACCTCTGGACTTGTCAGGAACAGGAGCCCATCAATTCCCTTTAGAGGTGAAGCCAGTTTACGTGGATTTCTGTTGCTTACAATGCAGATGCATAGTGGACGCTGCTGCCTCACCTCGGCTTGAGCATGGCACACGTGCAGTCAGTGGCACCTATTCCAGGAAGCTCGCCTTGCGGTCATAAGGCAGATGTCTTCTTTGCCCACCCCTGTCCCATCTGCATCCTTGAATTCTCAAGAAAGAGACTATTTTCAGGCACCCTTGCATACTCAGAACCTTGGTGTTGTATGCCCAACACACACCAATGCCCAAACGCACACCAATGCCCAGCACACACCAATGCCCAACGCACACCAATGCCCAACACACACCAATGCTCAAACACATAAGCTGAGTGAATGGTCACTCCAGGATGCAAGCAATGTGAAATTGAAAAGTAGGTGAGCACGTCAAAGTTCAGCCTGCATGCCAATTCCTACTGAGCCCCTCAGCATCCAGGAGAATATCAAGGTGTACAAGAGGATTCTGAAGAAAAGAGTTTAGGGTGCATTTATTTGGAGAGAGCCTTTGCTATGCTGTGCATGCTCCCCTTCCAAGGAGGAAGCGTGAGGTGCGACCTCCCTCACCTCTAGCCTCCTGAGAGCGCTTCCATGGTGTCACTCAGAGGCCCTGTACACTGAGGGCTGGGGTCTGCTGATCACATGGGAGCCAGTGTCAGCCGAGTCGTCGCCGTGGGAGCAGACTGTGAATCAACTGCGGCACTGTGCGCGGCCTGCCTGCCTCCCGGAGTCCCGTGGGGCTGAGGATGTAGGATGCTCCTGGGGCCCTCAGCCTAAGCAGATATGAGGACTCCACGAGGGGGCTGCATGCAATGAACTTGCAGAAGAAAACTGAGGCTGAGGACACCAGAGGGGCCTGAAGAAGAGGAAACACATCAGCCCCATCACGGCATCTGCAGGTGAAAAACTCCAGCAGGAAACCTTCGAGGAACCATGGAGCGGCCCCTTGAGAGAGGCAGCTTCCCATACCCGCCAGGCCGACAGGAAGCCGGCCCACCTGGTGGCAAGGTGGGGCTCCAGATGGAGAAACAGTAAGGCGGCCCCACCATGAGGGGACATGCAGGCACATTTGGAGTGTAGGCCGTTCTCATGAGCTGGACGTCCTTATTTCTGAATGGTGTCTGTGAGAACCTCTTGCTTGAGCATGAGCTGAAAGGTGCTGAGACCAGGCCAGTTTTCACATGGGGAGGGCAACACCTTCTCCAACCAAATGCATTTAAGGGGCCGGTGGGAGAAAAGCCGTTGTGTTTCGATTCATTGCGGGGGGGCGTTTGCTCACCCGTCCAGATGAACATGCATTTGGCTCCCACCCGCTGTACGTGAATGTGCCTGTCCCTCATACTTCTGCCAATGTGGCATTTTACAACATGCATCTTTTTTTTTTTTTGATAACTTAATAACTGTGCAAGGTGATAACGCCTTATTGGTTGCCATATCTTTAAGGACTTACAAACTGAAACACTTCTTTAGACACTGGTTTTTGGTGTGTTTCCTTTTTTTATTTTTATTTTTATTTATTTATTTATTTTTGAGATGGAGTCCTGGTCTGTTACCCAGGCTGGAGTGCAGTGGCACAATCTCCGCTCACTGCAACCTCCGCCTCCCAGGCTCAAGCGATTCTCCAGCCTCAGCCTCCCAAGTAGCTGGGATTACAGGTGCACACCACCACGCCCAGCCAACTTTTTGTAGTTTTAGTAGAGACAGGGTTTCTCCATGTTGGCCAGGCTGGTCTCGAACTCCTGGCCTGAAGTGATCCACCTGCCTTGGCTTCCCAAAGTGCTGGGATTACAGGAGTAAGCCACTGCACCTGGCTTGGTTTGTTTCCTTTTAAACAACCTCTGTTTTCACTTGCTTTGAACACTTTATTCGGGAGAATTCGAGTCCTAACAAGCCCTCACACTGATATTAGTTCTCCCCATCATCTTTATGGAGCTTGTTATTTCCCATCTGTGGCTGCTTTTCTCTTGATTATGTCCCATTCCTTTATGTGGCTCTTACCCGGGCCCCTGCCACATGGCTGGGCCAAGGCACAGGCTCTGAGACTGCTGGCCTGGGCTCAAGACCAGTTCACATGCTGCTCCAGGATTTCAGGCCAGGTCCTTACCTCCCTCACCAAGGGCCAAGAGCCTCATCTGTTAAGTGGAAATAGTAGGCGATGGCCATGAGCAATAGCAAGAACAGCCTTCACAAGGCTCACTGCTCCACATGGCTGAGTGCTCCACGCGGCTCAGTGCTCCACGCGGCTCAGTGCTGCACGAGACTCACTGCTCCACGTGGCTGAGTGCTCCACGAGACTCACTGCTCCACATGGCTGAGTGCTCCACGCGACTCACTGCTCCACGCGGCTCACTGCTCCACGCGACTCACTGCTCCACGCGTAGCTTCTGACACTGCCGAGCATTTTCAACAGCTGTGTCTCGGCCTCACAACTGTGGCCTATGGTTCTCTTTCTTCCAGAGTTGAGATGACATGCAACTACTTTTCCTTGTAATTTTTAAAATTACCTTTTAAATCATCAGGAATTCATCGTGATGTCTGGGATATGATATGGATTAAAATTTCTTTTTCTCTAGATTAAAATCCAGTTTTCCCATCTACATTTATTTAATGGCTTCCCCATATAGAAAGAAATGACCTTGTAAATTCAGTTGCAAATCTGGAACTTGCTTGATGATTCATGGATTTCTTTGGACCTCTGCTGCAGAGATTTGTGCTGAAACCATACTCCTCGGATCACAGCTTTTGTTAACACAGATGTGTGTTCACAGACACCTCTGACTTCTTTTTTTCTACTTAATTTTTCCCGTCTTCTCATATCATCCCTCCCATGACCTCTAAAGGTGCTTACTCTAAGTCTGGTCTCCTTAAAGACGCATGCTTCCCTGTGAAGTACTCGGAGCACCACTGCGTGCGTGTTGTTGACTTGCACAAACAATGTCGTGCTCTGACTCTCTTCCATTTCACTTTTCTGTTGTATCGTTGCTTTTGAGCTCTGTCTGTAGAACTATAGAACAGCAGATTCAGTGTTTCCTCCCCTGTGTATTTCATAGTACACCGCAGCTTGCATCCACCTTGAACCTGGCAGTGAACCCAGAGTCCATCTCCAGCCCTGCCCTCAGAATCAATGCCACACATACAAAGCATAGCTCTGCACACTCCCTCAGGCATCCTGTGATCACCTCTCTAGCATTGCTGGGTCAGAGGGCGCATGCACACTCAGTCTTGCTAAATGGTGCCCAATTGCCCAGAGGAACGTTCCCGTCAGTTGTGCCTGATGTTCTGGCACACATCCACGTTACTATTTGGAACCACCCACCTTCTCAACATCACCACCCTGCTGGATGGACAGTGGCATCTCACTGTTGCTTTAATTTGCATTTCTTTGCCCACGGATGTGTTTGAGTCTCTTCGAACACTTGCTAGCCATTTGGGCATCCATTTCTGAAAACCACCTCATCCTCTCCTTTCTCATTTCTCTACTGAGTTGCCCGTCTCTTGGTATTGATCAGCAGGAGCTCTTTCTATATTCTAATAGTAATCCCTTAGCATTTGTAGGCGTCACAAGCATCTCCTCCCAGTCTGCCTTCTGTTGGCGTGGGGCTGTGGTGTTCTTTTTTTTTTTTTTTTGAGATGGAGTCTCACTCTGTCGCCCAGGCTGGAGTGCAGCGTGCGATCTCAGGTCACTGCAAGCTCCGCCTCCCGGGTTCACGCCATTCTCCTGCCTCAGCCTCCCGAGTAGCTGGGACTACAGGCGCCCACCACCACGCCCGGATTAATTTTTTGTATTTTTACTAGAGACAGGGTTTCCCCATGTTAGCCAGGACGGTCTCGATCTCCCGACCTCATGATCCGCCCGCCTCAGCCTCCCAAAGTGCTGGAATTACAGGCGTGAGCCACCGCGCCCGGCCGGGCTGTGGTGTTCTTTACTAAACAGATAGCCTTGATTTTGATTTAGCCAAATCCATTCTTTTTTCAGCCCAGGTTTGCATGTGGGGAGTTTTGCTTAAGAAAACTTTCCCCCGCTATAGGTCACAAAGATGTTATCCTGAGTATTCACTGATCAGCTCTGAAGCTTTCCCTTCCATCCGTAGGCCTTTAATCCAGCTGGGGACCACCTGGAATACTGGGGTGAAGTGGAAGTCCGGCTTCAAAGGGAGCCAGTTTTCCCAGCTTCATTCACTAAACAACCAGCCTTGCCCTTTCCCTTTGTGCTGCCACCTTTATCGAGTTCCTGTCTACCCCAGGTCTGTTTTGATCTCTCTGTTCCATGGTCCTGACGCCTGGCCTATGCTGTTCCCAGGACCACGGCCTCTGCAACACACAATGGCGCCTGCTCAGGAGTTGCCCTGCCCCTTCTCTGCTCTGTGGTTCAAAATTGACTTAGTTTTTTGTGTTAGGCCATTTGAGCTGCTATTTAAAAAGTACCATAAACAGGTTAGCTAATAAACAACAGAAATTTTTCTTTTTTTCTTTCTTTTTTTTTTTTTGAGACAGTCTCACTCTGTGGCCCAGGCTGGAGTGCAGTGGCACGATCTTTGCTCACTGCAATCTTGGCGTCCTGGGCTCAAGCGATTCTCCCACCTCAACCTCTTAAGTAGCTGGGACTACAAGCACGTCCCATCATGCCTGGCTAATTTTTTAATTTTTTAATTTTTTTTTTTTTTTTGTAGAGACACGGTTTCGCCATGTTGCCCAGGCTAGTATCCAACCCCTGGGCTCGAGTGATCCGCCTGCCTTGGCCTTCCAAAGTTCTGGGATTGCAGATATAAGCAACTGTGCCTAGCCTACAGCAAAAAATTGTTGCTCATAGTTCTGGAGGCTGGCAAGTCCGAGATCAAGGTGCTGGCAGTTTCTTTTTATTTTATTTTATTTTACTTTTTTTTTTTTTTTCAGAGTCTTGCTTTGTCACCCAGGCTGGAGTGCAGTGGCGCGATTTCGGCTCACTGCAAGCTCTGCCTCCCAGGTTCATGCAATTCTCCTGCCTCAGCCTCCCAAGTAGCTGGGATTACAAGCATGTGCCATCACACCTGGCTAATTTTTGTATTTTTAGTAGAGATGGGGTTTTACCATGTTGGCAGGCTGGTCTCGAACTCCAGATCTCAGGTGATCTGCTCGCCTCAGCCTCCCAAAGTGCTGGGATTACAGGAGTGAGTCACTGCGCCTGGCCAAGGTGCCGGCAGTTTCAGTGTCTGGTGAGGCCACGTCCTCATAGCCCTCCTCACTGTGTCCCCACGTGGTGGAGGAGGCAAGGCAGCTCTCTGGGCCTCTTGTATAAGGGCACTCGTCCCATTCGGGAGGGCAGCACCCTCATGACCTCATCACCTCCCAAATACCTCTCCTTTCCCATTTTTCTACTGGGTTAGTTTCTACTAGCCCCACTTCCTAATCCCATCACAGCGGGGACTAGGTGGTAGCATGTGAATTCTGGGGGAACACAAACATTCAGATTATAGCATTTGTCTTACACCTTGATCCTTCCACATAAATTCACAGTGAGTTTATTCATCTCCTCGACAATTCCAGCTGGAATTTTGATCAGGATTACATTTAATGCATAGGTGAATCTGGTACTGTTGGGAACCTGTAACATTAAAGTATCTCTTCGTTTAATAATGACTCAAGCTGTGTTCTTTTTTTTTTTTTTTTTTGAGACTGAGTCTCGTTCTGTTGCCCTGGCTGGAGTGCAGTGGCACGATCTCGGCTCACTGCAAGCTCCGCCTCTCGGGTTCCAGCCATTCTCCTGCCTCAGCCTCCCGAGTAGCCGGGACTATAGGCACCTGCCACCACGCCCGGCTAATTTTTTGTATTTTTAGTAGAGACGGGGTTTCACTGTGTTAGCCAGGATGGTCTCAATCTCCTGACCTCGTGATCTGCCCGCCTCGGCCTCCCAAAGTGTTTGAATTACAGGCGTGAGCCACCGCGCCCGGCCTACGACTCCAGCTATGTTCTCTACTGGAATGTTCAATTTTTGTAGAAAAACCACGTGCGTTCTTTGTTATGTGGATTCCAGGGTGCGTTTTAGGTTTTCGAGCATTGCAAATGGTGACCTTTTTTTCAATGTATTGGTCACTTTTCATTAATAACTTGTTCCTATGAAGCACTTCACAGTATTTTTGAAATATTAACATTTTTGTGGTACATTTGCCATATATGTTTCTTTACTCCATTTTTCAGTAAAGATAATTTATTTGGCTGCCAGTGTCTCATCATCGATAAGACCAGTGGAGGGTTTAGACCAGCTGTTTGTGGATTGTTTGAAGAGAGCTGTGTAAATCTGTAGTCCAGGGGAAATTCTCCTGTTACTTCAAAACTTGAAAGAGCAATAGTATGGTAAGTACTGATTCTCTTACAAGACTATGAAGCCAGATGTCTGTACTTTCCAGTGCCCAAATTGAATGAATAATAGAGAGAACAGCCTAATACAGCAAGGGCGGGGCTGGGCGTGGTGAAGCTCCTGCTTCTCCTCCCGGGCATGCTGCCTCCCAGCACTCTCTGCGTTCACCGTCCAGAAAACACCATGACTTAGTTTTAGTTGGCTGTGTCACGGGTGTAAAGAGAAGCTGGTGGGCCGGTGAGTTGGCCACATATCCAGCAGCCTTGCCTAAGCTCCCTGCTAGTTCTGTTATCTTGCCTGCTGATTCCATGGGTTTATGTGATGTTATCATCTGCAAGGAATGAGGCCCTATCTTTTCCCTTCTGATCCTGACGGGTCTTCTGCCACTTTCATCCCTCAGAGCCTTAGTCCACCCCCTTAGTAGTGGGGCCCATGTGGGCTCACAGTGAGAAGATTCATCTTCGCCAGGATTCTTGGTGCAGTCGGCTTTTGGGGTGTAGCAATTATGAAGTTAAGAAACTTTCTGTCTACTCTTAGTTTCCTGAGAGTTTTTAAAAGTCATATATAAGCACCAAACTGTGGTTTTCTCAATCTATGAAGATACTTGATATCAGCATTCTTAAAAATATATTTTAAAATTGGCCAGGCACAGTGCCTCATGCGTGTAATCCCAGCACTTTGGGAGGCCGAGGCGGGCAGATCACCTCAGGTCAGGAGTTCAAGACCAGCCTGGCCAACATGGTGAAACCCCATCTCTACTAAAAATACAAAAATTAGCCAGGCATGATAGCAGGCGCCTGTAATCCCAGCTACTTGGGAGGCTGAGGCAGGGAGGATTGCTTGAACTCAGGAGGTGGAGGTTGCAGTAAGCTGAGATATATGTATTTAAATTTCCAAGAGTGCACTTTTTTTTCAGTAATAGCTAAAAAAAAATCTAAGGGAACCAACTGTAGACACTGTAAGGTAACCAGTCAGGTAAGGATGGTAATGAACCAGCCTGGGCCACCAGCTCCACCCTCAGCCTAGCTGGGGACCCAGTGCAGGAGTGGAGAAGACTTTGGGTGTGGAGAATTAAAATGAGACTGCAGGAAGAGAGGGCATTTCTGCCTGATGCAGAGGGGAGGTGGCTGCTAGGGTGGAGAGGGCCTGTTGGTTGTGGCCAAGGGGGCAGAGTCCAGTGAGCCCCATGGCCTCAGGTGAGCCATTGCCTCTCCCCCAGCCCCACACTGTTACAGGACCTAGAACAGCAACCTCAGTGTGTCCTGCAGGTGGGAGAGTGGGATCAGGTCCTCTAGAGTGAAACCCAGGTAAGAGCTGGCGCAGGGAGAATTGTGAGCTGGCCCCGGAGCTTCCCTTCCCTCCCCACACAGCCCCTGCCCTCACTGAGCACTGGCCAGCTATAGACAAAGGGGAAAGCTCTTGGAAGACAGCAGTCCCCAGGCTGCTGGATCTAGAAGGTCTGTGAGGGGCAGGGCCACTTGGTTGGAGGCAGCTCAGAGTGGCCATCAAGCCTAGACTGTGGGGCTCACTTTGGGCTCTTTGCCCTGGGGCACGCCCTCTTCCCAAATCCACCGGAAACATCCCGAGCTGCTGAAACTAGTCCCCCCGACACAGTGCTCAGCCTCAGACAAGGTAACTGATCCCCCAGGAGACACTGCTGACGACCACCCACAGGTAAACACAGGTGTCTAAACCTTTGGAAACAGATTGCCTCAGCAGGGAATGTGCTTTCCAGCGGCCACAGACCCCGCCACTCCCTTTTGTTCAGCATCTAACCTGATTGATTCGTGTTTCACTCCTGGCCCCTCTGGGGATTTGAATTTGCAAGTCCCCAGAGGCCCAGTTTCAGGTTCCTCCTGCCTTTACTGATCTAATAATGGTGACAGTGTGATTTTGTGCACAGCATCTGCCCCGGGACAAGCCGCATGATCTCCGTTTAGGGTAGAGCTACTCCTTCTTCTCCAGAGCACCATACAGGGCGGGGTGGGAATGGAACCAGATGATGACCCTGACACGTGTGAAGCACCGTCTCGCGCCACTTTGAGTTTTCTTCCAGTCGCTTGCTACCAAAGGATGTCCTGCCAGAGCCCTCAGGAAAATGAATAGCTTCTGATGGAGCTCAGACAACCACATCAGAGCAAACCCCTCGACGAGTCTGTTTATTTAATTGCCTGGTGATGGCCGTGTGGTTAACCCCAGCCTGGTGAATCTGTGAGAGATGCACTGGCTTCAATCAAATAGTCTCCAAAATGTATTTAGGGACAAGACAGATGACACCAGGATGTTATCCTTCCCAGGATTTCATGTGCTCCCAAGGCCTGGGGAGAAGGGGTCACCAACTCAAATGTGGGTGACAGAAGCAAGTGAGGTTAGAGGTGGGACACGTGTGAGGAAAATAACATTGCCCACTCAACATATCTATTGTCCACTCAACATATCTATTGCCCACTCAACATATCTTTGCATTATTCTAACAGACATGGGTAGAGAGACTTGGTCAGGTAGAAATGAGAATAGCAGCATAAGTGTGAAGGTGAATGCAGCCGTCAGGCCAGACGCATGCTGCCACGGGGTGGGCAATCCCATGGGACAGCCAGGATTTTTTGAGAGCGGCAGAGAGGCTAACTTTTAAACGAAATCTTCCTTTTTAAAAAAAGTTGGCTTGGCCGGGTGGGGTGGCTCACACCTGTAATCCCAGCACTTTGGGAGGCTGAGGCAGGCGGATCACAAGGTCAGGAGATCGAGACCATCCTAGCCAACATGGTGAAACCCCATCTCTACTAAAAATACAAAAATAAATTAGCCGGGCATGGTGGCAAGCACCTGTAGTCCCAGCTACTCGGTAGGCTGAGGCAGGAGAATGACGTGAACCCGGGAGGCGGAGCTTGCAGTGAGCAAAGATCGAGCCACTACAGTCCAGCCTGTGTGACAGAGAGAGACTCCATCTCAAAAAAAAAAAAAAAAAGTTGGTTCTTTTAAAATGCGCGCGCGCACACACACACACATACACACACACACACGATGTTGGGGATTTCTCTCTCCAGCCATGATGGTGTGATTGGCACCACCCTTGTCCTTCTGCCTTCAATGGCTTTAAAAATGGGCAAAGTACTTAAAGCT
Organism: Homo sapiens; assembly: GCF_000001405.40. Taxonomy (NCBI): domain Eukaryota; kingdom Metazoa; phylum Chordata; class Mammalia; order Primates; family Hominidae; genus Homo; species Homo sapiens. The sequence goes on from NW_016107298.1 coordinate 153,798, forward strand.
AATGTTATCAGGCACTGGACAAGAGCCAGCCCCTGAAAGAAGGAAGCACATTTGGGTAGCCCATGCACACCCAAACTCCCAGCCTAGAACAGTCTCACCTGACCACAGCAAGGAGGCCGAGCCCAGCAGGCCCAGCAGAGAGAATGCAGGTACTGAGTTGAGGCAGAGGTTAGAGTTCTGGGCTGATGAAGCACCTGAAACTTAAAGAGGTGGATGACACAGAGGAGGGAATTATGTAGAGAGAGATTGCAGATTTCTGGCTGAGAGCTGGATGGCTCATGCGCAGGGGAAGACTGACAGACCCAGCAGAGAGCAGATGATGCACAGCTGGAGGCAGAACTGAGATACCAAAGTTCATGCCCTGCTAGGAGACATGGGGGTTCTGGCCCAACTGGAATGAAGAGCAATCTTTAAGACATTCGGCCAAGCCGCTATATAACCCACATTTTATGAATAAGGCCCACATCCTAGAGAAGTCATTCTCGATTTGGGGGTGGGCTGCTTTTTCCCCTTGTGACCATGTCTGGAGACATTTTTGACTGTCATCAGGGGAGGTGCTACTGCCTGCCATCTTGTGGGTAGGGACCAGACATACGGCTAACCATCCCACATTGCACAAGACAGCCCCCCCACCACAAAGAATTTTCCAGCCCAAAATGTCAATAGTGTTGAGGTTAAGAAATCTCATCCTAGAGTAAGTGCTACCCCAAACCCCTGTGGGAACTGGTAGCCAGCCTTCCAGATGAACCCTAATAATGCTCACCTCCTTTTGTTCATACCCTTGTATAGTCCTCCCTACCATGGAGAGGTCCAAGTGGGAGGAGCAGAGGCTTCTAGCCAGCAGTCAGCAATGAGCAGAGGCCTGCCAACAAGCATATGAGTAGGTCTGCAAGCACACTCTGCAGCCATAATTGAGCCTTAGATGACTGCACCCTCCAAACGACAGCTGGATGGCAACGTCCTTAGAGACTCTGAGCAAGAACCATTGAGCTAAGTCACGCTCAGATTCCTGATCTTTGGAAATGATGTAACAACAAATGCTTTTGTTTTAAGGTGTTATTTTGTGGGGTAATTTGTTACACAGCAATAGATAACTAACACAACCCGGCCCTAGCAAAGCCTAAAACTAAGCCTTGATACGATCAGGGAGAGCCACCAGTAAATTAACTGTCTGCCAGAACAAAACTCAAAACTCTTTAAAGGAAGAAAACATAATCCAGATTCCTTCAAGTGTATGATCTACAATGACCAGCATATAGTAAAAAATTACCAGACACAAAAATAAGCAAGTAATATGGCACAATTTTTTAAAATAAAAAAAGCACTTGATAGAAAAGATCCTCAGATGACCAAGATGTTGGAATCAGCAGACAAGGATTTTAAAAGCTATATTAAAAATATGTTTAAGAACTTAAAGGAAAACATGATCTTTATGAGTGAACAGATGTGAAATTTCAGCAGAGAAATAGACGTTCTGTTAAGGAAACAAGTGAAAATTCTATAACTGAAAACAAAATATCAGAAATCAAAATTTTACTTGCTTGAAAGCAAATTTAGGATGGCAGAAGAAAGTCAATAAACTAGACAGATTTATAAAAATTTCCACTCTGAAGAAAAGAGACCAAACAATAATTGTTAAATCATGAACAGAATCTCAATGACCTGTGTGACAATGTTAAGCAGTCTAACATGAATGTAATTCAAGTCTCACAAGAAAGCAAAGAGAGAGAATGGAAAGGAAAAATATTTTGAAGAAATAATGATTTAAAATTTTCCAAATGTGGTAAAAACAAATGACAACAACAAAAAGCATCAACTTGCCAATCCAAGAAACTAAATGAACCCCCAAGCAGATAAATACAATGAAAACCACAAATAAGTACATTATAGTCGAACTGCTGAAAACCAAAAATAAAGAGAAAATTTTGAAAGCAGGCAGAGCAAAATGGCAAAATAAATGCAGGGGAACAATGACACAAATGACAGCTGTCTTTTCATTAGAAACAATCAACCAACCACAGAATGACATGGATGAAGAAAGAAAAGAACTATAATCCAAGACTGTTATGTCCATCAAAATGTTCTTCAAAAGTGAGGATGAAATGAAGAGATTTTAGATTATTAAACATTGAAAGAATTAAAAGCCAGCAGACTTTCACCACCAGAAACTCTAAATAGAGTTCTTAAGCTGAAGAGAAATGACACCAGAGGAAACAGATTTACAGGAAGAAATGGCAGTGCTAAAAAAAAAAGTAAACATGTAAATTTAAAACACTAGCTTTTTCCTTAATTACCTTAAAAGACAAATGTCCGTTTAAAGCAAATGTAATAACATTATAAGGTGGGGTTTATTATATATATATATATATATAAAATTAAAATTATGACAATAGTACAAAGGATGGGGAAGAAAATGAAGTTGTACTCTTATTAGTTTCTTAGATTTATGAAGTGTGAATAGTAATGTGTGAAATGAAACAGTATTAATTATAAGTAGACTGTGATAAGGACACGTATTGTAATCTCTAAACTACTAAAATACAAAAATAAAAAATAGTAGCTAAAATGCCAATGACAGAGATTTTCCAAAAGAATACAACAAGATATTCAGTTATTCCCAAAAAAAGGTTATAAAAGAGGAAGAGGAGTACAAAGCACATAGGGCAAATATAAAACAAGTAGCAGATATTAGACTTAAAAACAGCTACACCAATAATTTAGTATAAATGAGCTAAATACTAATAAAAAGTCAGTGATTGTCAGAATAGATTTTTTAAAGCAATGCCTGACTATATGAGTATAAAATATAAAGACACAGATAGGTTGAAAGTAAACAGATGGAAAAAGATATAGCATGAAAATGGTTAAAATAAGAAACATGGTGTGGTTATATTATAAGAAGGCAAAGTAGGCACCAAGACAAAATGCATTTCTTCAAATAAAGATGGACACTTCACAATGACAAAATGGTTAATTCAACAGAAAGTTATAAAAATCCTAACTTTGCACCTAATAATTGTCTAAAAATTCATAAAGCAAAAGTTGATTAAAAGACAGAGAAAAATAGACAATTCCCCAATCATAGCTGGAGATTTTAACACCTCTATCTCAGTAATTATAGAACAAAGAGACAAAAAGTCAGTAAGGATATAAAAGATTGGAACAACACTATCAACAAACGATCTAATTGACATTTTCAGAATATCTTACTATACAACTTCAAAAATACACATTTTTTTCAAGTGCAGATGGAATGTTCACCAAAATTAACCATATTCTGCACCATAAAATGTCTCAATAAATTTCAAAACATCAAAATCTTACAAAGTGTGTCTTGGTGACAACAAAATTAAGTTACAAATCAATAACAATAATGTATCTAGAAAATTCCTCCAAAGTTTTGGAAAATAAACAATATACTTCTAAATAATTTATATGGCAAGAAATCAGCAGAGAAATTAGAAAAAATTTTAACTGAATGATAATGAAAACCAAAAAAATCAAATTTTATGGGATACAGTTAAATCAGTTTCTAGAAAGAAACATATAACTCTAAATGTTCATAATAGGGAAAAAGTAAAAATTAACAATTAATGGTTTAAGTGTACATGTTAGCAATCTAAAAAGAAAGAACATATTAAACCCACAGTAAATAGAAGGAAAGAAATAATAAGGAGCCCAAATCAATGAAATATAAAACAAACCAATAAGAGATAAAAATAACAAAGCCAAAAGATACCTCTTTGAAAAATTAATCAAATTGAAAAATCCCAGTAAGACTGATCAAGAAAAAGAACACAAATTACAAAATAACTTTCTGTATGACAAAAACTCTTTGTATTTATGTTGTACAACATGATGTTTTGATATATGTATACTCAAAATATCTGAAATGGAAGATAAGCTATCACTACAGATCCTACAGATACCAAAAGAAAAACTACTAAATATTATAAACAACTTTATGGCAATAAACTCAACAATTTAGATGAAATGGACGAATTCCCTGAAAAACACAACTTACCAAAAGTGACTCAAGAAAAAATAGAAAAAACGAATAGCCCTACTTTTCAGTATCCTATTGCTTCATAACCAGTCCCAAAGCTTAGTAACTTAACAATTATTTTGTTGTTGCTAAGTTAACTGACCTCAGCTGGGTGGTTCTTTTTTAAATGGTGTTGTCTGGGATGACTCACTCTGTTGCTTTCAACTGGCAGCTGGGCCAAACTGGAAAGTCCAAGAAGGCATTAGTCACATGTCTGGTACCTCAGTGCTCCTCCACATGATCTCCCCATGGGAGCTTCCTCATAGCATGGTGGTCTCAGAGTCATCAGACTTTCTACATCGTGGCTGGCTTCGAGAGAGAAAGCTAAAATTCTGAAATTGATATGCAAATGCACAGGACCTAAAATAGCAAAACAAACTTGAAAAAGAATAACAAAGTTGGAAGACTCCCAGTATCTAATTTTCAAGACTCACTATAGTAATCCAAATTAGAATCATTGTAGCAAAAAGATAGACACATAGATCAACAGGAAAAAATAGAGTCCAGAAATAGACCCAAACATAGACCCTTAATTGATTTTCAACAAAAGTGCTAAGGCAATTTAACGGGGAAAATGCATTCTTTCTCTATTGCTGCATAACACATTAGCACAAATTTATCAGAATAAAACAACACTGATTTATTATTTCACATATAATTATATATTTCACATTTTTCTATATGTCAGAAGTCTTTGCATTGTGTAAGTGAGTTCTCGGCTTAGGGTCTCAAAAGGCTAAAACCAAGCTGTCAGCCTGCATGTGCTCTCATATGGAACTTGGATTCCTCTTCCAAGCAAGCTCCTTTTGGTCATAGGATTGAAGCCCTCAGTTCCTGGAGACCGCTCCCTGTTCCCTGCCATGTGACCTTCTCCACGACAAGCTCTCACGCTTTGAATTTCTTTGACTTCTTTTAAGGTCAGGCCAAGAAAGGATAATCTTACTTCTGATTAACCCAAAGTCAACTGATAAAAGACTTTAATTCCCATTCCAGCTTCTAGAGCCGGCCTGATTTCCTTGACTCATGGCCCCTTCCTCCATTTTCAAAATCAGCAACAGTAGGCCAAATTCCTAGCACATTACATCATCTGACCTTCTCTTTTGTCTCTCTCTTCCACGTTTAAGGATCCTTGTGATTACACTGAACCCACCCAGATAGTCTAGGATAATATCCCTATCTTAAGGTCAGCTTGAGGTAGGAGTCAGGACCTGACTCCAGACCAGATAGAAGACTGGCTGAAACAGGGAAGAGGCCCCAAAAGCACCTCTCCATAACATTCCCACCAGCACCATGACAGTTTACCAGTACCATGGCAACTCCCGGAAGTTACCACATCTTTTTTTTAAAGAAATTTCTAAATAACCCAACTCTTAATTTGTGTATAATTAAAACTGGGTATAAATATGACTGCAGAACTGCCCCTGAGCTGCTACTCTGGGCAAACTGCTTGTGGGTTAACCCTACTCTGAAGGAACAAAGCCCCTGCTGCTGCTGTACACTACCACTTCAATAAAAGTTGCTGTATAACAGCACCAGCTCACCCTTGAATTCTTTCCTGGATGAAGCCAAGAACCTTCCCAGGCTAAGCCCCAATCTGGGGGCTCATCTGCCCTGTATCAAGCTGAGCAGCAACCTTAGTTCTGTCTGCTACCTTGACTTGTTTCTAACATGTACCATGATATTCAAGGTTCCAGGGACTAAGAAGTAGACATCTTTGTGGGGCCATTACTCTGCCTATCCTAGGAGACATCTCAGAATTTTTCCTACCACAGAAAAAGAGTAATCTTTTAAACAAATGATGTTAGATCATCTGTAGAGAGAAAAAGTAAAACGCAATTCTTACCTCACACAAAAATTAATTAAATTAATAATAGATGTAGGCCAGGCGTGGTGGTTCATGCCTGTAATCTTAGCACTTTGGGAGGCCGAGGTGGGTGGATCATTAGGTCAGGAGATCGAGATCATCCTGGCTAACATGGTGAAACTCTGTCTCTACTAAAAAAAAAAAAATACAAAAATTTAGCCGGGCGTGGTGGCGGGCACCTGTAGTCCCAGCTACTGGGGAAGCTGAGGCAGGAGAATGGCGTGAACCCAGGAGGCAGAGCTTGCAGCAAGCTGAGATAGCGCCACTGCACTCCAGCCTGGGTGACAGAGCAAGACTCTGCTTCAAAAATAATAATAATAATAATAATAGATGTAAATGTAAACACTGTAATAATATAAACATCAAAACTAAAGCTATAAAAAGATATACAAATGATGAATAAGAACATTAAAAGATGTTCAACGTCATTAGTTATTAGCAAAATGCAAATCAAAATCACAAGATACCACTTCCCAGCCACTAAAATGGCTACAATTAAGAGAGAGAGAGCAAGAGAAAGAAAGGGAGGGAGGAAGGAAGGGGTGAAGGAAGGAAGGAAAGACAGAAAGAGTTGGTGAGGACGTGAAGAAATTGGGACGCTCATGACCTTGCTGGTGGGAATTTAAAATGGTGCAGCCACTGTGGAAAACAATATGGTGGCTTGTCAGTTAAACATAGAGTTGCCATATGACCCAACAATTTCATTCCTAGGAATATGCCAAAGAAAACTGAAAACATGTCAAACAAAAACTTGTACACAAACTTCAGAGAAGCATTATTTATAATAGTCAAAAAATAGAAACAATCCAAATGGCCATCAACTGATGATGATACATGGTACATCCACACAATGGAATGTTATTTTGTCATAAAAATGAATGAAGAACTTTTATATGTTGGAACGATAAACTGTGAAGATGTGTTAAGAAGCCAGACATAAAAGGCCACATATAGAATGATTCCATTTATATAAAATTTACAGAATAGACAGCTCCATAGGGACAGAAAGTAGATGAGTGGTTGCCAGGAGTGGGAGAGAGGGACATTGGGAATGACTGCCAATAAGCACAAGGTTTCTTTTCGGGGTGATGGAAGTGTTCCATAATTAGATAGTGGTGATGGTTGTACAACATAATGAATATAGGAAAAACTACTGACTTGTATACTTTAAAATGATCAGCTTTATGTTATGTAAATTATATCTCAGTAAAAAAAAAGTAATGGGAAAAATTATTGTGCTTATAGATGGTATTAGGATTTAGCAGTACCTGTCTCAGTGGAAAGACATTTTCAAAGATGAAATGCATAAAATATCATTACTGGCAGCACTTGCAACAGATTTTGATGATGGGAAACATAACTTTCATCCCAGTTAAGTGAAAATGTTATCCCTCCTCCAAAATTCCATTTTCCTCATTAGAGAAAAATTTACTGAATTATTGTTTTGAATTCTGTCAATTAAAAAAGTGAAACTACAAAACCTCTAGAAGAAAACTTAGGTGGAAATCTTCATGGCTTTGGGATAACTAAAGATTTCTTAAGATACAAAAAAGTACTCTGCCACCATAAAATTTTTTAAACTGATATTGATTTCTAAAAATTAAAAACTTAGGATTTCCAAAAGTCATCATTAATAAAATAATATGAAAGGAAAGATAGTTGCGATACATATATCTGAGAAAGGTCTTGCATCCAGAATACACACAAAACTTTCACAACTCAACAGTAAGAAGACAAACAACTCAATTTTTTTTAATGGGCAAAATATTTGAACCGACATTCCATGAAAAAAGATACATGAATGGCCAATAAGGACATGAAAAGATGTTCAACATGTTCATCAGTGAAATTCAAGTGAAAACAATGAAGAATTATCACCACATACCGACCAGGATGGCTAAAATTTAAAAGACTGAAAATACCAAATATTGGAGAGGATATACAGCAATTGATACTGTCATACAATGCGTGGAGTGGAAAATGGTGCAAACATTTCAAGAAACAGTTTGACAATTTCTTAAGAAATTGAACACACCCCCTCTATGAGCCAGCAATCTACCCCTAGGTATTTAACCAAGGAAAATGAAAGCATGTGTTCATAAAGATACATGCACAAGAATTTTCATATGAGCTTTATTCATAATAGCCAAAAACTGGAAATAATACAAATGTCTGTCATCATTTAAACAGATAAATTGTGGCATTTTTATACAGAGGAATAATTATAAGCAATAAAAAAATGTGGCATGCAACCCAGATGACAGACATTATGTTGAGTGACAGAAGCCAGGCACAAAGAGTACTCTAGGGTCCATTTCCATGACGTTCTGAGTCAGGGGGCACTGAGCTGGAGTGGTCGATGTCCCAGGAATCAGTTCTGCTGCCAGGGAGGAGAATAGACTGGGAAGTGGCACAGGTAGCTTCCTGGATGAGGGAGGTTTCTTTATCTTGATTGAGGTGGTGGTTACATAAGTGTGTATGTTTATAGTGTATATATATATATATATATATATATATATATATATATATATATATATATATATATATATGGTTTGGCTATGTCCCCACCCAAATTTCAACTTGAATTGTATCTCCCAGAATTCCCACGTATTGTACGAGGGACCCAGGGGGAGGTATGTGAATCATGGGGGCTGGTCTTTCCTGTGCTATTCTTGTGATAGTGAATAAGCCTCATGAGATCTGTTGGGTTTATCAAGGGTTTCTGCTTTTTGCTTCTTCCTCATTTTCTCTTGCCACCACGATGTAAGAAGTGCCTTTCACCTCCCCCCATGATTCTGAGGCCTCCCCAGCCATGTAGAACTATAAGTCCAATTAAACAACTTTTACTTCCCAGTCTCAGGTATGTCTTTATCAGCAGCATGAAAACAGACTAATTATATATATATATATATATGTGTGTGTGTGTGTGTGTGTGTGTGTGTGTGTATACATATATAATAACTCACTGAACTGTGCACTTAAAAATCAATGCATTTTATTACATGTAAACTATATCCTAATATACTTGATTTTTAAAAACATCATAGGCCAGGTGCAGTGGCTTACGCCTGTAATCCCAGCACTTTGGGAGGCCGAGGTGGGCGGATCACAAGGTCAGGAGATAGATACCATCCTGGCTAACATGGTGAAACCCTGTCTGTACTAAAAATACAAAAAAAAAAAAAAAAAACCTAGCCAGGCATGGTGGCGGGTGCCTGTAGTCCCAGCAACTCGGGAGGCTAAGGCAGGAGAATGGCTTGAACCTGGGAGGTGGAGCTTGCAGTGAGCCAAGATGGTGCCACTGCACTCCAGCCTGGGCAACACAGTGAGACTCTGTCTCAAAAAAAAAAAAAAGGCCAGGAGTGGTGGCTCATGCCTGTAATCCCAGCACTTTGGGAGGCCGAGGCAGGCAGATCACAAGGTCAGGAGATTGAGACCATCCTGGTTAACACAGTGAAACCCCGTTTCTACTAAAAACTTAGCCAGGCATGGTGGCGGGCACCTGTAGTCCCGGCTACTCAAGAGGCTGAGGCAGGAGAATGGCGTGAACCAGGAAGCAGAGCTTGCAGTGAGCCGAGATCACACCACTGCACTCCAGCCTGGGGGACAGAGCGAGACTCTGTCTCAAAAAAAAAAAAAAAAAAAAATCATATAGGCCAAATAAAGCATGTTTGTTGACTGAATGTGACTCACACACTACCAGTTTGCAAACTGAGCTAGAGAATCAAATGGGGTGAAGGTCAGTCCCCCAATCCTTCTGACCATGTACATGTGGGCCAGTTGCATTATGTGCTCTTAGGACAGACACTTTCATTTTTAAGGTTCTTTATTGGGGTGCAGGGATAAAGAAAAAAAGAAAGAGAAAGACAGAGAGAGGGAATGACAGAAGGAAGGAAGAAGGGAAGGGAAGGGAATGGAGGGAGACACCAATTACCATCTGCTCCAACTCCTTATTTGGTCCAAATGAAGGTGACTGGTGTGGCCTGCCACAGATGCAATAGGGTGACCCCCCCTCAGCCTCAGGCTTGGTACCTCAGGCTCCCAGGCTTGTGAGTCAAGCATCATCTGAACAAACAAGGCATGCTCCATGCAGCTCCATCTTATGCTGCTGTAGTGACAGAAATGGGGCCTGATATGGTTTGGCTGTGTCCCCACCCAAATCTCATCTTGAATTATAGTTCCCATAATCCCCACGTGTTGTGGGAGGGACATGGTCACAGGTAATTGAATCATGGGGGTGGTTTTCCCTGTGCCGTTCTCATGATAGTGAGTGAGTTCTCATGATATCTGATGATTTTATAAGCATCTGATATTTCCCCTGCTGGCACTTCTCTCTCCTGCCACCATGTAAAGAAGGACCTGTTTGCCTCCCTTTATACCATGATTGTAAGTTTCCAGAGGCCTCCCCAGCCATGCAGAACTGTGAGTCAATTAAACCTCTTTCCTTTATAAATTACCCAGTCTTGGGCAGTTCTTTATAGCAGCGTGAGAACAAACTAATACAGTAAATTGGTACTGGGAGTGGGGTGCAGCTGAAAAGATACCCGAAAATGTGGCATTGACTTTGGAACTGGGTAACAGGCAGAGGTTGGAACAGTTTGGAGGGCTCAGAAGAAGACAGAAAGATATGGGAAAGTGTGGAACTTCCTAGAGACTTGTTGAGTGGCTTTGACCAAAATGCTGATAGTGGTATAGAAAATGAAGTCCAGGCTGAAGTGGTCTCAGGTGGAGATTAGAAATTTGTTGGGAACTGGAATAAAGGTAACTCTTACTATGCTTTTAGCAAAGAGAATCGTGGTGTTTTGCCCCTGCCCTAGAGATCTGTGGAACTTTGAACTTGAGAGAGATGATTTAGAGTATCTGGCGGAAGAAATTTCTAAGCAGCAAAGCATTCAAGAGGTGATCTGGGTTCTCTTAAAAGTGTTCAGTTTTACACATTCACAAAGAGATGGTTTGGAATTGGAACTTATGTTTAAAAGGGAAGCAGAGCATAAAAGTTTGGAAAATTTGCAGTCTGACAATGTGATAGAAAAGAAAAACCCATTTTCTGAGGAGAAATTCAAGCCAGTGGCAGAAATTTGCATAAGTAATGAGGAGTCAAATGTTAATCGCCAAGACACTGGGGAAAATGTCTCCAGGGCACGTCAGAGGACTTCACGGCAGACCTTTCCATCACAGGCCAGGAGGCCTAGGAGGAAAAAATGGTTTTGTGGGTTGTGCCCAAGGGCTTACTGCTTTGTGCAGTCTCAGGACCTGGTACCCTGTGTCCCAGCTGTGGTTAATGGGGCCAACATGTGAAGCTCAGGCCATTGCTTCAGAGGGTGAAAGCCCCAAATCTTGGTGGCTTACTTATAGGATTGGGCTTCTGGGTGCACAGAAGTCAAGAATTTAGGTTTGGGAACCTCCACCTAGATTTCAGAGGATGTATGGAAATGCCTGGATGTCAATGCAGAAGTTTGTTGCCAGGGTGGAGCCCTTGTGAAGAACCTCTCCTAAGGTAGTGTGGAAGGGAAATGTGGGGTCAGAGCCCCCACACAGAGTCCCCACTGGGGCACTGCCTAGTTGAGCTGTGAGAAGAGAATCATTGTCCTCCAGATCCCAGAATGGTAGATCCACCAACAGCTTGCACTGTGCACCTGGAAAAGCCACAGACACTCAACACTGGCTTGTGAAAGCAGCCAGGAGAGGGGCTATACGCTGCAAAACCACAGGGGTGGAGCTGCCCAAGGCCATGGGAACTTAACGTCTTGCAACATTGTGACCTGGATGTGAGACATGGAGTCAAAGGAAATTATTTTGGAGCTTTAAGATTTAGTTACTGCCTTGTTGGATTTTGGACATGCATAGGGCCCTTTGTTTTACCCAGTTTCTCCCATTTGGGATGGGTGTATTTACCCAATGCCTGTACCTGCATTGTGTCTAGGAAGAAACTAACTTGCTTTTGATTTTACAGGCTAATAGGTGGAAGGCACTTGCCTTGTCTCAGATGAAACTTTGGACTTGGACTTTTGGGTTAATGCTGGAATAAGTTAAGACTTTGAGGGACTGTTGGGAAGGCATGGTTGTGTTTTAAAATGTGAGGACATGAGATTTGGGAGGGTCCATGGGCAGAATGATATGTTTGGCTGCATCCCTACTCACATTTCATCTTGAATTGTAGTTCCCATAATACCCACATGTTGTGGGAGGGACATGGAGTGGGGTAATTGAATCATGGGGGCAGCTTTCCCCATGCTGTTCTCATGATAGTGAATGAGTTCTCATGAAATCTGATGGTTTTATAAGCATCTGGCATTTCTCCTGCTGGCACTTCTCTCTCCTGCCACCATGTGAAGAAGGACATGTTTACTTGTCCTTCCAACATGAATGTAAGTTTCCTGAGGGCTCCCCAGACATGCAGAACTGTGAGTCAATTAAACCTCTTTCTTTTATAAATTACTCAGTCTCAGCCTGTTCTTTATAGCAGCATGAGAACGGACTAATACAGGTAATGTTCACCCCATCTAACCCCTCTTCCTGGATACCCAGGAGGGCAACATTCCCAGCCTCCTTAAAGTTGTGTGGGGACCATGTGACTAAATCCTGGCCAATAAGATGTTGTGAAAAGAATGTACACCACCTCTAGAATAGGCCATAAAAACAAACTTCCATGCACTTCCCAGCTCTCTTCCTCTTCCACTACCACTTTGGAAGCCGGGTGGCTGGATATCCAGGTGGTGGAGCCTCAGCATGGAACAGGCCCAGATTCCACAGTCACTGCTTGGCAAAAGCTGTGAGGAGACGAGACACCCAACCTACTTCTGGATTTCTGTGAGCAAGAAATAAATATTTGTTGTGTCTAAACTCTGAGAATCGGAGGTTGTTACCCTAGCTAATCCCTGACACGGGCATGTCACACAGACTTTTGGGTGTGTATCCACTTCTATTACTGTGAAAAACACCAAAAGAAAAAAGCAAAGTTTATTGGCTCTTATGTTTTTTACTACCATCATAAAAAACTCAACAGTAAAAAAACAAACAACTCAGTTACAAAATGGGCAAAGACATGAGCAGATATTTCACCAAGGAGAAGACGGAGATAGCCAAAAAGCATGCAGAGGCTGGGCGCAGTGGCTCAAGCCTGTAATCCCAGCACTTTGGGAGGCCGAGGCAGGCGGATCACGAGGTCAGGAGATCAAGACCATCCTGGCTAACACGGTGAAACCCCATCTCTACTAAAAATACAAAAAATTAGCTGGGTGTGGTGGTGGGCGCCTGTAGTCCTAGCTACTCAGGAGGCTGAGGCAGGAGAATGGCGTGAACCCGGGAGGCGGAGCTTGCAGATGGCACCACTGCACTCCAGCCTGGGTGACAGAGCGAAACTCTGTCTCAAAAAAAAAAAAAACAAAAGCACGCAGAAACATGTTCCTCATCATTGACCATTAGGGAAATGCAAATGAAAAGCAGAAGGAAATATCACTACACACCTATGAAAACAACTATGGTTAAAAAAAAATGCTAACAAGAATCCACAGAAAGTGGTTCTCTTATCCATTGCTAGTGAGAATGTAAAATTGTCAGTGTCTCACAAAGCTAAGCACGCATCATAATACCCAGCCCTCACACTCTTGGGCATTTATTCAGAGAAATGAAAACTGATGTTTGTGCAAAAACCTATACGTGACTATCGATAGAATTTTTATTCACCATATTTGCAGAAACTCTGGTACGTGCATATAATGGAACACTACTCAGCAGTAAAAAGGAACAAACTATTGTTACATGGATCTCAAGAGAACAAACACTGAGTGAAAAGTCAACCTTGAAAGATGATGCAGTGTGTGATTCCATTTGTACAACATTCTCATAATGACAAAATGATAGAGATGGAGAACAGATTAGTAGTTGCTAGAAGACAGGGACAGGGAGGGGGAGGTTGCAAATACCAAATACGAAGAGGTAGTGCAAGGGTGTGCATTTGTGATGATGAACAGTTCTGTGTCTTGACTGTGGTGGTGGTTATCAAAATTTATACACGGGATGAAATTGCATAGAAACGGAGAGAGAGAGAGGAATGATTACCATCTCAACAATAATGAGAACTGAATAAGGTCTAGAGTCTAGTAGCATTGTAATATCAATGTCAATTCCCTGGTTTTGATCTTGTGCTGTGGTTATATAAGATGTCAGCATTAAGATTAGCTGAGGGAAGCTTACAAGGGACTCTGTACAATTTTTGCAACTTCCTACAAGTGTACAATTATTTCAAAATAAAATGTTTTTTTTTTCCCACAGGGTAGGACATGAGCAATGATAATTCCAACCAGAGACCATCTACTAAGTGGACCTGTGGCCAAAACACCAGGTGTTCTCACTGTGATTCCTACCTACTCTGGTGAAGTAGTATTTCTCCTCCAGTTTTAATAATGAGGACAAGTTGTTATTTTTCTTCCCAGCAAGCCAAAAATAGCAGCAACAATCCCCACCATCCAGGGGTATGACATACACCCTGAGAAGCAAAGCTCCTGCACCAAGGCCTGCTGGAAGGTAAAAGCAGCCACGTCCGTCCACGGCATGAGTGTAAGCTGAGCCCCTACTAGGTGCCAGGGACTGTGCTTGATGTTGAGTGGAGAACAGGCTGAAGAAGACTTGGGGAGACAGTGAGGGAACTCAGAGTCCAGATGGGAGAGAATGATGACTTGGCCAGGAGGTTGTAGTGGGGAGGAAGAGAAAGCATGGATTTGAGACTCCTCTGGAGGTCAAATAAATAGGACTTGGGGATTGTTTGGGTGTGGACAGTGAAGGAGAGGTACCTAGGGTGACTTCCTGACCTACCTCTCAGCTTCTGTGACAAGAGCCAGTGCCTCCAAATCAGCATTTCATTGCTTGGGCATCAAGAAGTCCCAAACTCTTTGCACAGGTTTCCTGTTCCAGTGGCCGGCCCTCAGAATCTCCCTCCCCTGGGCCTGTTGGAGATTGTGGGACTGATAATGGGAGCTAGAAGGGGGTAGCCCCTGGAAAGCTCCATCCCACGGTGGGTCTGCTTTGGGCCATGCCTGTGCAAAGCCCTCCACCAGCTCCAGGGGTGGCTGGTGCAGATCTTGTTCCCAGTCCTGAGATGGAGCGAGGGGAGGATATGCTCCCATGGGGAAGACTGGAGGAGGAGCAGATGGATGGGGGAGAGTGAGTTCAAGCTTTAGAGTAGCTGGAATGGTAAGTGGCCTGTCCAAGCTCAAGGATGGAGTTCCTAAGTTGGGAATCATCAGCCCACACAGCTTTGCCTGGAGATGGTTTAAAGTGAGCAGGAACAAGAGCTGAGGACAGGGGCTGAGTTTAATGATTGTATAAAGGAGGGAGAGACAGAGAAGGGGCAGTCAACCAGGTAGAAAGAAAAGCAACAGAGTGCTGGAGCAGGGGCGCAGAGAGAATGACAGATCCAGAAAGAGAAGCTCTGGGATCTGTGAGCTGAGAGATGACAGCACAGACATATCCACTGAGCTGGAGCCCTGCTGGCCTCTGCTGGTCACGCCACACACAGCGGGGAGCACAGGGCCTTCAGGCCACTTGTTCCGTGGACACCTGGTCTTGCTGGCCTAGGTCAAGGGCACACACCACTGCCCTGGAGGGCCAGCAGAGGAAACTGGCTGCCTTCCTGCATGAATTGGGGCTCTCTCCTTGCCTGCCTTGGTGCCCCCAGTGGTGAGTCTTTGGTGAGGAGACCAGGTGCCCTGGAGTGTTATGTGTTTCTGCTCAAGGGTCCCTTTCTGTAGGTCTACTGGTGTCTGTAGCCCCTTGACTTCCTTCTGAGAATGATCAGGGCTGGGACGCTGCCTGGAAGTTTTGGGCAAAAGACTCTGTCCCCCAACCCACTGGGGTGAATGAGCCAGCAGGAGCCTGGAGCTCCTGAGGTCTTGTGTGGGGAGCAGGGTGAGAAGGACCGAAGGACAAGACCCTGCTGACACTGTGGGAGCCCCTGGCCTGGCTGCACTAGGCCCTCCTGTCACTGGCTCATCTCCCCCACTTGAGCCACTGGGGTAGGTGCCTGAGAATAAACTGACAGGGGCCTCCCATCCCTCCATCTGGGCCTCTCTCCCTGCTGGACCTGCCTCCTTGACCTGGGAACAGGCCAGAGTCCTAGACAGGCTCTGTCTGGACTCCTGGCAGCCACTGTCTGTGCCCACACCCACGTTCCACATGTTCTGAGGACCTAGCAGACTCCAGCCTGGCCCCACCCAGCCCACCTCACCTTCCCCAACCAAAAGCTGGGGAGACCTAGGTCAGTGACAGCTCCTCTGTGGGGGATTTATCCCCTACACTCTGTTTAGATTCTCAAAACATAAGATCCAGTTTGTTAGCCCCTTCCCATGAAACACCTGGGCCTGCACACTCCAAAATTAGACAGAAGAAGCTCCTCTGGGAATTCGAAGACACCTTCTCTGCTAATTCTCCCATTCCCGAGTGGTTTTCACAGCTCACTAGAACCGCCAGGACCAGCTCGGCCTCCCTAATGAGCCAGCGCTTCCCTAGCTGGGAAGTGCTCTGGCCCTAGTGAGTTTTTCTCGGCCATAAATGCACATGCTGTGGGTCAAGGATGGAGAACTGGCATTTATGGTGGATCCCGGTTTTAATAAGGTCAGGCAGGGACTCTTTCAGGTAAGCCCAGAGAATGCCACCTGTGGCAGGGCAGGGACAGGGGCATGATTTGCGTGGCTCAGGACAGTGACATGACCATGAGGAGGTACATCCGGCCTCTCCCACGTGGGTAGCATCCTCTCTGACCCGCTTCCTCAGCCCTGGCTCCCAGCCTCGCCCCCACCCCCCAGGCTATCTGACCAGCCCTCACCAGCCCTGCCAGCTACAGCTGCAAGATGGGATGCAAAGGCTACGAGGTCCGAGGGTATCCCCAGGGAGTGATGGCAGCAGGCAGGATGGCGATTCCAGGAGATGCTGTTCCCCCTCCCCCGCGGGGCAGTGACAGTCCTGGGGAACCCACTTTTAGAACAACACACCAGGCTTGTTTGCAGAGGTGTCAAAACCTTCCAAAAGCCAGACCACAGGATGTGGACCTGCTGCTGCTGCTGGACCTGGGGAAGCTGGACAGGTCCCTCAGCACACCGCTGTAGGTGTCAGCAGAGCAGGCTGTTGGCAGGCGCTGTTCCTCCGGCCCCAGCAACAGGCCTGGGAGCAGCCCACCAGGAGGCCCCGGGGGAGCTTCAGTCTCCAGCTTCTTACTGGGCCCCTGTATGCTACCCTCAGCTGTTGCTGGTAAAGCTGGGGCCCTCAGGTCCATTTGTGCAGCGAGTCCTGGGCCCCGGAGGACACCGCTAATCAGCTTCTCTGCTGGCCAGGGGATACTCACGGGCCTCACTGCAGGGCCACTGCAGCTGATCTGGTGCCTGGCCTGCCAGTGGCCCCTCACATGTAGCTCCTCCCTGTTGGTAACCCCCCACTTAGCTCCTGCACCCTGCTCTTCTCCCACCGGCCCTCAGGCCAGCCCTCCACCTGTCCCCCGCCCTCCCAGGCTAGCTTGGAGCCCTGGTCTGGGAAGCAGTGTTCCCATGGGAAGAACCCGGAGCCAGGCCTCAGGACACCATGCACACGTCTGCTGCAGAGCAAACAGCTCTTGCCTCTCGGGCCCCTTGCCAGCTTTTGATTCATGCAACTTAGAAAATAAGACATATTTTTATGCTGTTTGCCACGTTTATGAAGGAGAAATGTGTTTCATTGACTGGCCCAGGACCTGCCCTCTCATCAGCCGGCAGAGGCACAGGCTCCTCCAGGTGCCTCTCACTCTTTCCTGGGCCTGGGTCAAAAGCGCTAAACCTGCTCCAACAGCCAAAGCAGCCAGGCCTCACTCTTCCAGATGAGAACTTCGGGTCAAGCGTTTTCTTCCCAGTCTCACTCCTCAGCCCTTCCCCCTACCATCTTGTTTCCATAATCCTGAGGCTCAGGCAATTAAAATAAAATATCCTTGTAGTCTCTAGATGTTTACTAAACCAGCTGGTAATGAGCTAGGCAGGATCATCTCTATTACATAAAGGAGAAGAACAAAGAATTAGGAATATGGAAGACATTCAAACGTCTTAATTAGTGCTTCCATTTGTAAAAGCTGCTCCATCACCGAGAGCTTCTCTCAGAGGCCCATCACGGGCAGGCCAGGGACCCTAAAGCCCCCGTGCAGACTGCAGCAGCACTGTCAAAGGCTAGCTTTGGTCTCGGCCAGGCCACCTGGCCACAGCTCCACACTCAGGGATCTGGGGACCTTGAAGCATCAGATGATGGCGGGGCCCCGGGCTGGGTCCAAGCTCTGCATGGACTCCTGGAAAGGGAGAGATGGGCAGTGTCTGCAAGCAGATGTAGCCAACAATGAGGCAGAGCCCTGGGCTCCAGATGGCTCCCACACTGGGGCAAGTCTTGGCTGTGCTCCTCGCCACACCACTGGCAGACACTGCGCCTGGCTGGGGAAATTCCTCCAGCTCCTGGCCTCTTTCTCACCCTCCCTGAAGGCTTCTGGATTCCCTCACAGCCTCTGCTGAAGCCTGAACACCAGAGAACCCAGAGGATGAGCATGCCACAGACTGCCCTTCACCTTGGGGCTGCAGCCTGGACCCCCAGGCTCGCCCAGGCAGCAGGGCTGGGCTTGTGGGTGGGAGGGCAGCATGACAGTGGGAGGTGATGGTACCGAGCAGAGCTCTAGGGTCAGAGAGTCAGGCTGAGCCTGTGCCTCGGCCCTGGTCCTGCCCCATGGGCTACCCATGGCTCCCCCTCCACGGTGATGTCATCCCAGACCACTTCATAATAAGCACAGCCCTGTGTCCTGAGCCCCGCCTGGGGCCAGGCCTGGGCTAAGCACTCCACCACATTCACTGTCTCGCCAAGGCCTCACCATAACCCCATGGGGCGGTTCTGTTATTAGCCCCACTTTACATCAAGGCAGAGAGAAGAGAACAGCCATCTCAACCAGCCAGCAGGAGCCTGGAGTTCAGAGAGCTCGGAGCTCCACTGCACACCACATACCCGGAGCTGCCGCCTTCGGCCAGTGTCCATCCCCAGCCTCCCAAGCTTGGCCCAAGCCCCCTGGCCTTTGTGGGGCTGAACCCACCACTGAGCACACCCAACATGCCCTCATCCCACAGTTCCCTGCCTCCCCCACCTGAGCCCAGCACCCCACAGAGGCCTGATGAGGGCACAGGCTCAGTAAACACGGGTGGAACTGCGCTGATTGAAGGTTGGAGACTGTCTTGAATTAAACCACGATGGATGACTCTTTTAAAGCAGGGGAATGAAAGAAGAAGAAAGTAAAGCTGACATGAGTAGCCTTAGGCTTTCAGCAGGCCCAATTTAACAGTTCGAGAAGTTGCCACTATTGAACAATAATTCTTTCCTGTGAAGCGCCCTGGTCTAATGCTGGACAGAGTCCTCTGAGCTGTGCTAAGCCAGTTCCCTGCCTTTACAGGTCTTACGTCTTAAACCTTTGAAAGTAAACGTCAAATATATTACACTCCTGGGGCACGACTCTCACTGGCCACATTTCTGGAATACCTGAGACTAAATAGCCAAACTTCAAATGGATTCAACCAACTTGTTGAGTATCTACAAGAAGAATTGGATAATGCCCTTGTCCTTGAGGAAGACATGGGATGAAACATTGACAGCTGGGATGGATTAGGGTAAAGGCTTTACTGAAAGGATGTAAGAATTGCCACATTCCTCCCACTTGGCCAGGGGGAAAGGTAATTCTATCGTGGCTGGGGTCAGGTGGGAGGGGAGGGATGCATGCAGGGATAGTGTTTTACAGAGGAAAGGCATTTGACTTGATCTTGAGGGAGAAATCGGAAGGTCAACCGGGGCAGGATATCGGATATTCCACGCAGAGGGAGCAGCTCACTCGAGCCGAGTGACGTGCGGCTGTCAGCACAGGGAGCTGCAACCGCCCGCCCCTCCGTCTGCGTGAGGGGCCCCTCGTGGCATCTTCCGAGTGCTATGGAACACCTTGCTCCCGCTCCACCCGCCCCGCCCTCCAGTGCCTTCGTATTTCTCTCATGTGCTTTTGTCTTTTTTCCTTTCCTTTTCTCCCTTACATATCCAACTGACACCTTGTCCACTTTGCTGCAATTACTAATTCATGGATTGATTAAATCATCTACTCCACAGATACTTACAGATGAGCTGCTGTGTGCAGTGTTCACGGAAGGCACTGTGGAATTGGGATCGGGCGCCTGCCCCGAAATCCCACACAAAGGGGACAGCAGGAGGAGGCCGCTCAGCTGTGGGAGTGGGACGGGGAAAGGGAGGTTTCAAGGCCAAGTGGAAGAAGTGGCGGTGGGGGAAGGTATTCCAGGTGGGCACACTGTCACCCACTCATTCACACCATCCACACTGCCCAGACACACACACACACACACACACACACACACACACACACACACACGCTGGCTGCTTCTCTGCTCTGCACCTCAGAGACCATCTATACAAACCTGATGGAAGTGTGTTTAGTATATTTCATTAAAAGATGCTTGGCCGGCCGGGCGTGGTGGCTCATGCCTGTAATCCCAGCACTTTGGGAGGCCGAGGCGGGCAGATCACGAGGTCAGGAGATCGAGACCATCCTGGCTAACATGGTGAAACCCCGTCTCTACTAAAAATACAAAAAATTAGCCGGGCGTGGTGGCGGGTGCCTGTAGTCCCAGCTATTCGGGAGGCTGAGGCAGGAGAATGGCATGAACCCAGGAGGCGGAGCTTGCAGTGAGCCGAGATCGCGCCATTGCACTCCAGCCTGGGCGACAGAGCGAGACTCCATCTCAAAAAAAAGAAAAAAAAAGATGCTTGGTCAACACTGCTTCCTTTCTTGGCCCTGCTGCCTAAGGTGGCCACGGCTCTGCTGTCTCCAGCCCCTGATGGTAACTCCCCGACCCCCTGCCTGCGGGTTGCCTCCTCCTGCCTGCAGCACTGTGAGTCATGCCTCACTCAACGCCCTCCATCTGCGCCATCTGAGTGGCCCTGTGTGTCCCGGTGGGAGGCTGACTCCTCCACATTGGCCCTCGGTGGAGGCCAGGAGGGTCTGAGGTCCTGGAAAGTCACAGAGATGGTGGAGGCAGGGTTCCAAGGTATGGTTTCCTACCTTGCTGATTCTCCCTGGGTTCTGGCTGGCCAGGCCTGGGTGGATGTCCCCTTCCAGTCCTCTTCCCAGCTTCCTGGGCCCTAATGTGGGCTGAGTGCTGGGCATCAGACCTTCTTTCTCCAACAGCCCAAGGATTAGAACATATAGCGTGGGCACCAGAGAGCAAACGGGAGGCCAGGCCCATGTTGGTGCAAAGAAAGGCTCACAGACCTGCGTCAGGCGGGCATGGGGCCCATCCCCCCACTTCCCTGTTCCCACGCCCAGAGGAGGGGCCTGGCTCATGCCTGCTCAGGGTCGGAGGGCCAGGCTGAGCCAGGGCTGCCTTTCTCTCGGCTCCGTCCCAGGTGAGGGTGCCTTCCCTGTGAGCTGATTGGAGCCAGGGAGGACCAGAGGATGGGGACACAGTCACAGCGAGGCCCTGGCTGACGCTGTTTGTTCCAGGTCGCCTTTACGGGACTTCACAGGGATTCAACAAACTGGTTGAGTATCTCCAAGAACCTGGACAAAGCCTGAGATGGGAGCCCGGGCTGGGCGGATACTCGAGGCCAGGTGTTCTGCACTGTGTAGCTGAAGGTGAAGGTGATGACCACCACAGGCCCTGGCAGGAGGTTCAGGACCAGGCAGCCAGACTCAGACCTCTGCCCAGGGCCCAGTGCTTGGCCGGGGCCTGCCCTGAGGTCACCCCTAGACGCAGCGCCAAGGGCTGAAGATGTGATGGCAGCACGCTGACCGGTGGCCCAGGCTGGGTCAGAGTTTCCGGGGCCAGCTCAGACGTTGGAGGCCTGGGGAGGCTGGCCCCAGCCCCAAAGGAGGGACTGAAATTGTTTCCATGGCAATGGAAAAAGTAACACAGAGAGGAGCAGGACACTCCGCCAGGCCTGCAATAGCCATCCTGTGCTGGGCCGGCCAGCTCCCAGCAATTACAGGCCCAGGACGGGAGGCAGATCCCATCGCAGCTTCGTCACCCCTCCTGGGATGCTGGCAGCCTGACAGCTTCCCCCCAGCCCTGCGCCTGGAGGCTGGGACAGACAGGCCACGGGCAAGAGAGCCAGCAGGAGCCTGGCTTCCAGTCTGACAGCTGCCCCCAGGGTCTCCATGAACTTCCCAAGTGATCGCTGTCCCCAGACTCAGTTCCCTCATCTGTAAAGTGTGGGCATTCATGCCCCCAGCTGTGTGAGCACGGGTGGAAGCATGAGGAGGCTCTGTCCCCATTCACTAGTGTTGTCAGAAGCCGCTGCAGCCCCCACAGCTATTGCCTGGCACCGCTCTGCGGCCTCGGCCTGAGGGATGACTCTGAAACCCAGGGGGTCCCTACCCCAAGGAGCAGGCAGGAGGGCCAGCTCTGGGAGGGCAGGCAGGCTGGGACCCAACTGAGGGTGGGGTCCTCAGTTTCAGAGAGCAGAGCCATAGGACACAGCCACCCTCCAGATCCCAAATCCCAGCCACAGCCTCGGCCTGAACTTGACATAAAATAGCCCTGAGTTCCAAAGGCGTAAACCACAGCAGTTGGGGCCTAAACCCCACTTGTGAAGTCAGGGAGGAAAAAATAATTGCAGTGTAGAGCCGCAGGTGGGCGAAGCAGCAAGTGAACCCGGGATGGGGAGGAGTCAGCCTCTAGAGCCCCCTGTGACCTGCACGGTGGAGGCTCCAAACGAGGGGCCCATGTCAAGCATCGTGGCTTGAGTCCACACAGCTTGAGGAACCCTCACCAGCCATGGCTCCCTTCACTCACTCCACTCCAGCCTCCTCCTGCTCCGCCAGCACGCCACCCTCCCCTCCACCGACCTTCCACCCTCCCCACCACCGGCCTTCCTCCCTCCCCCACAACCGGCCTTCCACCCTCCCCCCCCACCGGCCTTCCACCATCCCCCGCACTGGCCTTCCACCATCCCCCCTACCGGCCTTCCACCCTCCCCCCCACCGGCCTTCCACCCTCCCCTCCACCGACCTTCCACCCTCCCCCCTACCGGCCTTCCTCCCTCCCCCACAACCGGCCTTCCACCCTCCCCTCCACCGACCTTCCACCCTCCCCCACAACCGGCCTTCCACCCTCCCCCCCCACCGGCCTTCCACCATCCCCCGCACTGGCCTTCCACCATCCCCCCTACCGGCCTTCCACCCTCCCCCAACCGACCTTCCACCCTCCCCCCCACCGACCTTCCACCCTCCCCTCCACCGACCTTCCACCCTCCCCCCCACCGACCTTCCACCCTCCCCCCCACCGACCTTCCACCTTTCCCCCACCGACCTTCCACCCTCCCCCCAATGACCTTCCACCCTCCCCCCCAATGACCTTCCTCCCTCCCCCACCACCGGCCTTCCTCCCTCCCCCAACCGACCTTCCACCCTCCCCCCCACCGACCTTCCTCCCTCCCCCCCCACCGGCCTTCCACCATCCCCCGCACTGGCCTTCCACCATCCCCCCTACCGGCCTTCCACCATCCCCCCTACCGGCCTTCCACCCTCCCCCAACCGACCTTCCACCCTCCCCCCCACCGACCTTCCACCCTCCCCTCCACCGACCTTCCTCCCTCCCCCACCACCGGCCTTCCTCCCTCCCCCACAACCGGCCTTCCACCCTCCCCCCCCACCAGCCTTCCACCATCCCCCGCACTGGCCTTCCACCATCCCCCTACCGGCCTTCCACCCTCCCCCCCCACCGGCCTTCCACCATCCCCCGCACTGGCCTTCCACCATCCCCCTACCGGCCTTCCACCATCCCCCTACCGGCCTTCCACCCTCCCCCCCACCGACCTTCCACCCTCCCCCCCACCGACCTTCCACCCTCCCCCCAATGACCTTCCACCCTCCCCCCCAACGACCTTCCACCCTCCCCCCCGACCTTCCACTCTCCCCCTCACCGACCTTCCACCCTCCCCCCACCGACCTTCCAGCCTCCCCCCACCGACCTTCCGCCCTCCCCCAGCACGGCCATGCTGGGACTCCCGTCCCGTCCCTCTTCAGAGCAGCTATGAGACGCACAGCCCCGTGCTGTCTGCCTGTCATGGTTTGAGCTTTGGAAGGAAGGAACTGCATTCACACTCCTCAGTCTATGCCTGCGTCCCACGAGGGCCCCCAAGATCCCTGCCTTGTTCTATTGAGTTCACCGGCCCCTTTCCCCTACACTCCAGCTCCTGCTGAGCAAGCCTTCCATGCACGGCCAACACTCCATACCTTTGCCACGTCTTTGCCTTGTGTTCGCCCTTGTGAAATGGGGGCTACTTCTAGGTGGACCCCTCGTTCCCACACAGTGTGGAATAGCCCTTGCCGAGTGAGGGCCCAGCCATGTCACTGTGAATTTCTGAGATTGCTGCTTCTCACGGCAGCAGAGCTCAGGGTGTCCCCAACACCACCCCCACAAAAGGTGCCCAAACAAGCTATGGACAAACTGCACTGGGAGTGGCATGGCTGGGCTCTGCAGGGATACTAGCTGGGCTCTGTCTGACTGGCAGGTCCCTTTTGCTCTCGGAAGGGCTGTGCCCATCTCCATCCCTCAGCACAGCCACCAGGTGCCTGTCCCCACATCCTCACTCTGTGGCTTTCAGTGTTGACTATCTGGTGGGCCAGACAGTGCCTGCTCTCCCCACTGGACAGCAGCTCCCTGAGGGCAGGATCCTGCCCATCCGAGAGTCTGTCACAGCCGCACTCCCAGCAGGGCACAGCACCCGGGAGCCGGCCACAGGCTGTCCACGCTTCTTATGCACTCTCCTCAGAGCAGCACCCCCTGGCAGCAAGGTCCCCTGCCCGCTCCCCACACTCTGCCCAGCTCCCAGGTTAGTCTTTGGCAGTTCCAGGTACACAGTGCTTCTCAGGGCCCCCCCCAGAGCAGCCTCCCCACCTGCCTGCCAGCCTCCCTCGGACAATCATCTTGTCACTGTCCCCCTGGGAAGGTCAGCTCCAGGGAGGCAGGGCTGTGTCCATGCTGTGGGCCACCACATCCTGTGCCTGGCACAGAGAAGGCCAGGCCTGGGGCTCTCGGGGCAGCAGCAGCATCCAGGGAAGGAAGGGAGGAGGCTATGAAGGGAAGTGCCTTCAAAGGGAACAGAAGCCCATCCAAGCAGCGCTGTCCTGGCTGCGGGGGCCAGAGCAAGACAGGGTGGGACGCAGGGCGCAGGAATGTGAGCTGCTGTGGGAGGCAGCCCCAAGACATCTACAGCCATGTTCCCTTGCAAAACCCTTTCTGAAACGGGGTAAAGTGATGGTGGAAATGCAGGCACATCTCCACACCACAGGAAGGTCACGGGCAGCCCCTGCCACCACCTCACTCTGCACATGGCAGCCCTGCCTCCAGAGCACACAGACTACCATGGTGTGGTCCCAAGTACAGGACCACCCTCAGGCACAGCCCAGGGTCTCTGTCCTTGCCCCTGCTGTCGGGCCACAGGCAGGAGACCCTCCCGATAAAACTCAACTTCAGATGTGCATGAGATTCCGGAGCACCTTTCCCAGGGAGCTGCTTGGCACTGGCCTCATCAGGGGCGGCCAGCTCTGGAAGCACATGGGGCCCCCTCAGCTGGGCTCAGCCCCACCCACCCCAGCCACGGTCAGTGACCCACAGTGACTTCAGAGTTAATGGGGCCGAGGGACCTTTGACAGATGAGTTACACTTTGATTTGTATCCATTAAGCCACAGTTATTAATTTCATCACATCAGAACAAGAAATGTCAGCCTCAGTGACGTGGACCATTCCTGTTTCTACAGAGCTCAGTGACACATGTGTCACACAGGGTTGAGATTCATTTGTGGAGGAGGAACTAAGGCAGGCCACTTGGCTCCAGGCACAGGGCCTCTTCCATGCCATGGATGCAGCCCCCATCTGTCCACAGAACCCTCTGAGGAAGGCAGATGAGCTAGAGCCGTGACAGCTCCCCTCCCCTGCCATCCCCCCACCCCATGATGACTTCTCTAAGCCTCATCCTGAGTGGGGTGCCCCTCCAGCTGCCACCAGTGCAGCACTGCACCCCTGTTCCCCTGTAACTGGAGTCAGACCAAAGACACTGACCAGAGGCGAGAGCTGGAGAAGAGCCCAGATCTCACCGGCTCTGCTGCCAGGAGACCCCACCCAAGGGAACACCCAGTGTGGGGTCACTTGGGCCTCACAGGAAGCTGGGTCTGCTCTGCCAGCACTGCAAGGTGGCCCCCCAAGGATACAGCCCCCCATCTTACCCCCCTCTATGCTCCAGATGAAGGTAGGAATCATATTTATCATTCTTAACAGGACCCCAGAATTTCAAGTTGGGGCCTCTTGGTGCTGCTCAGCTCAGTCAGAACATCTCAGACCTCTGACCAGATGGATTGGTCCAGGGGCAGGCATATGACCCAAGTCAGGCCAATGAGAATGACGAGGTGTCTGCAGGGATTGTGCGAGAAATGCCTCCCTATTCCCCAGGAGCTTCTGGAGGTGGGGTGGGACGGCAGTTTTCACTGAATGAGGAAGGGCGTGATTGCAGTCGCTGCTGGCAGCCACTCTGCTACCAAGAGTAGAGCCAGCCTTAGGATGAAGCTGGCACCATTGGAGGTGAAAAGCAGACAGCCAGAAGGGATCTGTGTTTTTCATGACACCATTGAGCTGCTCGATCAAGCCTCTCCTGAAGTCCACATACCCTGTATGAAACTTTAATTCGATGACTCTATAAATCATCTTCAAGTACAGCTGGATTTACGGGCTCAAAACAACACCTCCAGTCCCTAGGTATTCTCTGTTTCTCCAGTCTATTCCGGATGGTTTTGCTTTCAGCCTCCTCATGGTGGCAACGTGGCTGCCACCACATTGTTCCAGGCCTTGTTCTTCCCAGAAGTTCCCACACCAGCCCCAGGACTCAGTAGAATTGAATCAGCTTGATGTTCGGACCTACCATGAGCCAGTGGAGAGGGGCTGGAGCCCCACAGAGACCACAGGGTCTGCAAAGAGAGGTGGGATGGAGGCTGCATCCCAAGGGCTCTTGGGCACTGTTCCTAGGAGAAGAGGGGATGGCTGACCAACAGGCAAAGCCCATAGCCCCGGCCCCAACAGTGCCCTCCCTCCAGCCCCAGGAGGGCAGCCCCACCCCACACTGCCGCCCTGCCTCCCTCCTCAGTGCCCACCCTAAGGAGCGTCCACAGGGTCACAGCCTGCCTGCCACACCGCCGCAACCAGCATCTCCCACAGCCGCCCTGAAAACCACTCGTCACCAGGACAGCACCACCTCGGAGACAGTGTCAAACCTCACACCCCAGCCAGCCAGGGCTCTCTCAGCCCACGCCCCTCCCCACACCCAGATCTTGTCCACACCTGCCCCCACCTCTCTTCCTTCCCTACTCAGCCTGGAACCAGAGGTCCAGCTGCCCACCTGCTCTCCCGCCAGGACGTCTGCAACCCTGCCAGGCAAGCGCAGCAAAGCCTTGCTCCCAAGGGGTGAAAATGGGCCTTTTCTCAAATAACCAGGGGACTGACGTGGCTCCCCTACGAAAATCCAGGATCCTCAGTGGCAATGGCGTCCTCAGCAGCACTGACACCGGCTCCTGGCCCCGCCGTCATATTCCATATACCCTCGCCACACGCCACAAGGGGCCTGGCAGACCCTCCTGCTTCACTCAGCCTGAGGAGTCTCCTCTCCACTGCCCCCTCCCAGAGCCTCCCCACAGGCTCGGAGGGCCCTGCTCTACTCGGGACCCATGCCCCTGTCCACCCAGGTAAGGGTTAATAAGATTAGCTGTCACTGAGATGAGATGTTTACCCACCTCCAGACTCCGGATGAAGATAGAAATGGTATTTATGATTTCTACCCAACGTTTCTGGAAAGGATTTAAGGTGCTTACGAGAACACACACATATAACAGGATTGCATAAATTAAATGTGGGAGCCAAAAAAGACAGGAAAACGGGGATGGGGACATAACATCGAGCAGGGGAGGAGGCTATTGTGGAAACAAAGGCCATGTGAGCTATGGGCTTGCCTGGGTGGTCGCAGCGTGCCCCATGGCTCTCCAGCAGCTGGCCTGAAAGAGCAAACCAGGGGCTGGAAGCGGCAGGGCCGGTAACATTAAAATGCACACACAATTACCCGGGAGACACCCCAGCAGCAACAGGAATGTCTCCCAAGGGAGCAGACAGCAAGGACGGTTAGGAAGGAGGGGGTTGACGGGCTTCCTTCCGGGGCTGTGGGCTTGGAAGCTGGGATGCTGGGCAAGAGGCGGGGAATGAGATGGTTCTGGCCACCCTGCTGCCTGCACTGGGGCAGTGAGGAAACCCCACAACTGCTGTGCCCTGCTGGGCAGGTGCTGGCCTGTGATGCTGGGCTCTCTATGGGCGCAAAGGGTCCAGCCCAGGCAGCACCTGGGCCCCACCAGCCTCTCCTGCACCTGCTCAGTCCTGCCATGGCACCTGCCCTCTGTCCTGGGTCACTCCTGATGGCTGGGTCAGAGCACTCACTGGCCCTCTTCAGGGCATCCCGGGACCCAGGAAATCCCTTCTGCTCCTGCTTTGGGCCCCAACTCATTCCCCTTTCGTATCTTTAGTGCACAAGCATTTACTAAGCACCTGCAGGATGCAGCCAGGGGATGTGAAGGTTATAGAGGAAAGGAGAGAAAAGTTTCAACTAAAGCTGCCTGCAGCCACTTCAGTCTTTTGGGAAGTGGCACAGGGTCAAGAGGGTGCCCAGGTCTCATGGCTCAAACCTCAGGAAGGTGCCCAGAGGACAGGGCCAATGGCATGCCCCAGGGGCACAGTGGTGGAGAGGGTCAGGGCAGAGGCCAGCAGCACGGGTGGCATGGGCAACAGGCAAAGTTCTGGGAGCCTTGTGTAGGTCTCCCAGAAGCAGCTGGGTGACCACGGGACAGGTGAGACCCTCGGGCTGCCATGGGCTCAGGGAGGGGAGGCAGGACCCAAGGCCACGTGGGCCTTAATGCCAAGTGAATTCATTGGTACCCGAGGCCCACAAAGCCCTGGGCAGTCCTGCCATAGATGAACAATTCTACTTGCATGGCACCTGTTACATCTTTCTCTGGTTGCAAATGTAATGTGCCCTCAGCATCAGCAACAACAACAACTTTAAAAATGCAAAGGGAAAACACAAAAATCAGCCACAATTCCACCATGTGTTGTGTTGGGGGTGGCTCTCAGTTTGGTGTATGACCTGCTAGTCTTTCTTTGTTAATACGTAGTCCGGTGCAGTGGCTCACGCCTGTAATCCCAACACTTTGGGAAGCAGAGGTGGGCGGATCACCTGAGGTCAGGAGTTCACAACCAGCCTGACCAACATGGCAAAACCTCATCTCTACTAAAAAATACAAAAAAATTTACACCTGTAATCCCAGCACTTTGGGAGGCCAAGGTGGGTGGATCACAAGGTCAGGAGATTGAGACCATCCTGGCTAACATGGTGAAACCCCATCTCTACTAAAAATACAAAGAAGTAGCTGGGCATGGTGGTGGGTGCCTATAGTCCCAGCTACTGGGGAGGCTGAGGCAGGAGAATGGCGTGAACCCGGGAGGCGGAGCTTGCAGTGAGCCGAGATCGCGCCACTGCACTCCAGCCTGGGCAACAGAGAGAGACTCCATCTCAATAATAATAATAATAATTAGCCAGGTGTGGTGGCAGGTGCCCATAATCCCAGCTACTCGGGAGGCTGAGGTAGGAGAATCACTTGAACTCGGGAGGCGGAGGTTGAAGTGAGCCAAGATCGCGCCACTGCACTCCAGCCTGGGCAACAGAGTAAGACTCTGTCTCAAAACAAACAAACAAACAAAAGCATGTATTTTGGAAAACTGCGTGGCAAAACCTCTATGGCCAAAATAAGAATTAAAAAAAGACAAACTGGGGAAAATATTTAGATCTGATATCACTGACAAAGACACTAGAAACAGACCCTGGAAGTCACAGGAAAAAGACACAATTTAAATGTGCAACAGCAGTGACACATAAGCGGGGATGAGGGTGTTCCACGGTCTCTGTGTCATCTGGGAGGAAGATGAGGGTGTTGGTCGACACCAACTTTGCTGAGTTAAGGACGAGTGTGTGATTTCCAGGATGACTCCTCAGTGGGATTTACAGAATTCAGGACAGTGTCTGCCTGTGGGGAGGAGGAAATCACGACACAGAGGGCTCGCGCAGTGGAGCGGGTCCGGGTGCTGGGCGTGCTTCTGTTCCTGCCCTGCCTGCTGGTTTATCTCAGTCTCATTGAGGACATTCATCGCACTGTGCAAATGCCTCATACGCCCTGCTCATCCCATGTGCTAAGTCACAAGTTTTTTAAAGAATATTAAAAGGTGCTCAATGCCATTCATAATAAGATAGAAAATTTCAACTCTTTTTCCAAGATCAAAAATGTCAGAGCTCACTGTGTTGGTAAAGGCGTGGAGAAACGGGCTGTCCACGCGCTCCTACTGGAGTGTGATTGGTGTGTCTGCCGTGGAGGGTGCTTTGGTGATTTCAACCCAAATTTCTGGATACAAAGCTTCACACATTTCTAGAACTTTATCTACAAATATCATCACACACAAAAGTGTGAACAAATATCATCACACACACAGGTGCCAAATTAACTGTGCAAAACCTTCATCGAAAAGGAGGGGAAACAGCCTGAGCGTCCTTCGTTAGGTCAATAACGGTACTTCCTACAGCGGGATATTGCAGAGCCATGAAAACGAGGCTCTCAGACCCCTGTGCAATCAGAGCCAAGACACATCGAGTGAAAAGCAGGACGCAGAGCAGTGTCCGCGGGAGCAGTTGCAGGGAGGCATTACATGCACGTGTTTGTCTGGATAATCATACAACTTCTCAAAGAAAACAACCGTGGGAGACCCCACAAGAAATAAATAACTGGCTCTGAGGGGCTGGAAGACACAGTTAGAAATCGTAGTTATTGCTGTATAATACCCTTTTGTGTTTTTTGAACTTTAAAACAGAAAGCACATATTCAAAAATATTCACAAAAAAATCATAGTGGGGCTGGGTGCAGTGGCTCACGCCTGTAATCCTAGCACGTTGGGAGGCTGAGGCAGGTGGATTGCCTAAGCTCAAGAGTTCGAGACCAGCCTGGGCAACATGGTGAAACCCCATCTCTACTAAAATACAAAAATTTAGCCAGGCGTGGTGGCATGTGCCTGTAATCCCAGCTACTCTGGAGGCTGAGGCAGGAGAACTGCTTGAACCCAGGAGGCAGAGGTTTGCAGTGAGCCGAGATCGTACAATTGCACTCCAGCCTGGGTGACAGAGCGAGACTCCATCTCAAAAAAAAAAAAAAAAAAAAAAAAAAAAAATATATATATATATATATATATATATAGTGGGACTGGGGAATCACAGAACCTTGCCTCAGCCCTGCCACCTTGCTGCCCATGAGGCTTTCAGGGAGGCTGTGGGAAGGGAGGGGGACAATGTCAAAGGCACATGGAAGCTCCCCTTTTATTATTAGCTGGGTGTGTGCCCAGCTCCTCCCAGACAGAACAGGGCTGGGACTCGAGGTGGAGGCTGAGGCTTAACCCCCTCCCTGGTGCCATCGTCCTGCAGACAGCCAGAGGGAGGAGGCACCAGCCCAAGGGAGGAGGTATTAGCCCTCCAGAGTTTCGAGGACATGAGGCACAAGAGAGCTCGGTGGCATGACAGTCCAAGAGGCAGGCCTGGCCTCCTGCAAACCTGTAGCCAGGAGGTTCACCCATCCAGAGCCACCCAGGAAGGAGGCCGCCACATCCAGAGACAGGACCTGCAGCACCGTGTCCTGTGGGTGGGAGGGGGAAGGCCCACCACACACATACCTACTTTCACTGACATTCAGATGAGCAAAGCTTGGCTCGTTCTGTTCACGCTGTTTTATAGCCTGCTTTTCCCACTTACTAGCTTATCGGGAACATTTTCACATGTCAATAGCTTTTGCTCCTTGACTGCATGGTTTTTAATGACCAAAGATTTTGCTCAACCGATTCACTGTTGTTATACGTTGAGAGTTTTCATTGTCATGAACAATGCTTTGATGAAAATCAGTAGAGCTAAATTTTGGTGGCCAGCTTTAATTCTATCCTTAGAATAATATCCTAGAAGTAGCCCTCTGGATAAAGCACAGGTACTTTATAGCTTAGTATGCAGGTCACCGCATGGCCTTAAAAAATATTTGACCCAGTTTACACTGGCCAGAGGGTCAGCCTTCCAACTCCCTTCCAAACCTAGATAGCGATGTAATTTTATCTTTACCTACTTAACGATTTGGAGGGGCCTGGGGGAGTGGCTTGCTATTGCTTGAATTTGCATCCTTTGATGACTAATTGGGTTGAGGCTTTTTCATGTGTTTGTTTCCCCAATTACTCATCTAACCCAAAACGCCTGTTTGCATACCTGCACACACCCAGCACCCTCCTGCACTCGCTCTTGGCTCAGGCCTGAAGATCGCTCTTTATATACCCACAGCTGTCAAAACTTACCATCCTTCAAGGTCAAATGGCCCGCTCTGACCTTCCCTCCAGGCAGTCATTCCGGACTTCCCGCAGCTCTTGGCTTGAGGCACTTGCCACTTTGGTCCTGGTTCAACACTCAGGTCTGCATGGCTGTGCCCCCGCTGTCTGCACCAGCTGTTCGCTTTACTCCGCAGGACCACGGCTTGGCCACTGCCCCCATCTAAAGACCCCATGTCAACAACGTTCCCTGGGCACCTACTATCCAGTGAGGGCTCCAGGGCACCAGGGACGAATTGGACTGTACCCCTGCCCACACGCCCCTTGGAGCTGTAGCACCAAGGACAGCCACCTCCCATGAGCCAGCTGTACTGAGCCCAGGACTGTCTGACCAGAGACCTGGGCTCGTGCCTCCTGCTGCTGTCAGCTCTCCTGGGGAAACCCAGCCTCTGGGACCAAGCAGCATCTTCCCCTGGGCTGCAAGAGAAGGTAGAACTCCCACTAGGGATTCTTCTCTGTAAGAAGCAGAGCCTGCGTGGGGAGGAGAGTGAAGCCCTGGAGAAGTCCAACAAGGGGGAAGGCAGATTCACGGGGATTTAAGTGAGTGGGAATGTTGGATTCTAATAGTGTCTGACCATGTTCAGTGACTGGCCAGCTTGGCTATCTCATGCCATGCTCTCTGGCAACTTGTGTTTTGGCAACTCTCAACCATGTGCCCATGAGAGCATGGTCCCCAAAGAGGGGATGGAGACCCCAGCAGCACTGAGAGCTGAGGTGGGGGAAACCATGGTTCTCCAGAGATGCCACTGCTGCCACAAGTGAGGGGCACGTATGCATGAGAGGCCCCCATGAGAGGAGGCAGAATGAGCTTGGGGCTTTCCTGCAACCCTGCTCAGCCCTGCTGGGCATGATTTGGCGCCCTTGAGCTTGTGGCAGCACCTTCCCTGGCAGCACCTTCCCAGGCTAGAGGTCCCAAGACACTGGGCAGCGCCAGGTCCCAGTGGCCTCTGAGACCCCAAGCCCAGCCCCAGTCTCTCCCAACACCCAAGGATGCCCCTGGTGTCATCACAAAGGTGACTCCAGAGTCGGAGTGGCCTTGGCTCCCAGCACTAGAGGAGATGACAAATTTCCGTTTTTCCTGCGGAAAACATGATCCATCCTTTCATGGGTCCCTGGGGGCCAGCAGTGCGGCACATGCCTTATGGAAGCTTTTGCCTGGGCTCATCTCCTTTCTCTACAGGCTGGCTCTGTGCCAACTCTTCTTTAAGCCCTTGAGAGACTGAGAGCATTTCATTGCCAAGGGGAAAACTCAGGGATGTTCCTGAAAAACATATTTTTCTATCAATGGCTGCTGTCCTGGTTTCTGGGCATTAATTTCTTAATTTGAGCAAGAATAAGCTCCTCCCTGCCAGGCACTGGGAGCCATGTGACAGCCACAGATATGTCCTCATGGGCCGTGGTGGTGCCGCACACCTGGAAGATCCGTGGGCCCCCAGGCCAGACCTGTGAGTCCAGAGGGTCTTCCCCAAGGACACCATGCAGATGCTGAGACCTGAAGGCTGAGGGGCTGCTGGTCAGACAATGGGCAGGGAGGAAGCCTCCTCGAGGATGGGCGGGGTGAAGGCATTGATGGGGGTGCTGATGAGGTCACCTGAGGCGGGGCCACAAAGGACCCAGGATGCCAGGCCACTGGGTCTGAATGTCATCCTGACAGCTACAGGAGACCGTGAGGGAGCACTGGTCAGGGAAGTGACATCAACAGCTCTGCATTCTGGAAGGATCATGCTGGCAGCCTGCAGGAGTCTCCTCAGCAGGAAGGAGCATTACAGCAATCCAGAGTGGCCAGGTCGGTGAAGGGCTGTGCAGATTTACATACAACATGCATTTGAGAGATGGAGTCGAGAGGACCGAGCAGTGGAATGAGCAGCTGACTGGTGGGCCAGGAGCGGGCAGCTGTCAGTGGGCACCCCACTGTGAGCACCTTGGACAGAGGGGCCGCTGGGGGAGAT
Source organism: Homo sapiens (assembly GCF_000001405.40). Lineage (NCBI taxonomy): Eukaryota > Metazoa > Chordata > Mammalia > Primates > Hominidae > Homo > Homo sapiens. Next base: position 188,182 of record NW_016107298.1, read on the forward strand.
GAAAGGGGGGCATTGAGCATGTATGTGCACGTTGAGTCTTAGGTGCCTGCAGAATGCAGAGATGTCCAACAGGCAAGCTGAGGTCATTGGAGCAGAAGATGCATCTCAGGCCTGGCACTTAGCTACAGCTGGGCAGAGACACAGACCTGCCCACAGTGCAGAAGCAGACAATTGCCTATTACCCACATGGATACAGGACAGTGACCTCCAGAAAAACGGCTCCTAGTTTGAGGGCTGCTGGGGGTGTAGGGGAGAGAGTCTCCAGAACAGAGGAGCAGCAGAGTGTGAATTAAGTTTAACTGAAAGCTGTCTCCTTGTATATTTTAACTTTGGCCTAAAAGTTCCTCCATACAGCCAGGCGTGGTGGCTCATGCCTGTAATCCTGACACTTTGGAAAGCCAAGGTGGGTGGATCACCTGAGGTCAGGAGTTTGAAACCAGCCTGGTCAACACAGTAAAACCCTGTCTCTACTAAAAAATACAAAAATTAGCCAGGCATGGCCCGACGTGGTGGCTCACGCCTGTAATCCCAGCACTTTGGGAGGCCGAGGTGGGCAGATCACAAGGTCAGGAGATCGAGACCATCCTGTCTAACACGGTGAAACCCTGTCTTCAATAAAAATACAAAAAATTAGCCAGGCGTGGTGGCGGGCACCTGTAGTCCCAGCTACTCGGGAGGCTGAGGCAGGAGAAAGGCGTGAACCCGGGAGGCGGAGCTTGCAGTGAGCCAAGATCGCACCACTGCACTCCAGCCTGGGCGACAGAGGGAGAATCTGTCTCAAAAAAAAAAAAAAAATTAGCCAAGCCTGGTGGCAGGCGCCTGTAATCCCAGCTATTCAGGAGGCTGAGGCAGAAGAATCGCTTGAATCCCGGAGGCGGAGGTTGCAGGGAGCTGAGATTGCACCATTGCACTCCAGCCTGGGCAACAGGAGCAAAACTCCGTCTCAAAAAAAAAATACCAAGTTCTGCCATACATAGTGAACTGTCCCCAAACTGGGTGTGGGACAGACTGTAACCTACTCTTGTACCAATCCCTGAGCTGCAGCCTAAGGCAGCCAACCGTTCAAACCCTGTTCAAATAAGGCAAACGTCAAGTTGTAAGGAATCCAGCTGCTTCTGTACCTCACTTCTCTTTTCTGTGCATCACGTTCCTACTTCTGTTCATAAATCTCCAGTGAAGTGGCAGAGCTGGAGCCACTCTGAACTTACTCTGATTGGGGGCCGCCCAATCCGAAAATCGTTCTTTGCTCAGTTAAACTCTGCTAAATTTAATTTGTGTAAGTTTGTCTTTTAAGAAGGCATAGAGGTCTCTCGGAGAGGCTGCCGGTGCATCTGCCCACCCAAGGAGAGCTGGGGTGGGATGGAGAGGAAGAGAGCACAGCTGGAGAGGGCGGGGCCAGCTCGCATCTTATATCAGGAACACCTGTGTCCAAAAGTGTTATTTTCCTTCCTTATCCAATACTGAACACACAGTAGCTTAGAAATATTGCACACCTGCCAATTAAAGGCAACCTCCATCATTGAATGTTCACCTGGAGGACGAGGTCAGGCAAGGACAGTCCAGGGAAATGAGGAAGGGGGAAATCTTACACGTAAACAATCTGTAGTTTGCAAGTGCTGATTTTCAAAGTACCCAAAACACTTGGGAGAAGCAATGGAAGGAATCCACCCTATCAGATATTAAAACGTTATACAACCTTAATATCAAGACAGAGTGTCACCACGCAGAGACAATCCACAGACCAACAGGGATGACAGAGATCCGCATACATGCAGGAAGTTAGTCAATGATAAATGCAGCATCTCAACCAGTGAAGTAAAGATGAATGTGTTAATAAATGATGTCAGGATAAATTGGCAGCTTTCTGGGAAAAGATCAGGTAAGATCCATACTTCACACCATACATCCGGATAATTTCTAAATGGAGCAAAAGTTTAAATGTATAAATGAAACCATGAATGTACGGGAAAAAATATGGGTGGATTCCTTTACAAGGTGAAGGAAGGAAGACTTTTTGCAATATAGCTCAAAATGTAGCCACCATAAAAGATTGATAGACTACACAAAAATTGGAAACTTCTGCAGGGCAAAAGCCACGGTAAGCAAAGTCAAATGACAACTGAGAAAAAAAAAATATTTGCAACCCAGATCACTGTCAGAGGGATAAATCTCTAATATGTAAAAAGCTCTTAGAATCTAATAAGAAAAACGTCAATGACTCAATAGGAAAAAATGAATACATAGTGAAATACAAATGGCCTCAGACATAAGCAAAGATACCCAATTCACTCAAAAGAGTGATTAGCCCCGCAGTGGCTCCTCACTGTGAGCTTGGCAGAAATGCAAACCTGACAGCACCCTTGGGAGGTGAAACTTTGTGGGGAGAGCAGCATCCAAGTGGCAGGCACTTTGGTAATGACTATCAAAAAGCTGTGCGTGCATTTACCCTTTGACCCAGCAATTCCCTTCTGGAAATGAATCCTTTGGATATACCTCCATGAGTAAGAGCAATAGTTTGGAAACTAAGTGAAGCCACAGGAGACTTATTTTCACAACAAATGTATATGGAACAGCATGCATGGAAAGATCTGGAAACCCATTAGCCATCTTCCCATTGCCTATCCAGATTCCAGATCGTCCCCCCTGTTCACGACCCCTGGAGGCTGTGGTAGGACTGTGACAATGGGCCCCTTGCCCTCTGACTTCCAGCTGGGCTCAGCCAGTGGGGAGAGAGGCAGTAGAGTTCATTCCCTCCCTGCAAGAGCCCTTCAGGCTGGCTGCATCCTAGACTGAAGGTCACAATTCCTGCCAGGCCTAAGGTGATAAGGACAAGAGTCTTGTGCTACTCACACCCTATAAAGAGTCTTCTAGAAAATGCTCCTCGAATTGCCCAATTTGGGTGAGCCGTCTGTTTCCTAGTGGGCCCCTGGCTGATGCCACGGCCATTTATAAAAGGATGAGCACACACTCCAGGCATCAATCTGGAAAGATTTCCAGGTACATTCTTGAGTACGAGTATATAGTAGTTACCTTTATGGGAGCAAGGTGGAGGGAGAGGGAGAGCAGGTAGCTGCATCTGCTTGTATTTGCATAAAGAAGTGCAGGAAGGACCCACAGGAGGGTGATAAGGTGATTGTCAGTCATCGGGGGCTCGGTGGGGGATGGGGCAGGTGAAGAGGGCATGCAGGACTTTTCTCTCTGTGTTTTATTTGCAAGCCTCCTCCTTTCCCCCGCTCAGCTTCATGGAACTCAGGAAACAACTTAATAGACTTGGGGCTCCGTGAGCGCCAGTCCTTCCCGGGCACCTAACCTGGAGCGAGGCTGGATGCTACAGCCTGAATGTGTGTGACCCCCAAACTTCACAGGTTGCAACCTAATCCCCAATGGGATGGTGTTAGGAGTGGGGCCTTTGGGAGGTGATTGGGTGACGTGGGCAGAGCCCTCATACATGGGATTAATGCCCTTATCAAAGAGACCCCAGAGAGTCAACCAGCCCCATCCACTACTTTCAGGCACAGCAAAAAGATGTCCTCTTTGAACCAGGAAACAAGCCCTCACTAGGCTCCCAGTCTGCTCACAGACCGTCGCAGCCTCCAGAACTGTGAGAGCGAAGTTTCTGTTGTGTATAAACCACCCAGTGTTCGGTGTGAGAGCGAAGTTTCTGCTGTGTATAAACCATCCAGTGTTCGGTGTTTTGTCGCAGCAGGCCTGAGCAGGCGGAGGCCCTGGTTCTCTCCTCTGTCAGCAGCCCGTGCCCTCGGCCCTGAGATCAGCGACTCTCACGGGGGAGGCAGAAAGGACTCAGCAGCTCCAAGCAGGAGCAGAGCAGGGAAGCTCGCTGGGCACCTGCAGGCCACTCCCAGGCACTCGGACATCTCCCTAAGCTCAAATTCACGGAGTCTTCTAATAGTAATTAGTTTCAGGGAAAATAAAAATCAGTGAGTCTCTGAGCCTCTTTGGGACCCCGAGAAGGAAGAAGCTTCAGAAAACCCCATGGTTGCCTCTGGGCCCCTCCCAGGGCCTCTGCAGCAAGCTCCGCACGCCAGTCCTGGTCTCCTTTCCTCCCCCGGTCCCGCGACCCCGTGTTGAACCTGGCTCCCGGGACCCCGTTCCCCAGTCCATCAGAGTGAAGGCTGTGAAGCTCCTCTTGGGATTCCCGCATTTAACTCAGCGGGGCTGTCCTAAGCTGAGCGCTGGTTCTGAGGCCGCCTCCAAATCCGCCTCCGTGTGTCCCCATGGTGTGGCCACAGGCAGGGCCTCCCTGACCTCAGGGACCTCATCTGCAAACCCCAGAGCTCCCAGCTCCGGCTTCTGGGGGTTGCCAGATGACGGCAGGCGAGACCCCTCACACAGCACCTGCCACACACAACAAAAGCTCGCCATGGAGAGGGCGAGGCGCCAAGAGGGACCCCAGGCGAGGGCCAGCCTGAGCGGCATCCGCAGTTTCCTGCCTGCACCTCCCAGCTCCTCCTGGGACCTGCAGAGCACAGCGCCTTGTGTAGTCTCGGCCCCAGGCCAAGGCTGCGCACTTTACAGCCTTCAGCTCACGGAGGTGCTGCACCAGCTCCGAGGTCAGTATCGCCATCGCAGGCCGGGCGCGGGGGCTCACGCCTGTAATCCCAGCACGTTGGGAGGCCGAGGCGGGCAGATCACGAGGTCAGGAGATCGAGACCATCCTGGCTGACACGGTGAAACCCCACCTCTACTAAAAATACAAAAAAAATTATCCGGGCGTGGTGGCGGGCGCCTGTAGTCCCAGCTACTCGGGAGGCTGAGGCAGGAGAATGGCATGAACCCGGGAGGCGGAGCTTGTAGTGAGCCGAGATCGCGCCACTGCACTCCAGCCTGAGTGACAGAGCGAGACTCCGTCTCAAAAAAAAAAAAAAGAAAAGAAAAAAGAAAATCGCCATCGCAATTGGCAGATGGAAGAGTAGAGGCTCAGAGTGCCCAGGCCTACCTCCCTGGCTACAGCAGGTGGTCTGGACAGAGCTTCAGACTCATATCCACGCACCCCTCGGCCTGCAGCTCAGTGCGCCTGGCCTCCCTGGATCCCAAAGAGCCTTCCTGGAATGAGCCCCCCACACCGGGAACCAGTTCTCAGATTCTGACTATCCTGGAACCCTGGCCCACCAGGGCCCTGTCCCACACCCGCCTGCCGCATGAGGAGCTCTTCCTAGCAGCTTAGGGTAGCCCGGCCCCACCCAGAAGGACGAGGAAAGGGCCGCTGCTCTTCCTCGCTTCCCTCCGAAGCTGCCACTGTGGCTTCTGGGCACACCTCAGATTGAGGAGGCTCCTGCCCTTGCTGCCCAAGCTGCCAAGTCCAGGGGCTTCGTTGCCACTGGCCGGCCCCATGCTCTCCCTGACAGCCCACCTGTGTGTCCCCAGGGGCAGCCCCTTTCAGCCGGTGGGGATGACAGAGGGCAGCCCAGGCAGGGCTCAAGGAAGGAGCCACTCCGGCTAACAAGGAGAGGGGACCCTGCCCAGTGTCCCAGATAAGATGGAGGCATGGGCTGGGTCCTAGGAGGCTGCAGGATGGGTGGAGACCATCAGGGCTGGGAGGAGCCCTGGGTATCGCTCATCAGAGCAGGACCCACTGGCGACCACATCCAGGCCCTGCCAAGCAAGCTGGGGCACAGGGCAAACCACGAGGCTCTGGAAACGCAAGGGACGGACAGTGCAGCTCACACCCCAGGCAGCTGCACTGGCAGCTGGGCCAGGGTCTGGGGTACCACAGGCCTGCAAGGGAAGAGACATGGGGCTACTGCCTCATTCATGCTGCGACTGTTCTCTGCCCTTCCCAGAGCTTCAGGGCTTAGACATGGAGCTGGGATAAGGCTCCCAGAGAAAGGCAGCTCCTGATCAAAGGGGGCCAGCAGCTCACTTCCCTTCCTGTGCTCGGGACCCCCAGGCTCTCAGAAGAAAGGGAAGAATGGGTTTGTTTGTTGTTTTCTGCTTAATTCTTCTTCCTGGTGACAGGCAGGGGATTTGAGATCATTTCCATTTTCTTCATGTAAACGAATTGCTAAGAGTAATTTAAGTGCTCAGTGGAGGTGAGCATAGCAGAGATGGTGACAGCATGCTACCTGGGACAGGGGCCAGCCACACAGGCTGTCCACAGGGGAGCATCGCTCACCACCCAACCATGAGGCTGTCCACACTGGGAGCGCCATCCATCACTTCATATACACAGGCTGTCCACACTGGAAGTACTGTCCCCTGCCTCATCTATACAGGCTGTCCACCATGGGAGCGTCATCCAACACCCCATCTACACGGGCTGTCCACACTGGGAGCACCATCCAACACCCCATCTACACAGGCTGTCCACACTGGGAGCACCACCCAACACCCCATCTACACAGGCTGTCCACACTGGGAGCGCCACCCAACACCCCATCTACACAGGCTGTCCACACTGAGAGCGCCACCCAACACCCCATCTACACAGGCTGTCCACACTGGGAGCGCCTCTGTGGCCCTGGTTGTTTGCCCTCTGCCTGGCAGGGGCTCTATGGACACAGCCGTTCTGAAAGGTTTTGGGACCAGGCCTTGGAAGCCACCTCTCTGCTTCATTCCCACCTCAGGGTGGGCCTGTCAGTGAGGATTTACTCCTGAAGGTTTGAGCCGTGCGTGAATGAAGACCTCTGCTTGGTCAGTCCTTTGAAAGCCTCTGCATGGGGGTCAGTGGGCTCCTCAGCCACTCAGGAGCTGCTGTGATATCCCAGCTGCTCTCCGGGCCCTAACCCAGCTGGGAACTCTCAGAAACATGCACCCTCTCGCCTGCAGGAATGAGGTCGGCCGGGCCAGGGAGGCTGCTAGGGCAGGGGTCTCCAGGCAGGAGCTCATCCAAGGCTGGAGGGAAGGGCTGGCAGAAGACAGAAAGAGCAGGTTCCATGGGCTGAGATGGGCAGGAGGGTAGGTGGGGAGGCCGAAGCCACAGGCGATGGGGCAGATAGGTGGGCACAAGGCTGCCCCGTGGAGCTCTGGCCGTGGCACCTCACAGCCCAAGCCCAGCACAGCTCTCTGCAGAGGTGACCGCATTGCCAGCATGGAACCTGTTCCTACAGACACTTGTCCACGAGTTTACACGCACGGAGACCACTGCTGCAAGAAGCCTCATACACGTGTCCACGGGAAAGGACAACTGTCTGCTGAGCACCTGCTGGGTGCTGGGCATCTGAGCCTCCTCCATACACAGCATCAAAGAGCAGGAGCGGTTTTGATTTTAGTAAACTGTTGCCCCCAAAGTGTCTTTGGCTGAACTAGGGCTATCATGATAAACTACCGCAGATGGGGCCTGAACAACAGAAATGTGTTCCCTCACAGTCCTGGGGGCTGGAGCTCCGAGATCAAGGCATGGGCAGGGCTGGTTCTCCTGAGGCCTATCTTCTTGGCTTGCAGACGCTGCCTCTACCTGTGTCCTCCAGTGGCCGCCCATGTGTGTGTCTGTGTCCTCATCTCCTCTGTAAGGACAACAGTCCTATTGGATTAGGGCCCACCCATAGGGCCTATTTTACCTTCTCTATGTCTTTACAGGCCCTATCTCCAAATACACCCACGTTCTGAGGCACCAGGGGTTTGGACTTCAACCTATGAATTTGGGGGTCACAATTCAGCCCATAGCAGTGCCTGTGCTCATCTATGCCCTGCACCAATTAAGAATCCATTTGGTAATGAGTAGCAGGAATGGAAAATAAACAAGACAGAGGTGGATGCCTCTCCTACATCACAGACCATAGCTGGGCAGGCTGATGTCGCTCAGCACTTCTGCTCCCCAACATCCCCAGGAACCTGGCCTAGTGGCTCCATCATGCCTGGCCTCCATTCCCCAGGTCACCTGGCTGATGCTGTGGCTCCAGCCATCACAGCTACATTCCCACCATTGGGAAAGAGGAAGGGGCAGAGAAGAAGGGGCAAAGAGCATGCACCAGCCATCTGTTAAGGAAGTTCCAGAAATCCCCCTTCCATACTTGTATTTCATGTCATTGGACCTAGTCACATGGCCATACCTAGCTGCAAAGCACATTGCGAAATGCAGCCTTTATTCTGGAAGGGCCTGTGCCCTGCTAAAAATGTGGGTGTAGTTATGGTGAAAGAGAGACGTGGGTGATGGGAGTGTGTCTGAGTCTCCGTCATAGCTCTTGCTGACATTGATTACCACTTCATTCATGTTAACCCAAGATGCTGTCTCGCTGTTTTTTTTTCTTTTCTTTTCTTTCTTTCTTTTTTTTTTTTTTTTTTTTTGAGACGGAGTCTCGCTCTGTCACCCATGCTGCAATGCAGTGGTGAGATCTCAGCTCACTGCAGGCTCAGCCTCCCAGGTTCACGCCATTCTCCTGCCTCAGCCTCCCGAGTAGCTGGGACTACAGGCGCCCGCCACCATGCCCAGCTAATTTTTTGCATTTTTAGTTGAGACAGGGTTTCACCATGTTAGCCAGGATGGTCTTGATCTCCTGACCTTGTGATCTGCCCGCCTCGGCCTCCCAAAGTGCTGGGATTACAGGTGTGAACCATCGCGCCCAGACTTGCTGTTGTTTTAATGAACATTTCCTCAGTTATTAGTGACCTTGGCCATCATTTCATCGTTCCTGTCTATTTGTGGTTTCCCTTCTTGGAATTTCCTGAATTTCTTCTTTTTGGAATTCCCACATTTTCTTTTGGATTGGTTTGTCTTTCAATGGTTTATTTGCAAGATGCTTACATATTCTAGTATTCATCTTTTCTCTTTTTTATAGGTTGCAAATAGTTTCACGTTGTCTATCATTTTCTTGTTGCTTATGGCATCTTTTGTCATAAGGAGAATTTTCAGGTCCATATTAAAAATTGTATGAACTCTCTTTTCTGGTTTATTTTTAGGTTGAATATTCTTTAAAGCATCGTGTACTCAAATGCTATGACCATATTCTATATTCTGTCAGTACTCTGATTCTTTTGTTTCTTATGTCTCAATCTTTGATCAATGAAGAATTTATCTTCTGAAAGCCGTGAGGAGGTACCTCGGTTTCTATTATCCGGAGAACATGGTACACCAGCCTTGGCCTGTTTGCACCCGGCCCTTCCCTTGCTCAGCCACGGCCTGTAGGGAGCAGCCCCCTGCAGGTCAAGTTCCCCACCTCCAGGCTGTGTCCAGCTGGGCTCAGTCCATGGAAGGCACCAGCAAGAGACTGGAGGGCAAGGGCAGGGGGAGCCAGGTGTTTCCACTCCTCGTGCCCTGCCCAGGTTGCTCTAGCTCCCCAGGGGGAGCACCCCTGCACTCCCACCCTCTGCCAGTAGCCCCCGCCCCCTCATCCCTCCAGCCTCTGCTGGGACTGCTGTGTCTCTGGACCCTGTTGGCATCTCAACTCTCCCATCTCCTGTGTAACCAGTTCCCTGTGTTCAATTCCTCCTATTTTCAGTATTCCTTTCCTGTGTGTGCCCTGACTAACACAAATAGCAATAATCATATCCTGTTTATTTTTCATTTTAAGAAAAAGAAAAAGAAAAAAAAAAGCTCTTCCCACCAATTGGAGATGCCACTTCCACCTTGCAGTAAATTCCCATAAATGCAGAGATGTGTCCCGGCCTCTCTCCTGGCTCACTGTCCATTCTGTGTCTTGTACCAACAGCACGCTAGTCCAAGCCTAAGGATTCCAGCATCTCAGAGGCACCTGGTAGTGCCCGTTGGCTGCTACTCCCCACATAACGGTGAGGTGAGTAGCTGCTGCTGTTCCTGTAAAGCATGTTCCACTCTTCTTGCCCATGTTTTCCTCTATGTGAATTCTGGGATCAGTTTGATGAGCTTCATGAAACATCTTTCCTAGGAAGATTTTTTTTTTTTTTTTTTGAGACAGAGTCTCGCTCTGTCTCCCAGGCTGGAGTGCAGCGGCGCGATCTCCACTCACTGCAAGCTCCACCTCCCAGGTTCACGCCATTCTCCTGCCTCAGCCTCCCGAGTAGCTGGGACTACAGGTGCCCGCCACCACACCCAGCTAATTTTTTGTATTTTTTAGCAGAGACGGGGTTTCACTGTGTTAGCCAGGATGGTCTTGATCTGACCTCGTGATCTGCCAGCCTTGGCCTCCCAAAGTGCTGGGTTTACAGGCATGAGCCACCGCACCCAGCCCCTGGGAAGATTTTAATTGAGATTTTATTGAATTTATATGAATTCAGGAAGGAAGTCTTTGCGATATTAGCTATTTGCTTCCTGCATGTGCTACTTCTTTTTTTTTTTTTTTTTTTGAGACGAGTCTCGCTCTGTTGCCCAGGCTGGAGTACAGTGGCATGATCTCGGCTCACTGCAACCTCCACCTCCCGGGTTCAAGCAATTCTCTGCCTCAGCCTCCCGAGTGGCTGGGATTACAGGCGCCCACCACCATGCCTGGCTAATTTTTTTGTATTTTTAGTAGAGACAGGGTTTCACCATCTTGGCCAGGCTGGTCTTGAACTCCTGACCTTGTGATCCACCTGCCTCGGCCTCCCAAAGTGCTAGGATTACAGGCGTGAGCCACCGCACCCGGCTGCATGTGCTATTTCTTACCATCACTTCAGATTTTCTTTTATATTCTCTAGTAAGGTTTTTATGATTTTCCACAGTGGGATCCTCCCATTTTATGTTAGATTCATTCCGAGGCATTGCCTGGATTCTGTGGCTATTGTGACTGACATCTCGTTTCTGTTGTGCTTTTAATTAGTTAATGCTGTGGTTAGGAACGCTACTGGCTTTTTATGTTGATCTTATATTTCACCATTTTGCTCAACTCTCAAACAATAGTAATTTCACAGGTGATTGAATCAATGATAGCTTTTCTTCTCTTCCTTTGCAATTTTAATTTTTTCATGGCCAACTCCACTTTTTAGCTAGAAGTGATAACAAAGAACTTATCCTGAGTGACTATCAGGAATGAGTCTAATTATTTCACCATTAAATATAACATTTGTTTGAGATTTCCAGCAGACACCCTTTATTAAGTTGAGGAAATTTGATCTTATTCTATTTTCTTTTTTTCTTTTTTTTTTTTTTTGAGACGGAGTCTCGCTCTGTCACTGAGGCGGGATTGCAGTGGCATGATCTCGGCTCACTGCAAGCTCCGCCTCCCGGGTTCACGCCATTCTCCTGCCTCAGCCTCCCGAGTAGCTGGGACTACAGGCGCCCGCCACCACGCCCGGCTAATTTTTTGTATTTTTTAGTAGAGACGGGGTTTCACCGTGTTAGCCAGGATGATCTCGATCTCTTGACCTCGTGATCCGCCGGCCTCGGCCTCCCAAAGTGCTGGGATTACAGGCGTGAGCCACCGCACCCTGCCAAGTTGATCAAATTTTTAAAGCATCCAATAAAGAGGATAGACAAAGCCAAAAGATAGTTCTTTAAAAAGCAAAAGAAAATGAGGAAACCCTGCTGAGCACTTGAGCAGAAAAACAGTAGAGATGGGGCAAGAAGATACCGTCAGAAATGTTTGGGAGAGCTCACTATAGGTCTTACAGGCATTCAAAAAATAAGAGGACAAAATATCAAACAGAAAGTTACCAGATAACCCCGCATTGAAATCGCACGTCCACACAGAAACGTACCCAAATGTTCACAGCAATATTGTTCGCACACGCCAAAAAGGGGAAACAACTCAAGTGCCCACCAACTGATGAACATAGAAACCAAATGTGGTCCCTCTCTGCAATGGAGTATCATTCACTCTTGAAAGTAACTGAAGTGCTGCCGCACACTCCAGCAGGATGGATCTCAAACACACGGTGCTGAGTGGCTGCAGTTTCTCCCGGAAGGTCCCATGTTGTATGTGGGATGACTTCTTTTTATGAAATGTCCAGAGCAGGCAAATCTAGAGACAGGAAATACATCAGTGTTTGCTCAGGGATGGGGCAGGGCAAGGGGTGGGTGACTGCTGATAGGTCCAGAGATTCTTTGGTGGGGGGATGACAATGTTCTGGAATTAGACTGTAGTGGTGGTTGCCCAGTATTGTGAATATACGTAATCCACTGAATTGTATGCTTTAAAATAGTGAACTTTGTGTCATATGAATTTTGTCTCAAAAACAATTTTGCAAAGAAACAAAAAAAAAGATAAGAGATGATTATGAACAAGTAAGTTTGTGCCAATGCATGTGAGGCCCAGGCCCCAGGTCCCGTCTGCAGCTCCCAGCACATCGCCTTCCGTCCCTTCCTTCTGCCGCCTCTCTGAGGGTGAGGGTATGATGCAGGGCTGTTGACCTGGGGCCTGAGTTCCCTTCACCTGGGTTCACCCCCCAGCCCGGACTCAATTAGAATCTTCGCTTCCATTACAAATTCCTAGAAGAAGGCATCTGCTTGGCCACGCTAGGGTCAGTTATCCACCCCAGCCAGATGAATGTGGCCGAGGCGACAGGACCACGTGGCCTGAACTTGGCTGCTGTGGCCCATGCCTGGGAGGGGTGGGGAGCAGCTCCTAGAGGAAAGGAGCTGAACACTTGAGGGTGGAGCCCTTGAGGCCTAATCATCTTGTAAAGGCCCCACCTCTCAACACTTTGACAATGGCAATTGGATTTCAGCCTGAGCTGTGGGGGGGACAAACATTCAAACCACAGTCCCAGGCCAATGAGCTGGGACCTTGCCCAAGAGAAATACGTAGGTACCTCCGGAAGGATCTGGACAGGAGAGAACTGTGGCTGGGGTTTTCTCCCCCACAGTCTGGGGCTGTGGGAACGTGGCCTGGGTGGGAGATGACAGGAGCAGAGTCCAGGGGTCCAGGCACAGGACTAGGGAGAGTGCTGGAAGCCGAAGTGTCAGGGACCAGGATGCAGGACTGTGCAGGTGCTGGAGCTCTACCTGCCCGGAAACTGTCCCAAGCGGGGTCCTGGGTGCTGCATACTCAGGGCGGGCTCTGCTTTAAAGTAGAGAGTGTGGGGCAGCCCCTGCTCGGCAGCCATGGCGGCAGTTCTTGGCCAGCACGTCGCAGACACCACTCACCCAGGCGCCCTCCTGCTGCCGTGCGTTATTAAATTATTCCCGGGGAGATTAGAGGAGAGGCATGAATAATTCAAACAAGGGATAAAATCAAATCTAATCAAGTCTGTCTGCCTGCTTGAACTTTGACATGACGACCAGAGCGGATGAGTGAAGCTGTCCAGAGCCAGAAACGAGAATTCAGCTTCAGGATTTGCACTCAGACGTTTCTAAGGACACTCCGAGGTGAAGGAAGTGGCAGGTCGGGGCTGCTGCGGTGACTCCCACCTCCCCAGCTAGGGCCTCGTTGGTCCTTGCTGCAGAGGCTAGGCCCCAGCACTGTCCAGCCATGTGACCCTGGGAAGGTGCTAACCATGCCCGGCCTCAACTTCCTAGTCTATAAAATGGGAACAAAACTACAATGTGCCTCAGGAAGTTGTTTTGCACACTCAGCAAAATAACATACAAAAGGCGTTTCATGCCAGTACCGGGGAGGCAGGGAATAGAGGGTGGGTGCCTGCATCCTTCCATCCTTAATAAAAATGCTTGGGCAGAGTAAAGATGAGCCTTTCCCGTCAGCTCAACATGGCTAATTTTCCTGGCTGAAATGTCCATATATGTGTGCATTTATGCAATGGCAGACACATGTCTTTCTCACGAAAGAGCTACATGGGCATTTAAAGTTCAGGAGAATGGAGCTTGCTTTTTTCTCCATAAAATGTCCAGTTTTATGGTTTCAGTAAGCAATGGAGAAATAAGGCATCATCAGCAGGGTGACTTTGGCAAAGGCGGCTGGCGGTGGCTTCCAGCCCCACCTGCTCAGGCAGCCTCTATGGCCCCTGCACGCTGCCCCCAGGGCCAGGAGCAAGGTTCTACCTTCGCCACTCTGCCTCCCAAGGCCTCCCCACCAGCCCACGGTCTGACATCTGGACTGTTGCCATAGGCCCCCGTTTTGGCTGCTGGCTAACAGGACAGCGACCACCCACCAAGACAGACATCCACTCTCTGTGGCCACGCCCTGCTTTCTCTGCAGCTCGGGGCCAGGAGCACTGTGACTCCTCAAGGCAGGATGAAGGCTGCCGCTGTGCCTGTGAGCTCTCATGTCCCACCGCTCTGCCCGAGCCATGGTCTCAGGGCACTGCCTGGAGCTCCTTTCACAGAAAGGGTCAGATGCCCAAGGGGGCCCGTAGGGCAGCAGCGGGTGGGTGAAGCCAGCTAAGCAGGGCCTTCCAGCACACAAGGATGTCGGCCCCAGGGCGGGCATCTTCAGAGAGACCCAGAGCATCGAGGCTGGGGTGTGGAGCTGCCGGTGCGCCACCGTGGGTGGTGTCAAGCAGAATGCATCTTGCCGCGAGATCTGGCATCTGCACTGCCTGCTTCTCCTGCCGCAGGCTGCCACCTCCCTGACACAGGGACCCAGCCCAGCCGGTGTTCTCACATGAGCCTGGGGGTGGGGGGCGGCTGTTGTCTGCCCCTCCAGGACACATGTGCCTAGGCCTGAGCCCCTGCTTGGCTCCTGCCGCACCCTGTGGGCTCAACTCCGCACAGGGCAGCTGTTCTTCTTGACATTTTCCAGATAAGTGGATGTTTTTATTCTGGAATTTGGGAGCGACCTTTATCTGCTGTCTGGAAGGAAGCATCTGTCACCAGTGTAAAGCCTCCCAGTCTCCCAGGGCTCCACTCGGTGGCCCCCGCATGCTGGAACCAGTCCTCCCAGACACCACGGTTGGGGGCAGGGCCGGCCCTGGGGTCAGGCAACAACCAGGCCGTCAGCTACTCTGGGACGCAGCCCAGGCCGGGAGGAGGCAGATGCAGGCACCACGGGACCTGGGTGACCGGCCTCTGTTCACTCCTCCCATCCCTTGGTGCCCGGCACACAGAGGGGCTGAGGAGCGTGGAGAAGGGAGGGGCAGGGAGCAGCCGGGGCAGGGGCCTCCCGGCTGGGCCTGAGGAGGAGCAAAGCCTGCCTGGGACCCCCAGGACCCCCAGGATCCCTCTTCACTGCCAGCCTGGCCATGGAGAGGGGCCCAGTCTCCCCTGGAGCACACGGTCGCCCGACGGCTGGTCACAATCGGGTAGGCAGCGTGTCCTCCCTCTCCAGTCCTCAACTACAGAGGGAGGACTCAAAGTGGGACAGGCAGACAATCATCCGCCCAGGGACTGTGCTGGGAAGGAGGGTGTGGTCTCAAGGAGGGAGGCCTGGGCGCTGAGGCATTTCCAGGTAGGAAGCAGACAAGCTCCTGGGTGGGTGGAAGAGGCCTCCCCTAGGGCATGTGGACCCCGGGCAAATACATTCTAAGGCGGGAGTCCTCGTTTCTATAAACTATCAGGTTTTCCTAAAATCAACAAGACAGCACCATGCTGGCCGCCCAACCTCACGTGATCCAACTAAAGGAAGCCCACACAGGCTAGCAGGGAACCATCTGTTCCTAGGCCCCCTTTCCAGGACTGGACCCCAGCCACACAGTCCTCACAACCACCATCAGCCTGAGTTCCAAAGCTCCTTCAGACATGCAACCAACTTTCCACACTGGGCATGGGGCCACACAGTGCTCCGTGGAGAGGAACAGGGGCCACCAGGCCCCACATGGTTCCCCACTCAGGCTTGGGGAGCTACCCCTCGGCACCTTTGGCAGTGCTGACTGGTCTCAGGCACTGGAGGGGGTCTTGGAATTTCTGAGAACGGTATTCCAAACTCGGGGGCCCAGGATCCCAGGGCAGGGCACCCACCACCCAGGTCTAAAGCAATACTGACTACAAAGACCCCAGGTGACAGGACCGAGGGCATCCCAACCCTTCCCTCCCAAGAGCCAGGGCTGAGCCAGACACAAGGGACAGAGGAAGGGCTGGCCTGGGATGAAAGGGACACTCAAGGGGGCAGCTCCCTGGAGCCTGGACTAGCCACCCAGGCTCAATCTGCAGGCAGCATCACCCCACACACCCCAGATTCCAGGTGGTGCAAAGCTCAGATGCTGCCACCACCTGTTCCCCGTGCCCAGGCCACCCCACTCCAGGCCAGGGTGGGAGCCAGGCCGGCCTCCTTTGCCAACCTCTGGGCCCAGGCAGACTCCTTCTCTCCGAGACTCTGCTCAGAAACACCAGAGGCTTTCTGAGCCTATCCAAGACCAGATGGCGTTCATCTCTCAGTGTCAATAAATCGGACGTCTCCAGGGAAATGACTTTTACTTGGTAAATACCAAGCAAGAAGAGACGGCGGCGCGAGCCCCCAGTCTAGGAGAACCGCAGCCAGCAGGCAGCCACCTATTGATTTCATCTCCCTCCAAGGCCAGGGTGCTGCAGGGAGGAGCAGCTTTTCCTCCGACACGACTGCGCCCGCAGGGACAGGAGGAGCAGCCGTGCTTCTCTCCAGCTGCATGAGGCGGTCTTGCAGGGGAGAGACAGCCCTCCCAGAAGGGACCTCGGTAGGGCTAACGGCAGCTGGCACAAAAATCCACCACCAAAGGTAGAAGGAGCTGCGCCAGGCTGTTGGCAGTGGGAGGGGAGAGAGTCCTGGAGACAAGGAGGGGACCAAAGGGAAGGCAGCAATCCAGATGGTCCTGCGGGGTCGGACAGGGCTAAGACAGGAGGCTGTGCTGGCTGTTCTCATGCTGCTGTAAAGAATCACCTGGAACTCGGTCATTTATAAGAAGGAGCATTTTAATTCCCTCATGGTTCTGCAGGCTGTACAGGAAGCATGGTACTGGCATCTGCTTCTGGGGAGGCCTCAGGAAACTTCCAGTCATGGCGGGAGGTGAAGGGGGAGCAGGCACATCACACGGCAAAAGCAGGAGTGAGAAAGAAGGGGACGGGCGCCACACTTTACAACAACCAGGTCTACCAAGAACTCACTATGGCGAGGACAGCACCAAGCCATGAGGAATCTGCCCCATGACCCAAACACCCCCCACCTCCAACACTGAAGACTCCATTTCAGCCTGAGATGTGGGCAGGGACAAATATCCAAACCATATCACAGGCGCCAGGGCCCCTTGCCCACGGGTGGCCGTGAGGGTGGCTGCACTGTTCTCTGCCCCACTTGCCTTTCTTTAGGATCGCCCCCCGCTTCCCCAGCCCCACCATTCCATAAAGATTCCACTCAGAACTTTGAGCTGGGGTGGGACTGAACCCACCTCCCTGGCCTCCAGGCTGGGCTTATGTTTCCAGCTTGGCCCATCTCTGTAGTCCGTTCCCTGATGTTAGGTCCTCCCCACTCCTGTCACCACCGTGAGTGGCACGTGACCCAAGCTCCGCCAAGCCCTAGGCATTCCCAGCCCATGGGAAACAGAAGTGTTTCCCTCCACTAGACACCTCATCCCATGATCTGCTGGGTCTGGGGTTGGGAGTAGTCCTGTGTCTGTGGGCGGAGGAAAGAATGAGAGTCACAGGGCCTTCCTCTCTAGGACACAGGGGGTTCACTTCAAAAACACTCTAAATTGAGCCAGGCGTGGTGACTCGTTCCTTTAATCCCAGCACTTCAGGCTCATTCCTGTAACCCCAGGTTGAGGTGGGAGGATAGCTTGAGGCCACAGTGGGAGACCAGCCTGGGAAACATAGTGAGACCTTGTCTCTATAAAATAAATTTTTTGGGCCTGGCACGGTGGATCATGCCTGTAATCCCAGCACTTTTGGCGGCCAAGGCAAGCAGATCACGAGGTCAGGAGATCGAGACCATCCTGGCTAACACGGTGAAACCCCGTCTCTACTAAAAATACAAAAAATTAGCCGGGCGTGGTGGCGGGCGCCTGTAGTCCCAGCTACTCGGGAGACTGAGGCAGGAGAATGGCGTGAATCCAGGAGGCGGAGCTTGCAGTGAGCTGAGATCGCGCCACTGCACTCCAGCCTGTGCGACAGTTGCAGACTCCATCTCAAAAAATAAAAATAAAAATAAATAAATAAATAAATTTTTAAATTAGCTGGGGTGTTGGCACATGCCTATGGCCCTAGCTATGCAGGAAGCTGAGATGGGAGTATCACACACGCTCAGGAGCTCTAGGCTATAGACGGTGAGACCCTGTGACAAATAAAAAAAGAAAAACACCGCCTAAGTCAAGCCTTGTTGCAGAGTAAGATGCATTCTGCATTCTCCCATCAGCAGCTCCATATGGGAAGTTAATATGCCTCCTAGTCACGTGACTCTGATGTTCTTCCTGGTGAATGAATAACAACGTTGCTCCTTTGGCTAATGGGGAAGACACTCGCCCCTTCCCCTACTGTGTCACATGGCGATACTTCCTTCCCAAAACTCTCAATGAAAGGTGCCAGGGCACAGATGCACAGATACTTTCTCACGCCCTGCATTTCTTTTTTTTTTTTTACTTTGAGACGGAGTCTCGCTCTGTCGCCCAGGCTGGAGTGCGGTGGCGCAATCTCGGCTCACTGCAAGCTCCGCCTCCCGGGTTCACGCCATTCTTCTGCCCCAGCCTCCGGAGCAGCTGGGACTACAGGTGCCCGCCACCACGTCCAGCTAATTTTTTTATATTTTTAGTCGAGATGGCATTTCACCATGTTAGCCAGGATAGTCTCCATCTGCTGACCTCGTGATCCACCTGCCTCGGCCTCCCAAAGTGCTGGGATTACAGGTGTGAGCCACCGCGCCCGGCCTACACCCTCCTTTGCTAATCATCCCACCACCTTTGTCTCCACATGAACTATGTACTAGGCTGCACCCCCCTCAGGGCCACCATCCAAATACCTGCTAAAGATAAAGATGGATGGACAAATGGATGGATGGATGGAAGTGTGGGTAAACGAACGGGTGGTAGGATGGTTGGGATGGATGGATGGATGTTCGAAGAGTGAGTCGGTAGTTGGTAGCTAGATGGACAGATGAATGAAAGATGGACACATGGTTGGGCAGATGAAAGGATTGAGAAATGGATGGATGGATGTGTGGGTGAACAAATGGATGAAGGAATGGGCGGTAGGATGGTTGAGTTGGATGAATGGATGGATGGATGGATGGATCTTTGAGTAGTGAGTAGGTAGTGGATAGGTATATGGACAGGTGAATGAAAGGTAGACACATGGTTGGGCAGATGAAAGGATTGAGAAATGGATGGATGGATGTGTGGGTGAACAAATGGATGAAGGAATGGGTGGTAGGATGGTTGAGTTGGATGAATGGATGGATGGATGGATGGATGGATGGATGGATCTTTGAGTAGTGAGTAGGTAGTGGGTAGGTATATGGACAGGTGAAAGAAAGGTAGACACATGAGTGGACAGATGAAAGGATTGAGAAATGGATGGATGGATGTGTGGGTGAATGAATGGATGAAGGGATGGGTGGTAGGATGGTTGGGGTGGATGGATGGATGAATGAGTAGTGAGTGAGTAGTGGGTAGCTAGATGGACAGATGAATGAAAGGTGGCCACATGAGTGGACAGATGAAAGGATTGAGAAATGGATGGATGGATGTGTGGGTGAATGAATGGATGAAGGGATGGGTGGTAGGATGGTTGGGGTGGATGGATGGATGAATGAGTAATGAGTGAGTAGTGGGTAGCTAGATGGACAGATGAATGAAAGGTGGCCACATGAGTGGACAGATGAAAGGATTGAGAAATGGATGGACAGATGGGTAGGTGGATGGATGACCATTTAATGGATGAAAAAAATAGATGGATTTCTCGTAGGAGAAAGTAAGCTTTTTAAAGGCAGGACTGTGCATTTCACTTCCTTGTTTTTATCTCCAGTGATTTCTGCATGACAGGTTTCACAAAATATTTCTTCCTTGTAACAGACTCTTCCAGACAACACTGACAGGGTTATTGCCTTCAGATCCCACATAGACCACGTAAGATTCTAAGGAAAAAATGGTAAAATCAGTGGGAGTAACTTTATAATGGCCACCCCCCAAAAAAGAAATTGCATTTAGGAGCTACTTTATGAAAACTGCTGTTGTTTGTAACGTTTAAAATGTACTTTGAAATGTTATTGATTTATTTATATGTATATATAATATGTATATGTATATACATGTAATATATGTATATTTATATATATGTATAACATATATGTCTATATATCTATGTATATATCTTTCTTTTGTTTTGAGGCAGAGTCTCCTTCTGTTGCCCAGGCTGGAGTGCAGTGGTGTGATCTCGGCTCACTGCAACCTCCACCTCCTGGTTTCAAGCGATTCTCCTGCCTCAGTTTCCCAAGTAGCCGGGACTACAGGCATGCACCACCATGGCCGACTAATTTTTGTATTTTTAGTAGAGACAGGGTTTCACCAAGTTGGCCAGGCTGGTCTCGAACCTCTGACCTCAGGTGATCCACCCACTTTGGCCTCCCAACGTGCTGGGATTACAGGTGTGAGCCACCGCACCTGGCCCATATTGTAATTTTAAATTGAGGAGTTTTAAAATATTTAATCATTAAGTTATTTTTAAAATAACAATAATAAGCCTAATAATAATAATAAAAACAACAATAATACATGCTTATATAAGTAACACTTTTGTGTGTGTGTATTTAAAAAAAAAAAAAAACTAATTCTATTCTCCAAGACAAACCAAAAACTGTAGTGAGAAGAGTGGTACTGTTGGAGAGCTTTGCAAATCTCTTTACTGCCTGGATGAAGAGCAGACAGCTGAGTTCTCATCTCTGCTCTGCCTTCAGTCTGTGTTGTGATGTGTTCTCAGGTTGAAGCATATGAAGAAATT
The DNA here is from genome assembly GCF_000001405.40 of Homo sapiens. Lineage (NCBI taxonomy): Eukaryota > Metazoa > Chordata > Mammalia > Primates > Hominidae > Homo > Homo sapiens. The sequence goes on from NW_016107298.1 coordinate 208,760, forward strand.
CCAGACTCCCACAGAGAGGAAACTAGAAAAGGGAGCTGTGGCCGGGTGTGGTGGCTCATGCCTGTAATCCCAGCACTTTGGGAGGCTGAGGCAGGCAGATCACAAGGTCAGGAGATCGAGAGCATCCTGGCTAACACGGTAAAACCCCGTCTCTACTAAAAATACAAAAAATTAGCCGGGCGTGGTGGCGGGCGCCTGTAGTCCCAGCTACTCGGGAGGCTGAGGCAGGAGAATGGCGTGAACCTGGGAGGCAGAGCTTGCAGTGAGCCAAGATCATGCCACTGCTCTCCAGCCTGGGTGACAGAGAGCAAGACTCCGTCTCAAAAAAAAAAAAAAAAAGAAAGAAAGAAAAGCGAGCCATGTTTTCAGAGCATTTTCAGAGAGCTACGGGTGTTCTTATTTGATGCTACTACAGAACTCAACGAGTAGCAGTTTCCTAAGCATTAGTTGCTGGGGCCAGACTAGGGTGAGACAAGTGAGGCCTAGGGTGCAAACTCAGGGAGGCGCTGGTTCTCAGGGGTGTGCAGCTGCTGACCCGGCACCTCGTTCCCTTCAACCTAATATCCACCCTGCTATATGCAATGTGAAATTGAATCCAGAGTGATAAACTTTTGTTCTCTGCTCCATCAAAACTCATTCATTTTTCTTGGACTTTGAATGGATCTTTTGCCCATGCATGTTTGCATGGGCATGGAACCATCAGGACTGGGATTTCATCTTACTCTACTACAAACTAATCCATTAACTTGTTACTGTTGCGTGGATGCTGGCAAAAGAGATGAGATTCCTGTGTCAGAGACAAAGGACTTTATTATTGCTGCTCACACAGCAAGCAGAGCGGGCACCAGCCTGTTTTGCACTTGTTCCCTCTGTCCCCCAAGTCCTGCAGAGGTGATGCAGAGGAGCTGAGATAGATGCTACACACACAGTTGGTTTGTGCTGTAGCTGAGGAACCCTGAGCTTGGGGACTCGTCTGTTTTGTAGCATGCAGTAAGTAAGCCTGCTGTTTGTCCCAGAGGGAGACAGTATCTCATTCCTCAAGGCTGCTCACTATAAGCATAAATCTTAGAAATACTTTGGATGGACCAGGCACAGTGGCTCATGCCTTTAATCCCAGCACTTTGGGAGGTGGGCGGATCACTTGAGGTCAGGAGTTCAAGACCAGCCTGGCCAACATGGTGAAACCCCATATCTAGTAAAAATACAAAAATTAGCCGGGCTTGCTGGTGTGCGCCTGTAATCCCAGCTACTTGAGAGGCTGAGACAGAAGAATCACTTGAACCAGGGAGGCAGAGGTGGCAGTGAGCTGAGATCATGCCACTGCACTCCAGCCTCAGAGACAAAGTGAGACTGTCTCAAATAAATAAACAAATAAATAAATTAGCTGAGCGTGGTGGCAGGTGCCCGAAGTCCCAGCTACTCTGGAGATTGAAGCAGGAGAACTGCATGAACCCAGGAGGCGGAAGTTGCAGTGAGCCGAGATCATGCCATTGCATTCCAGCATGGGGGACAGAGTGAGACTCTGTCTCAAAAAAAAAAAAGAAAGAAATAGTTTGGATAAAAAGAGTGCTCAAGCTTTGCATTCTTGGCACACCCAGCAAGACCTGTAGGAGTGTGAGAGATCCACAGAGGATGATTGTTTTTTCCTGGCGGAAATATCATGCATTGGTCATTTGGAAAATTTTGGTTCACTGAGTTATGTAGATCCTCCAAATGTTGACACATGTCTTTGCACAATATCAAAAACCACATTTATTAACATCATCATTAATCTCATCAGAAAAGTCTTTAGGTACCGACAAACCAGCAAGCTTACAGTGGCAGACACAGGTTTGCCAAAATTCTAATTTTTGCTTGAAAGCCCAAATTTCATCTTGAGGAATGAGCTCAAATTTTATCTTTAGGAGTTGTTTAAAAATAACTGTTCCGTGCTGTCAGTTATTTTCCTTGAAGAGATATGCTTACTTTGCTGGTTTTCAATAGAATGTCCTCCAAATATCCAAGTCTGAATAACCATCGTATGACCGTTGACCAACCCTCCAGCTAGAAATTGTATTCCCTGAGAAAAGGGGCTAGTTCAGCTTGCAACTCAAACAATCGCACACGTGCTTTTCTTTGAGACAAACGTAGTTGAGAACGTAGCAGAAATGTTTCCTACTTCCCACTTCATGACACAAAACACTAAAAAGACACGTGCCCAGAGGTCAAGATTTTTAAAAACTAATAAATTTTACTTTGCTATCAGGGACATTCTTGCTGGACACAGTGGCTCACACCTCTAATGGCAGAACTTTGAGATGTTCAAGTAAGAGGATCACTTGAGCCCAGGAGTTCCAGGCCAGCCTGAGCAGCAAAGGGAGACCCTGTCTCTCCAAAAAAAGTAATAAACAGGCATAGTGGCACATGCCTGTGGTCTCAGCTACTTGGGAGGCTCTGGCGGGAAGATCGCTGGGGCACAGGACGTGGAGGCTGCAACGAGCCAGGATCCCATCACTACACTCCAGCATGGAAAACATAGTGAGATCCCATCTTAACAACAAAAGAAAACAAAAAAACCCAGCATGTTCTTAAGTAAAGTCATTTTTTTTGTGGCTCTGGGAGTGTAGAGCAGTAAGGAACACAGAGCTGGCACATCGGGGATCCACTGCCTTGATCTGAATTAGTTTTACCCACGGTCATTTTGTACCTTTTACACTAAATGTCAACATGATGAAAAGGGCAAATAATGTCTTAACAGTCACATGAAAATACTTTTACTTCACAGACCTCTGAATAAGTCGTGGGAGCCCTCGGGTCCTGCAGACCACAAGGGAGGAGCGACTGATGTTCACTTTGGAGACGCGGGCTTCTGATTGCACCCTTGCCCCAGGCCCCGTGAACTCCAGGAAAGGATCTTCCAGGGACACAGACAACAGAACAAAATACTTGTTTGTCTTCAAGGACTTCAGGGTCTTCAGCATGTTCAAACCCACAGGTGCCTTCGGGGACCAAGAGGCAGAGAGATGGGAGGAGCGGCTGGGTGGGGCCCGGGCAGAGCGGAGGACACAGGTGTGAATTTGTGCGCAGCCGCTGCTCCCTCCGGCCAGCCGTGGCCAAGTGGACATTCGGACCCAGAGCGGCCAGATCTTGTAATTTCCAAGAAAGCCAGAAACCCAGATTTTTATATAAAATTTCTGAAATGTTGAAAGTTGGCAACTAATTATCTTTTTTTTTCCTTTGAGTCGGAGTCTCGCTCCGTCGCCCAGGCTGGAGTGCAGTGGCACCATCTCGGCTCACTGCAAGCTCCGCCTCCCGGGTTCACACCATTCTCCTGCCTCAGCCTCCCTTGTAGCTGGGACTACAGGCGCCCGCCACCACGCCCTGCTAATTTTTTTGTATTTTTAGTAGAGACGGGGTTTCACTGTGTTAGCCGGGATGGTCTCGATCTCCTGACCTCGTGATCCACCCATCTCGGCCTCCCAAAGTACTGGGATTACAGGCGTGAGCCACCGCGCCTGGCCGGCAGCTATTTATCTTAACAAAACAAATCTGTGAGGCTAAACAGAAGACCCCCAGGCTGGGTTCAGGCTATGGGTGCCAGTGTGCAGCCTCTGGTCTTGAGGGAGAGCCAGACACATACATCATTACAACATGAGCTGATGTGGGGTTACAAGGTGCCCTGGGAGCAGAGAGAAAGAAGGGCCTGATAATCACAGCTTCCCTTTCCTGAGAACTTGCAGGTACCGGGGGGTCTACACACCACGGCTTCACGTAATCCACTTGGCAACCTCACAAGGTAGGAATCATGATGACCCGCGCTATTTTATAGAGGAGGAAACTGAGACTTAAGGTGCATAAGTAACCGACCAGGCCGCAGCTCTCCCCTCGCCTCCCGCAGCTCTCCCCTCACTTCCACCTCTCTGTCTCTCTGGGTTTCTTGCTGCACTCATAGGAAGCAGGCTTCTGCCTTGGGGCCTTGGCATATGCTGTCTCCTTCTGTCTGGATGGTTCTTTCCCCAGAAGAACTTCCCCCTCCACTGCATTCAGGCAGCTACTGAAAACCACCTTCTCACAGAGCCCTTCCCTAACTCCCTGTCCCATGATAACCACACACACACACACACACACACACACACACACACTGTACACCCTCACCCTGCTTTATTTCCTTCTGTGTATAATTTCCAGAAATTACTGGATTCCTGTTCCTGTTTATTTTCTATCTGCTGTCCCTGCCAGTGCCATCCCCACTAGAATGCAGCTGCCTGCGTGAGGTCACCTGGCACCTAGGACAGCGCTGGTCCCTGTGAGTGCTCCCTAACTGTGCCGCCTGGATGGAGGGAGACCTACCGCTGGGCTCAAGACGCAGGAACACGAGGCACACACAGTTATGACTCATCAGACCCTTGCAATTTACTTCAAAAGAGTCTAATGACAACGAACTGTAAAACGCTGTGAGAAATCGGCACAGGGAGGGAGAGGTGAGCTGAGTGTGAGATCGGGACAGGCCCCGTCTGGGGGGATGTGGTGCTTGGGCTCCAGAACACCCCCCCGGGGTCTTTCCCACAGGCACAGCCACCCAAGGAGAGCTCACCTCGGCCGGCCACAAGCAGGTTACCTACTCAATTCTTCATGCACAAACAGTAGTGACAGACTCACGATATGAAATTGACTGACAACCCAATTTCAAAAATAACTTACGGGAGCCTTCCCAAAAGAAGATAGCAAGTGGCAGATACATGTATGAAAAGGGGCTCAACCTCACTCTTCATTGGGGAAACTCAAATGAAAACCACGCTGAGATACTGCAGTGCTCCAGCAGAATGGCTGAAATTAAAGGCTGGCTGTACCCCGTGTGGGTGTAGATGTGGGGCAGTTAGGACCCCCGTGCACGGTTGGTGAGCATATTAATTGGTACCACCACTGCACAGAAATGTCTGGAAATCCCTCCTCTTCCCTAACATATGCGGGTCCTTTGACCCACATGTTTCTCTCTTGTTCTATATTGAAGAGAAATGAGTGTGTATGTTACAGAATCACCAGGGGTTTGTCTAGGTGCTGCTGCTCACCACACAAAAAGCCAGTCACTGAGACAAGGAGCATTGCCAGAGAAGAAGCTTTAATCCCGTGCTGCAGCCCAGGAGATGGGAGATCAGTCTCAGCCCATCCCCTGACCCACGAAAATCAGGGGTTTATGTAGCAGAGAAGAAATGTAACCATGTGTGTGAAAACAGGAATCAGGGAGGGGCGAGGAAGAGTCGGTCACCAGGAAGCAGGTGGTGGGTTAGGCAATTCCCAGGCTGGAGGGTGTGGTGGTCTTGGGAGTTTTTTTTTTTATTCTATCTGGGAGGCCTGATAGGTGGTTTCTTGGGAAAGGAACTCAGATAAGACAAGAAGGATCTTATCTTGTGAGACTGGGAGGATCATTTCTATGTTTATTCAAAGAAACCATAAACATCAGTTCTATGGGACAATTGGGCCGGTTTCACTTCTCTCCGATAACGAACACATTGAAGAATGTTCATCATAACTTTATTCCTAATAGTCAAAACCCCAAACACTCATCAGTAAATGAGTAAGTGAACTGTGGCCTGTGCATCTGAAGGAGAACTACACACACACCGCAGAGAACAATCTCAGCAGCATGGTGATCCTCACGCTGGGGAAAAGAGGCCAGACACAAAAGGGAATGTACCGAAAGATTCCTTTTATATAAAGGACAAGAGTAGGCAAAACTGTTATGTGGAAATGAGAACAATGGTTACCTTCTAGGGCAGAGGAGCGTACAGACCAGGAAGGCAGAGGAGGGGCTGTCTTGAAATGCACCTGGGACTTTGTTTTCCTCAGCTCTGGTCAGATGACAGCCTGGGAGACACTGCCTTTGAATGAAGAGTTGATGACTTTCCAGCATGGGGAAGCACCACATCAGTCCCGAGGCAGAAGGAGCAAGGGGAGGGCCCAGGCCGGGCCTTCACTGGGGTCTCTGTGGGAAGGAATAGATGAGGGTGGAGGTGAGTTTGAGCAAGCTTCGGGTGGGCCCGTTTGCCTAATGTTGGCAGGCCCGGGGCTATGGGGTGGTCCCTAGTCATCCAGTACCATGCTCTGGAGTGAGATGGGGCAGGGAGAATATTCCCTGGGTGTGTGAGTTAGATAAAGGGTGTGGTGGGGGCAGGGGCTTCTGACTGCTGGTTTGCATAGGGAGGTGTGTGCTGTCTCCAGAACTAGCCAGCCCTGGGAGGGGCAGTCCCTTCCCCGCCAGCAAAGCCTTCTGCGATGCCAAAGCACCATAGAACACAGAAACCAGAAAGCGTGGTTAATCCAGGAGCCGCACGAGGACTGATGCCTTCCATATCGGTGTCCTGTATGTGCTCTGCCGTATTCTACCTCCTCTTTTTAAAATGCAAATAGAGAATCCAATCTGAAGAACTAATGCAAAGGACCTCTTTAATGCTTATCAGCCACCCCTCCGCCCTTGGCTGTCTTTCTGGTATCAGCATCCTCCTCCTCCTCCCTCCCAGACTCCAGGCCCTGGGCTCCAGAAGGTCCATCCCTGTGGCCTCAAGGCACCAGGCACATCCATGCCAGCTTCATCCTCTCCAGTGACACGGCTGTGCAGCTGTAACTGAAAATTTAACAGACTGTCCCTCTGACTATTTCTCCTTCACTTTCTTGTAGCAAAACAAAAAGGGGGAAAAATGCATCCCAGGGGTTTCCAGCTGCCACCTTTTCAAGCCACCGTTAGGCTGGCCAACCCCCGCCAGTTTCCTCCCATCCTCCTGGGATGCCTGGGGGACTCCATCACCACTTTCTAGAAACTGCCTATAGTCAGAGGTGGCCTGGGGCTGCCCACACAGGCATGGAGACGTGGAGGACACAGCCTGATGCTAGACTGCACAGGACCCTCTTCCGCCAGGTTCCCCGGACACCTCCATCCCCTCTTCTTGCAATCATGTCATTGCATGGTAGCGCCTGTGTCCTAATGTTCCCATGCCACAAGTCTGGAGCCCTTCGCTCCTGTCTCCCGAGGCCAGGATTGAGCCTGCTTGGCCCAGAGGAGGGGGCAGTAAATGTCATGGACAGAAGCAGTGATGGGAGAGTGGTTAATGTGGAGTCGTCACAGTGACACAGAGGCTGAGGCACACTGTCTGGCACAGCCCAGCCAGGCGCTGCCCACAGCTGAGCTTCCAGAGGACACCTTCTGTGTCACCATATTCCAGGATTCAAATCCTTCCAGTCTGGGACAAGTTCCATGGGGTGCCATGAGGCTGCCCCAGTTTGATTTTAAAATGTACAGTGAAATGCCTACCTTGGTGGTGGCCAAGCCCTGACCCTGCCAAGGACAGTCTGGGAGAGGCAGGGCCAGCCTGAATGCCCTGTGCTGATGGACACACAGGCACAACACCCACAGCTCAGGGAGCCCGCTCCAGCCTGCCGTGGAGCCCAGGGCCAGGTGGTGAGCCATGAGCCTGCTCGGGACAGTCCTTCCTGATCCTGGAAGGGAGCGGCCCAATTATAACAGCTCCCGGCCGGCAAGGCTCTCAGTGGAGCCGAGCCCAGAGAGAAGGCCTGCACTGCCAGATGGGCGAGCTCATTAGAATGGGAGTGTGGTATTTCTTATGCAAATGAGGGCAAATACATCCATGGGAGAAATGTGAACAACAGACATGCACAGGAGCACGGACTTCACCGGGTTTCAAGAGGAGAGGGAGCTGGGACGGGAGACCAGGAGAGATCTCTGCCCCCAGCACTGCCCTGCAGTGGCCTAGCCCAGGCCTTCTGGATCTGCCTACATGGAATGCTCAAGAGAGAAACTGAGGCCCCAGGGGCCCTGCATATGGGTGGAGGCTGGCCTGACCTGCATCCTGGAACAGAGAGCTGCCCGGGCACCTATAGGCAGGCAGGAAGTCACTGGGCAGAGGGACAGGTGCAAGGCCAGGTCCACAATCCTGGCCAGGCTCCAGGGGAGGGAGATGCCCCAGCTAATGGGACACGGGCCAGATGTAGACTGTAGCCAAGGGACCCAGAACAGAAGCACCAGGGCCCAGTTTTAGGGAGCACCCCACAGGAGGCAGGGCTTGTCCTGCGCCTCAGAGACTCCACAGCTCAGCACTCTGGGCTCACCCAGGTTGGGTTACCGGTCAGATGCACCTGCTCCATCTCCATTCTGCCACATCCTATGACCTACAGTCCAGATCTAGGACTGGGCTCACACCCTCTGAGCCCTTTCCCCGGCATCCTGCCCCTCAGGGTCCTGCAAGCCCCTGCTCCTACACATCCACAGTAAGCCCCTTGCCTCTCCCATCTCTGCCCCTCCCTGCCTCACGCCTCTGCAGACCTCAGATCTCTTTCCCTGTCCCTTCCCAGTGCACTCGCGGCCTGCTCACCCTGCCCACCATGGCCGCCTTCAGCCCCCTCTCTCCTCCCTGGCAGCTGCAGCTCCCTCAAGGCTGCCGCCCTGGCCCTTGGTCTGTGCTGCCTTCCACTGACCAGTCCCTTTGCCCCCCAACCCTGTCCAATCCTCAAGTTCCAGCATCCTCCTGGGGCTCCTTCCCACTCTCCAGTGACCTGCCCTGGCTCAGGGCGCGCAGGGCCTTCTCAGCACTGTCATCGCTGATCTCTGCAGGCATCGCCCTCTGCTCCGCCAGCTCCCGTCTGTCCAGGTTGCACCATCATAACCCAGACACCAACACCCTCAACCAGGACTTGCAGTCCACCATCATGCCCGTCCCTGCTGAATTCCACTACTGTGCCTCTCGACACGCTTTCCACTCTCATTAGGCAAAGCCCTGGGCAAAGCCGAAGGCCTGGGTACCCCACCTCTGCCTTCCAGCACCCTCTGCAGGTGAACAGACAACACCCAGGCCAGGCCCAGGGTCATGGACCCATACCTTAGAACCCCTGGCAGGCACAGGGAAGACACACAATTGCCTGACCTACCCCCGGTCCCTCCCACTCTGCCGTCCCACCTGGCGACTGAACACCCTCTGCTCTGCTCAGCTCCCAGGACCTAACAGCCACACACACAACCTCAGCTTCGGACCTGGCCGCCCAGCTCACTGCAACAATAGGAGAGGCTTTCCATAGCTCTCACCCACAACAGCCCCCTCCCCAGCACGTGCACCCCCAGAGACCACTCTCCCACCTATCACCATCCTCCCCACACATCATCTTCACACTGGTCACCATCCTCCCCACACCACCCTCCCACCCGTCACCATCATCCCCACATACCACCCTCCCACCCTCCCACCCATCACCATCATCCCCACACACCACCCTCCCACCCTCCCACCCGTCACCATCGCTCCCTGCTCTGCCCTCTCACTTGTTAGCATGAGTGCACTAGGCAGGGACACATTGCTCTGTTCTTCCTCTTGGGCCTGGATCCCCATCCACTCACCAACTCCAACGCGCTGCCCAGCAATTCTCTGCATGTTTCTCTCTGTTGTATCATCCCATAAGCAGATCGATAGGCTCTTCTGTCACCCGTCTTGACCACAACTGAGATGACTCCAGATCCCCCCCCCAGCTTCCATGCAGTTCCCGCCCTTTGCAGCAGCATCCCCCACCCTCCCTTCAGTGACTCCATCCGGGCTTCTCCCCACCTCTCCACCAAGGCTGTTCTCATGCAGGCTCATGGCCTCTGGGTCATCCTCCTCCAGCAGTCAGTGGCTTTGGCCCAGCCCATGGTGCCCTCCTCATGGATCCACGGTCTTCACTTGGCTCCCAGGACATCCACCCTGGCATTTGCCCTCCGCCTTGGTTGTTTCCCCTCCAACTTGGCTTGGTTCTACTCTTCTCCCCAGCTTCTGACTGCCACAGTGCAGTCCTCTCCTCTCTTCTAACTGCACTCACTTCCACACTGATCTCCCAGCTCACAGCTTTAGATGCCATCTATAGACCTCCCACCCCTAGGTGCATGCCTTCAGCCCAGCCCTTGCTCCCAAAGCCCAAGGTCAAATGTCCAGCTGCCTGCTGGCGTCTCTCCTGGATGTCTCATCCTTGACTCCAATGAAATAAGCCCAAAGCTGCATTTCTGCTCTTCCCCGGCCCCACCTGCTCCAGGCATCAACTTCTGCATCTCAGTTGATGGCAACATCTTTCTTCCAGGTGCCTTAGCTCCTCTTCTTCCTTCACACCCCTGCCCCCGCCCCCCCGCCCCCCATCCAATCCATCAGCAGATTCTCTGGGCTCTACCTTGAAAGTACACTCCCATACTCACCCCGTCCCACTGTCTCCATGGCAGCCTCCGGTTCTGGCCCACCATCACCTCTAGCCTGGAAGACTGTGACCGCCTCTGACCTGCTTCTGCTCCTTCCCTCCTCTGCTCATGGCCCCCACCATGGCTCCCCATTTTCTCGTGTAAAAGCAGAAGTCCTTTCAGCAGCCTGAAACCGTCAGGGCCAGCCCGCTTTATCTCTCTGGACCCACCCCCTGTCACTCTCCCTGGCTCACTTCCAGCGGGCCACACCCATCTCTCTCCTGGTCCAGTCTTGGGTGCTGGGCTGCAGTTCCCCTGGGCCGGGAACTCTTCCCCACTCCGCCAGCTCCTTCACTCAGCTTGAGGATTTGCCCAGAAGGTCCCTTCTCAGTGATGCCCAACCTGACCACCCTGTTTCATACTGAAGCCTACCTCCTACTACCTCACCCCACTCTTCATCTTTCTTCCATAGCACCAATCATTTCCTAGCACATGAAGTAATGTATTGACTAATCACGCTTATAGTTCATTAGCTGTTCTCTCCTACTAAAATATGAGCCCCCTGAAGGCAGGGATCATTTTGATCCGTTTTGATCAGTGATGTGTCCCAAGTTCCTTGAATAATACTGTTACATAATAAGTACAGATGAGCTGAATGAATACACATGAAATGCCCCATGACCACTCTGCTTAGGAGCATTAGGTGAGTACAGCTCTGGGTCGAACTAACTTTCCAAGCTTGACTCTTAGGAGAGAGATTAGTAAGATGGGTATTTTTTCCTTTTTATTTTTGTCTGGGACAGGATCCTGCTCCATTGCCCAGGCTGGAGTGCAGTGGCGCAATTATAGCTCACTGCAGCCTTCACCTCCTGGGATCAAGCTATCCTCCCACTTCATCCTCCCAATGTATGGGATTACCGACAGGAGCCATTGCTCCCGGCAGGACGGGTATTTTTCAAGAATCTTCTAGTTTAACGTGTCCTAATGCAAGATGATGTAACAAGCCTTTATTGGCTCAGGCAATAAAGAGGAATTAGCTGCAGGCATGGGCGGATCCATTCAAGCAGATGCTGTGGTCACGGGTTGAGCTCTTTCCTGCTGCCTTGAGCCTGAGGCAGGCTATTCTTCCTGTGCGGCTCCACAGCTTCAGGCCAGCCCCCTCCCCGCTCAAATCCCTGAGGCAGAGCTCCTCTGAAGAAGACTTCCGATATTAGGTTGCCTGGGCCCAGCTTGAATCAGGCACCCCCAGCCGAGTCGCCCTCCAGGGGATGGAATACGGGACTCCCAGCCCCGGAAAACGGAGTCCGCCTGAGCCACGGGACTCGGATGGAAGGCAAGTGAAGCCTGATACCTCAGTGCAGATACGTGGCTGGCTTTGTTGCAGGATTTTCCTTAGTTTAGCTAAAGACGGGATCTTGTCCATCCCATGGCCATGAAAATTTAGGCTCACAGACGCTTTAAAGGGTGAGTAAAGCAATGTTTTATTGGGTGAAAAGGGAAAAAAGGAGGGTGGGTAACAGGGATTCTCCACAAGGCCAGAGTCTCCTGCTAGAGTGCTCCCTGCCCGCCCCATTCTAATCCCAGGTTCCACACAGGAAGAGGCGGTTCCCAGGTTCCACACAGGAAGAGGCGGTTCCCAGGTTCCACACAGGAAGAGGCGGTTCCCAGGTTCCACACAGGAAGAGGCGGTTCCCAGGTTCCACACAGGAAGAGACGCCCAGGTTCCACACAGGAAGAGGTGGTTCCCAGGTTCCACACAGGAAGAGGCGGTTCCCACGTTCCACACAGGAAGAGGCGGTTCCCACGTTCCACACAGGAAGAGGCGGTTCCCACGTTCCACACAGGAAGAGACGCCCAGGTTCCACACAGGAAGAGGCGGTTCCCAGGTTCCACACAGGAAGAGGCGGTTCCCAGGTTCCACACAGGAAGAGGCGGTTCCCAGGTTCCACACAGGAAGAGGCGGGGCGAGGCTCCTCCCTGCTGCAAAGGTCACAAACCTCGAGGCTTCGTCTCAGCGGGTGGGCTGGTTCTCCAGGGACCCCCTCCCACCTGGCTGTCTCAACTTGAGCAGCTGTCCATGCTGGGGTGCCCGCCAGGGGTGTGGGAACCACTCCCAAGAGGCCTAGCAGTCCCAGCACTGACCAGGGTTGACCCGAGGAGTAACCTGCCTCCCCCGGAAAACCTGAGCTGTCTTCTTCCCACCTCAGTCACCACCCAGATGTGAAGTAATGCAAAAGGCTCAACGTGGTCAAAAGAGCCCCGTTAGCCAGAATCTAGCCTCGGTTGCAAAGCAGCTTAACATGCAACAGCTCCCTACACGTTCTCCTGACCCCACCCTCCACCAACCCCCAAAGGCAGAAGCCATGAAGTCAGGACAAAGAAGGGTGGTGGCCATGATATCCCATTGTTCTACAGGTACAGGACCACACAACGAGGACAAAATACGACGTTTAAATATTCGAAAGAGCTGTCTCTACTATAATGTAGATGATACATTTATAAACCTGGAAAACTCACAAGAATGGACTGTGAAGGTATTAAAAATAATAAGATAATCTACTTGGGAGGCTGAGGCAGGAGAATCACTTGAACCAGGGAGTCGGAGGTTGCAGTGAGCCAAGATTGCGCCACTGGACTCCATCCTGGTAACAGAGCAAAAATAAACAAATATAATATAATATAATAATAAAATTATACTAAATGATGTGAAAGTCTTGGTTAAATAATATATTTTGTTTTTTAATACAATGTCAACACGAATTTTAAAAATATTATACCAGTTTTAGTACTGTTCTCCCAAAATTCAGGTCCTTCCTGTAACTTCAGAATGTGGCTTTATTAGGAAACAGGGTCATTGCACATGTAATTTAAGATGTGGTCTTAGTACAGCAGGATGTGTCCTTAATCTGACACAACTGGTGTCCTCATAAGACAAGGACAAGAAACAGAGAAACACCAGGGAAGATGCTGTGTGAAGGTGGAGACACAGATTGGAGTGATGTGTCTGCAGGTCAGGAAACACCAAGGGTTGCCGGCAAAATCAGAAGCCAAGAGAAAGGCATGGACCAGATTCACCCCTAGGACCTTCAGAAAGACCATGGGCTTCCAGTACCTTCACGTTGGACTCCAGCCTCCAGAGCTGTGAGAAAATACATTCTTACTGTCTTCAGACGTGCAGTTTGCGGTCATTTGTTACGGCAGTCTTAGCACACTAATAAGTATCTCAGTTCTTCCCATGTTGGCTACAAGGTTAATTCGATCCCGATCAAAGTCCTAAAAAAGTTTGTTTGGGTTTGAGGTTTTGTGCTTTGACTTGTTGTTCAGTTGGTTGGTTGGTTTTTTGTTTGGTTTAAGATAGTGTTTTCTATTTTTTTCCTCTTGTTTTTGCTTTTTTGGAAGGGTAAGAGACTTAAATGTCAACGTATCAGAATGAAAACAGAGTTAGATCCAGGAAATTTCTGAAAAAGAGAAGTAACAGAGCAGGACCAGCACTCCCTTCCAGGGAGTGGCCCCGCTGCTGAGAGGGAGGGCCTGGGACAGAAGACGGAGTTCCAAAATAGGCTAAGTATAAACGGGGATTTAGTACACAACGGGGGAGGAATGTCAAATCAGTGGGCAAACATAGATCTTTCTTTTTTTTTTTTTTTTTGAGATGGAGTCTCGCCCAGGCTGGAGTGCAGTGGCACAATATTGGCTCACTGCAAGCTCCGCCTCCCGGGTTCACGCCATTCTCCTGCCTCAGCCTCCCGAGTAGCTGGGACTACAGGCGCTCGCCACCATGTCTGGCTACTTTTTTTGTATTTTTAGTAGAGGCGGGGTTTCACCATGTTAGCCAGGATGGTGTCAATCTCCTGACCTGGTGATCCGCCCACCTCGGCTTCCCAAAGTGCTGGGATTACAGGCGTGAGCCACTGCGCCTGGCCAAACATAGATCTTTCAATAAAGAGCATTGAGAAGACTACAAAGTTGATTGGTTAATGATTTATTATTATTACTATTATTATTATTTGAGGTGGAGTTTTGCTCTTGTCGCCCAGACTGGAGTGCAGTGGCACAATCTAGGATCACTGCAACCTCCACCTCCTGGGTTCAAGCAATTCTCCTGCCTCACCCTCCCAAGTAGCTGGGATTACAGGTGCGTGCCACCACGCCTGACTAATTGTTGTATTTTTAGTGGAGATGGAGTTTCACCATGTTGGCCAGGCTGTGCTCGATCTCTCGACCTCAGGTGATCCATCTGCCTTGGCCTCCCAAAGTGCTGGGATTACAGGCGTGAGCCACAGTGCCTGGCCTATTATTATTATTAATGCCAGGTCACAGCTATACTCCTTTCACTCAAAGTCCTGATGGATCAAATTTTTAAAACTAAATGATTCAGACCAGGCATGGTGGCTCACGCCTGTAATCCCAGCACTTTGGGAGGCCAAGGCAGGCAGATCACAAGGTCAGGAGATCGAGACCATCCTGGTTAACACAGTGAAACCCTGTCTCTACTAAAAATACAAAAAAATTAGCCGGGTATGGTGGCGGGTGCCTGTAGTCCCCTCTACTTGGGAGGCTGAGGCAGGAGAATGGTGTGAACCCAGGAGGTGGAGCTTGCAGTGAGCCGAGATCACGCCACCGCACTCCAGCCTGGGTGACAGAGCAAGACTCCGTCTCAAAAAAAAAAAAAAAAAAAAGCTAAATGATTCAGAGATGTCCAATTCATGATGAGGGACCATATTTGTATCATATCCTTCACTCCCCAAATAGCTAAGAAATGGCCAGATAATACATCACTTTCGAGGGAATAAGTTCCCCCAGCTGCATGGGGATATGAGAATCATGCTCTTGGTGAGCCATATATTTTGAGGATTTCTGGAAAACAGCAAATTATATCAAACTTATAAGAGAAACCAGAGCAGAGGAAGTTTCATGTTAGAGGGAGGATTCATTTTTCCCACCAAATCTCCTTGGTGCCTCTTGCAAAGGGGTTCTCGACATCCCAACATACCTGAGTCCCAGGGCGTGTGCCGCTCATTCTCGGAGATGAAACCCAATACTCTAATAAGGAGAAAAATGACTAATGGAATAACCTTTCTGTTCATCCCCCTTTTGCAAAAATCATCCTCCTCTTGCGAAGATTTGGGGAAAATGAATCAAATGGAAATTCCTCAAATTCAAAGGCTTTTTATTGGTGTAGACCAACATCCCTTGTATAATACAATACATAAACCTGTGTAAAACACACTGACTTACACTCTCCGCACCCCCAGGACCACTTGCCATGTTTGCTCGTGGTTTGTTCAAACAAAGAAAATAAACCCCCGGGGATGCGCCCACTACTCGGACACTCCACAGAGGGGAGAAACCCGGTCCACTGGGTTTCAGGCAAAGCCCAAGTTTCCTTCCCCTTCTCCTCCCGCTACGAAAATTCCTTTCCAACAGTCCTCAGGCTTTTTGTAAGCTGTCCTCCAAAGCCCTTCCCCAGCGAGGACTATGGGGCTGAAATGTAATCATTGTGCTGAAGCATTGCTGAGTTTTACCGAGTCCTGCTGGTGCCCCAGCCGCTGAGTGTGTCCTTGGAGCTGGTTCTAGAAGTTGTGATGGATTTTCACTTATCACTTCCCCGGCCCCTCTTGGGCAGCCTGCAGAAACAGAGACTGCCCCGTGGCGCCGCACAGAACACCTTGTCCTTGGCTGCACAGTGGGAGAGCATGCTGTATATTCTTGAGAAACAGGGAATCTGTGTGCAAGCCGGGACCTCCTCCTCCTTTCCCCAACAGCGTCAGGAGGCAGCCCCCATGGGCAGCGAACCAGGGAATAAACACTGTGGATTACCAATGGGGAAGGAGCCTGGACCAGGCAACCCAAATACATGCACCCCTTGCTATTGTTAAAGCACCGTTGAAGTCCTGTTTTATATCCACCAAATTAGCAAAGAATAAGAAAGTTCTGGCCAGGACACAATGAAATTGGCACACACAGGCACACAGGGCTGCTGAGCACGGGCCTTCTCCCCAGAAGGCATAGAAACCAGTAACTCTCCAGTTTTCCCTTGGCAAGCTCAGGTCGTCTCTGTCATTTGGAACCCAGGAGTTCTGACTAAACAAGGACAGTGCACAGAGATGCTTACAACACCTGTGCAAGATTAGAGACCACCTCGGCTTACAGCACAAGACTAGCTAAAAAAATGTTGACATGTCAGCACAACAGAATAATACAAAGACTAATAGCAAAATGGAAAAACAGGCCGGGTGCGGTAGCTCACACCTGTAATCCCAGCACTTTGGGAGGCCAAGGCGGGCGGATCACCTGAAGTCAGGAATTCAAGACCAGCCTGGCCAACATAATGAAACCCTGTCTCTACTAAAAATACAAAAAATTACCTGGACGTCGTGGCACATGCCTGTAATCTCAACTACTCAGAAGGCTGAGGCAGGAGAATGGCTTGAACCCAGGAGGTGGAGGTTGCAGTGAGCCAAGATCGCGCCATTGCACTCCAGCCTGGGCGACAGAGTGAGACTCTGCCTCAAAAAAAAGAAAAGAAAAGAAAAATGGAAAAACAAACCACACAGGATTCCCAGTTAAGGGAAAGCAGAGCCCTGAAGGATCCCGTCCGGTGCTTCCGGCTATAGAAAAGGAGCCACATGGGTAGGCCAAGATGGTCCAGATGGCAGGTGTTCACTGCACGCTACCCTGTGCCAGGTCTGGTGCTCCATGGCTCACCTGTGTTGTCACGTGTCACATTCACTCTCATTCTGAGGCAGGTGCATTTTGCAAAGGAAGACACTGAGGCATCAAGCAGTCCATCGCTTGACCATGGTCAAGAAGGGGGTCCCAAACCCAGGCTGCGGGCCCCAAGCCAAAGCTCCAAAGGCAGCAGGAAAGGGAACAGCAGTCATGGAAAAGGGGAGGTGGTTTAGGGGCTTTTTATTTGTTGGTTTGGTTTCAAATTTCATCTTGAGTTTTTCCATTATCTTTTCCAATTAAAAGAAAATCCACAAGAAATCTGTGAAAGGGGCCAGGCATGGTGGCTTATGCCTGTAATCCCAGCACTTTGGGAGGCCAACGCGGGTGGATCACCTGAAGTCGGGAGTTTGAGACCAGCCTGGCCAACATGGTGAAACACCATCTCTACTGAAAATACAGAAATTAGCCGGGCGTGGTGGCACTCGCCTGTAATCCCAGCTACTGAGGAGGCTGAGGCAGGAGAATCGCTTGAGCCCAGGAGGCGGAGGTTGCAGTGAGCCAAGATTGTGCCACTGCACTCTAGCCTGGGCGACAGAGCAAGACTCTGTCTCAAAAAAAAAAAAAAAAAAAAGACATCTGTAAAAGGATCAGCACCCAGCCCCCACTTGAGGACACCTACCCGATGGCTCGTCTGCCATGCTGGGACCCTCCACCCTGATCCCCTACACCATTCAAGACTGAGTTCCCAAATGCACCTCCCCAGGGCGGTGATGGGGTCCAGCTTTGTGTCCACATCCCAGCACCTGGCATGGGGCCAGGCAGCAGTGACACTCAGGCCCTGTTGGTTGGATTCATTGATTCAGTAATTAGCAGCCTGAGGGCAGGGGACAGAGGCCATTCTCACTCCAGGACCTCCCTCCTCCCTGGGATGTCCTGGGGAATCTCTCCTGGGCCCTGGGCCCACCCTCCACACCCCATTGATTAGGCCTTCCATAGAACTCTCAAATCCACTCCCTCCACCCCATGCCTGGCACCGCCGTCCCGGTTCAGCCCTGGTTTCAGCCGCATACTCCTGTTCCAGGACCAGCTGTCTAAAGGGTAAGTGTTCTGCTCTCCCTATCCCGTTCCAGTTGTTCACAGGCTCACTGCGGCCTCCAGAGAAAATCCTGACGTCACGGCCTGTTGTCCCTGCTGTCCCCACAGTCCCTGTCTGCCACCCTCCCCCCACCACGCCCACACTGCAGGCTGCCATCAGCACACCGGGTCCCAAATACACCACGTGTGCTTCCTCACACCCCTGGACCACACTGCTCTCCAGCCCGGCACGCCTTCTACACTGTCTGGTGAGTTCCTTTTTAAATAAAAGCTTTATTGAGGCTGGGGGCGGTGGCTCACGCCTGTAATCCCAGCCCTTTGGGAGGCCAAGGCGAGTGGATCACAAAGTCAAGAGATGGAGACCATCCTGGCCAACATGGTGAAGCCCCGTCTCTACTGAAAACACAAAAATTAGCTGGGCACAGTGGTGCGTGCCTGGAGTCTCAGCTACTCGGGAGGCTGAGGCAGGAGAATTGCTTGAACCCAGGAGGTGGAGGCTGCAGTGAGCGGAGATCGCACCACTGCACTCCAGCGTGGTGACAGAGTGAGACTCTGTCTCAAAAACAAAACAAAACAAAACAAAAAACCTTTACTGAGATACAATTCATATACCATAAAACTCACCATTTCACACCATTTTAACGTGTAAATTCAATGGTTTTTAGTATATTCGCCATCACCATAACCATCACAATTTTAGAACTTTTTTTTTTACTATTTAGACAGAGTCTCCTGTCTCCAGAGCCTGTTGCCCAGACTAGAGTGCAGTGGCAGGATCTCAGCCCACTGCAACCTCTGCTTCTCGGGCTCAAGCAATTCTCGTGCCTCAACCTCCTGAGTAGCTGGAATGACAGGAGTGAACCACAATACCTGGCTAATTTTTGTATTTTTTTTTTTTTAGTAGAGACAGGGTTTCACCATGTTGGCCAGGCTGGTCTTGAACTCCTGACCTGAAGAGATCCACCCGCCTCGGCCTCCCCAAGTGCTGGGATTACAAGCGTGAGCCACCACACCAGACCCAGAACACTTTCATTACCCCCTAAAAACCCTATGTCCCATTAGCCCTCACCCCTCTGTCCCTCCCCATTCACCCTTTGGCCCTAGGCAACCTGTAAGCCACTTTCTGGCTCTATGAATTTGCCTCCCGTGGGCGATTCATATAAATGGAATCATATCACTGGTCTTTTCAGGCTGGCTTCTTATTCACTTGGCATGTTTTGAAGATTCATCCATGTTGTAGTATGTGTCATGTGGCTATAGCACCTCTTGTTCCATTCAGCCAGTTGATGGATTTGAACGTTGTTTTTCTTGTTCGACTATCATGACTAACACTGCTATGAACATTCATGTACAAGTTTTTTTTTTTTGCGAATTTTTTTTTTTTGAGACGGAGTCTCGCTCTGTTGCCCAGGCTGGAGTGCAATGGCGCGATCTCAGCTCCCTGCAAGCTCCCCCTCCCGGGTTCACGCCATTCTACTGCCTCAGCTTCCCGAGTAGCTGGGATTACAGGCACCTGCCACCATGCCCAGCCAATTTTTTGTGTTTTTAGTAGACACGGGGTTTCACCATGTTAGCCAGGATGGGCTCGATCTCCTGACCTCGTGATCCACCAGCCTCAGCCTCCCAAAGTGCTGGGATTACAGACGTGAGCCACCACACCCCCGCAAAAATTTTTTGTTATTGTTGTTGGGTATACACCGAAAAGCAATATTGCTGGGTAACATGGTCGCTTTATGTTTAACCTTTTGAAGAACTGCTGGGCTGTTTTCCAAAACATCAGCACAGTTGTAGATTCCTATCAGCAGTGTAAGAGGGTTTCAATGTATCCACATTCTTGCTAACACTTGCTATTATCTGACTTTTTTATTGTAACCATGCCGCTGGGTGTGAAGTGGTGTCTCTCTATGGTTTTGATTTATAATTCCAAGATGGTTAATGATGTTGAGCATCTTTATATGTGCCTATTAGCCATTCATATATTTTTTGAAGAAATTTCCATTCTGATCATATGCCCATTCTTAATTGGCTTGTCTTTTCTTATTGAGTTGTAAGGGTTCTTTTTATATTCTGTATACAAGACCTTTATCAGATATGCAAATATTTTTACTTTTTCTGATGGTGTCATTTGCAATGAATGGGAGAAGTTCCCTTGCTCCCCTCACAGGGGTGTGGCTCACTTCTTTGGTGCCCCACTGCTCAAACCCCTAGTGGGAGCATGCAAATGGGCAGGTCGTGGGGAGCACTTTTGGGCTCCGACCCCACAACAGCGACTAGAGTTGAGTGTTTACAGCTCCCGAAGCCCCAGTGGGTGTGTGTTAGTGTGCTCTTTCAGCTTTGCCATCTGCAGGTGGCTTGTGTTAATCAGCTCAATTAGACCCTCTGCCTTATCACAAGGACAGAGGGTTTTCTGTATCCCGGATTCTTGCCCTGGTGTACCAGAAAAATTGGATCACATGTGGGCTTGGAGAATGACTGCAAGGTTTTATTGAGTGGTGGAAGTAGCTGTCAGTGAGATGGATGGGGAGCCACAAGGGGAATGGAGTGGGAAGGTGGTCTTCCCCTGGAGTTGAGCTGCCCAGCAGCCGGACTCTCCTCCGACCACCCCTAACTGAATTCCACGTCGTCCCGCTGTTGATGGCCTGCCAACGTCTGCTGGTGTCTGTCGATGTGCTCTTCTGGTCCTCTGCTCCTCTCAGTGTCCAGCCACTTGTGTGTGTGCCCACTAGGGTCTCAGAGTTTTTATGGGCCCAGGATGGGGGGTGTGATGGGCCAAAAGGCAACTTTTGGGGCACGAAAACAGAAATGCTTGTCCTCACATAGGTCCGTGGGCACAGGCCTGAGGGTGGAAGCCTCGCCAGGGACCCAGCCCTTCTCTACCCAGCACTTCCCTGCCCTGTTCCCATATCAGCAACACAAAAGTTTTTAATTTTGACAAAGTCCAATTTATCTATTATTTCCTTTCATTGCTGAGTACACACAGAAGCAAGTGCACAATGGAAATTTTTTCAATTTTTATTTTGTAGAAATGGGGTTCCACAATGTTGCCCAGGCTGGCCTCGAACCCAAAGTGCTAGAATTACAACATGAGCCATCATGCCCAGCCTGTTTTTCATCTTTTTTCTAGCTTTACTGATTTGTGTTGCCTGTGCTGTTGGTGTCAATCTGCTTATGTGCCATAGGTCTATTAGAATTTTCTATTTCTTCTTGAGTCAGTTTCAGTAGTTTGTCTCCATCTATGAATTGTTCATTTTATCTAAGTTATCTAATTTCTCAGCAAATACTTGTCCAGATATTCCTTTGTAATCCTTTGTATTTCTGTAAGTGATGCCCCTTCTCTCTCTTTTTTTTTTTTTTTTTTTTTTTTTTTTTTTTAGACAGAGTCTTGCTCTGTCACCCAGGCTGGAGTGCAGTGGCACAATCTCGGCTCTCTGCAAGCTCCACTTCCCAGGTTCATGCCATTCTCCTGCCTCAGCCTCCTGAGTAGCTGGGACTACAGGCGCCCACCACCACGCCTGGCTAATTTTTTTGTATTTTTTTAGTAGAGACGGGGTTTCACCGTGCTAGCCAGGATGGTCTTGATCTCCTGGCCTTGTGATCTGCCCACCTCGGCCTCCCAAAGTGCTGGGATTACAGGCATGAGCCACCACGCCCGGCTGCCCCTTCTCTTTTTTTAAAGCTTGAGTCTTTTCCTTTGTTCATCAGTTTTCAAAATAATGACTGGCTCCCTACCACCTCCCTAGGTGTGTGACACACTGCATTCTGGTTATCTGCTACTGTACAACTAATCACCCCAATGTCAGCAACTTAGACAACAACTGTCATTATGGTTTTTATGGTTTTGTGGGCCAAGAATGCAGCAAGGCCCTGCTGAGCATTGTTCTGCTCCTCATCGCACCGACTGAGGTCACTGGATGGTTTTTCACCAGCAGATGAATGGTCTCGGACCCCAGAAGGCTTTATTCACCTGGCTGGCACATTGATGGGCATGACGGGAAGGCCAGATGCAGCTGCACTGCCACACAGTGCCCACCCGCAGCCACTGAAGCATGAGGGCCTTGGGACAGGCACCTTCCCACAGGGCAATTCAGGGTGTCTGCAGGCTTCCAACAGAGGAAGTGGAAGCTGCTAGTTTCTTAAGGCCTGGGCCCACACATGTCTCATTTTTGCTGTATTCTACCAGTCAAAGCAGTCAATGAGCCCACCCACATTCATGAGGATGGGGACAAAGGCCCCACCATTGGAAGGAAGACTATCAAAAACTCTGGGGCCATCTTTAATCTGCCACAAATTGGGTGTGCTGCTTTGGGCTTTTGTATTTTTTTTATGAACATGGATTCAAACACATATGATGAGTTTCAGTCCATTGCAGTTATTATTACTGATGCTCAAATTGACCCCATTTGGGGCAGGAGGAACTCTTCAAGTGGCCCCTGAGCCTTATTAATGTGACCTCGTGATCCTCAGTAATGTCCTTGCTTTGGGGTACAACAAGCTGTTCCCAGCTCACCTTGCACTCGTTTTCCTTAGGCTGGAATTGATCATTTCCCCTAGATGCAAAGGACTCAGTAAGAATACCAATCCTCCCCAGCCGGGCGTGGTGGCTCACGCCTGTAATCTCAGCACTTTGGGAGGCCAAGGCAGGTGGATCACAAGGTCAGGAGATTGAGACCATCCTGGCTAACACAGTGAAACCCTGTCTCTACTAAAAGTACAAAAAATTAGCCACGTGTGGTGGCAGGGGCCTGTGGTCCCAGCTACTCGGGAGGCTGAGGCAGGATAATGGCGTGAACCCGGAAGGCGGAGCTTGCAGTGAGCCAAGATTACGCCACTGCACTCCAGCCTGGGGGACAGAGCGAGACTCCGTCTCAAAAAAAAAAAAAATGAATTCCAATCCTCCCTTTCTGTCACTTGGACCTATCCTCTCCACTGCTGTGGCCCAGGCTGGAGTGCAATGGCATGATCTCAGCTCACTGCAACCTCCGCCTCCCTGGTTCAAGTGATTCTCCTGCCTTAGCCTCCCCAGCAACTGGGATTACAGGCGCCCGTCACCACGCCCAGCTAATTTTTTTGTATTTTTAGTAGAGACGGTTGTTTCACCATGTTGGCCAGACTGGTCTCAAACTCCCAACCTTCAGGTGATTCACCCACCTCGGCCTCCCAAAGTGCTGGGATTACCACGCTCAGCCCTATCCTCTCTTTTCAAAGTTATTGATCAACACTGACTTCTCGGTATCAGTGACCTGTTTAACTTTTCCTACCTTAACCCTAGGTACCTGTGGAGCCGCTGGGAACACCCACGTGCTCTTCGGGGTCACTGACTCTTGCCTCTGGCTCCTACCTGATGCCTGATTGTTTTACTGTCACTTTCGCCAGTCAGCTCTGAGCACTGAGGACCGATAGGCCCCAGCCCTCCCTCCAGGCCTTGCTGTCCCCCTTTGCCTAGGAAGTTCGTATTCATCATCTAAAATCCATCTAATACTGACCCAGTTCACCACCTTCCCAACACGCCCACACGTGCCTTCCCCACTGTGTTCTGCATTCGCTGTCCACCGCGGCCACGCTGTCACCCGGGCACCTGGTCACCCTGTCACAGCCTGCATGCTTCCATGTCAGGAATCTGTGAGCTCGCCAGAGGTCAGGACCTCACCCCTCATCTCAGTGCCCAGTTGCTGGGGCAAGGCTAGCCCAACTGTCACTGAACTACATGAGTCTCTGTTGGCATCAAAGAAGGGGGCGCCCTTGGCTTTCTCTGGCACCCCCTTCTTTGATACCTAGGAGGCAAAAAGTGGGAGCAGGCAGGAGGGAACATGAGCTGGGAACTGGTAAGGGAATGCCTTTCCAAATGCAGTGGCCCACCAAGCCTTCCTATGGGGTAATGAGTTCACTCTAGACCGTGTGAATTAACTGCTAAGCAACCAGGGTGCGTGAAAGCCTCTGGGGCGCCCCACACCATTAGCTACTCATGAAGTGCTTTGTGTGCCCACTTCTTTCTCCACAGGTATTTGGCATGAGTGACTTAACTGATAAGGTTTGAAAGTTAAAACCAGTTCCCACTAAGGCAGCCCTGGGGTCCTCTGGACACTATCGCCAACCATCTGAGTCTGTAACAAACACCCAGCACCGAACAAAGCACGTCAGGGCCGCTCCAGTGGGGCTGGGCGGTTTTATGGGATCCATTCGCTAATTAAAATTCACTCTTCCAGGCAGCTGTGATCTTTGGTGTCTCATGCACTTGAAAAATATATCTTGACATTTAAGCCATGCTTGCTGGGATGGTGTGAGTAGCAGTGATAAGCCACAAATTCCAATCAGTGTAAAAATGCTAAATTCCGTGTTGGGGCTTGATTTGAAGGGCAAGGGCACCCGAATTCCTACAGTTTGTCCCACTCCATCAGCACCCACAGAGACAAGCCTCTTCCTGTTCTCGGGATGACACAGACGCCCACCCGAGGCCACTGCCCACTCCTGAAATTTCAGGCTGCGATAACAACAAACTACATTTTCGCTCTGGACAATTTTGGGTGCTGTTATTGGCCAGTTGGTGTCTGCACAGCAGATAGTTCAGGTTCTGGGCCACACAAGGTCACGAGCCTGGGTGAGCAGAGCCTCCACCCCTGCCCCAGCTCAGCTCCCAGCCCATGGTGGATCCAGCCATCATCTCTGCCCAGGGTCGCTAAACAGGATCCAAGAGCCTGGGGGGAGTAGGAAGGCGCCCCGCTTATTGCGGAATCCCTGCTCCCGGACATCCCCATCCTGGGAGCCTAGCCTCTGAGGCACACAGGGGGATCTCCCCAAGGCCCCTCCCACTCTCTCCCAGGTCCCCAGCGGGGGTACCCATGGCAGGGCAGGATGCTCCGAAAACCCAGCAGGCCTCTTCTATCTGAAGGCCCAAGCCATGCATCTCTGACCAGGGTGACTTTGAAAGGCGTCTGAGGTGTGGGCCCCAAACACCCTCCCACTTCATGCCTTGGCAGGAGCTGCTCTATGAGGCCGGAATGACCTCCACTCTCTGCCCCACCCCTCACCTGCACCACACCAGCCAAGGAAGGTCAGCCACCTAAGCTCTGGGGACCCTGTGTTGCTAATGCAGACAGTCCCTACAGACTCCCCCACACTGCTGTGGTCTGCCATGGCCTGTCCCTGCCCGTTGTAGGGAAAGCCACGTTCTATCATGAAGTGGGGGTGAGGCTGGGGATGGGAGCATAGGGAGACCTGCCCTGGGGGTCAGGAAGACCCCCCACTGGCCCCTGGGTCACACCAGGTTCAGAGCAAAGGGTGGGATAGGGAGTGGGCATCATGGAGCTTAGGTGGTCTTCTCAGGGTGGAGAGGTTGCCCAGGGAAATGCTCTCTTTCTTCCTTTTGTTTCCTCTAGGAGATTTGTTCAAGGTGGAGGCAGGGCAAGCCCAGGCATGGGACAGGGGCCTCTCCAGAGGAGAGAGACGCTGGACAAGCGGGGCCCTGGGGTGGGTGGGGCGCGTGCAGCTCAGGCCACTTCCTACATGTGCTGTGGGTCCCCTCTCTCACCTGCCCTGAGGTTTGTTTTGTTAACAACGTAGATGCTTTGCCTCTCTTAGTGCGTTCAGCTGTCATCACAGAATACCATAGACTGGGTGCTTATCAACGACAGAAATTTCTTTCTTGCAATTCTGGAGGCTGGGAGCCCGAAATCAAGTGCTGGCAAATTCAGCGTCTGGTGAGGGCTGCTTCCTGGTTCATAGATAGCCCCTAGCCCTATTCATGAGGGCTCTGCCCTCATCACCCCCCAAAGGTCCCTCCCACCCCCGATACCATCACGTTGGTGACTAGGCTTCAGTATATGAAGCTGGGGGTGACACCAACATTCAGACCATAGGATTACGCATTGGCAAAATAAAATTCTTCTTAAAAATACATGTGGAAGGCCGGCCGCGGTGGCTCATGCCTGTAATCCCAGCACTTTGGGAGGCCGAGGCAGGCGGATCACGAGGTCAGGAGATCGAGACCATCTTGGCTAACACGGTGAAACCCCGTCTCTACTAAAAATACAAAAAATTAGCCGGGTGTAGTGACGGGCGCCTGTAATCCCAGCTACTCAGGAGGCTGAGGCAGGAGAATGGCGTGAACCCAGGAGGCGGAGCTTGCAGTGAGCCAAGGTCGTGCCACTGCACTCCAGCCTGAGTGACAGAGCAAGACTCCATCTCAAAAAAAAAAAAAAAAAAACACGTGGAAGCATGAGGCAGAAGCATCCCCAGCCAGCTGCTGCGTCCATTATCACCCTCCGACCCAGCAGGCACGGCTGGTGCCCCCCTGCTCTGTGAGTGGGACCAGGTGTCATCGGAGACACCTGTTGGGGGACACAGAGGCCTTGGGCCGGGTCAGCGCCGCCAGCTGCTCCTTGGGGAAGGCAGGATGAGGGGCCAGCTTTTAAGATGGTGGCTGCTGGGGAGCTGCCTACACGCTCTGTTTAATATTCTCTTTAACTCGACACCTTCTGACACCATGCTGGAGGCTGATGAAGGGGAAATCTGACAGGAGCTATAGGGTGGGTCTGAGATGTCAGTCCGTGCTCCGCCGTCTCTCTCCTCTGTTGCCACATTTGGGTTGGACCTGAGGCCGTCGAAACTGGGACCTTTAGAAGTCCCTTGCAGAACGCTTGCTAGCTTTATTGTTAGGCACCCTATACTTTTTGTTACTTTGGTAAATTGATTTTTTCATTGCTTTTTGGAATGTAGAAAGGCAATTGATTTTTGTTTATTGATCAACCAACTAGCTCAACCACCCTATTAATTCTGTCATCTGTCTGCAAGTTTGGGGGAGGTTCTATTTATATGATCATATCATTAGACAGTGATTACAGTTTGCTTTCCCTTCTTCTCATTCTCAAACATTGAGTTTCTTTTTCTTCTCTGTCTGCACTGTCTGGGGCCCTCAGGACAATCTCCAGTGGAAACAGCGTGCTGGGCATCTGATTGTATTCCTGACTGGCTGAGGATGACGACTAGTATGTCACTGTCAAATGTGACGTTTCCCATAGATTGTTAGTGTATATCTTCTTTCACTTCAGATTTGCTAAGAGTTTGAGTTTTTTTCCAATCATGAGTGGTTTTTACATTTTATCAATTTATTTTCATGCATCTATTAAGAATATAATCTGCTCTTGACCAGGCACGGTGGCTCACGCCTGTAATCCCAGCACTTTGGGAGGCCGAGGCCAGCGGATCACAAGGTCAGGAGATCGAGACCATCCTGGCTGACACGGTGAAACCCCACCTCTACTAAAAATAAAAAAAAAATTAGCCGGGCGAGGTGGCGGGCGCCTGTAGTCCCAGCTACTCAGGAGGCTGAGGCAGGAGAATGGCGTGAACCCAAGAGGAGGAGCTTGCAGTGAGCCGAGATCGCGCCACTGCACTCCGGCCTGAGTGACAGAGCGAGACTCCGTCTCAAAAAAAAAAAAAAAGAATATCATCTGCTCTCTTTTCCCTGTGCCTATTAATATGGTGACTTCACAGGTCAATTTTCTAATGTTAAATCAACCTTGAGTTTCTGGAACATAACAACCTGGACGTGACCTGTTATATTTCTTTTTTTTTTCAAGATGGAGTCCTGCTCTGTTGCCCAGGCTGGAGTGCAGCGGTGCGATCTCGGCTCACTACGACTTCTGCCTCCCAGGTTCAAGGGATTCTCCTGCCTCAGCCTCCTGAGTAGCTGGGACTACAGGCATGTGCCACCACGCCCGGCTAATTTTTGTATTTTTAGTACAGACGGGGTTTCACCATGTTGGCCAGGCTGGTCTCTAACTCCTGACCTCAGGTGATCCGCCCGCCTCGGCCTCCCAAAGTTCTGGGATTACAGGTGTGAGCCACCGCGCCCGGCCTGAACTCTTATACTACTATGTGTTTTGCCTGGATTTGATTTGCGCAATATTTTACCTAGAGGGTTTTCACATCCATGTTCATAAGTAGATTGGCCTGTAATGACTTTTCTCCCAATTTTCTCTTTTTCGAACTATAAAAAGAATTGGAGAATGTTTCCTCTTTGTCTCCAGAACACTTTATATATAAAACCAAAACCATCTTCTCCTTTAAAGAGGTCTTAAACTTACCTCGGTCTGTTTCTTTTGTGAAAGATTGTTTATTAATAATCTAATTTCTTTAAATTTTATCAGACTCTTCATTCAGGTTTTCTATTTATCCTTAAGCTGGTTTTTATTAATTGTATTTTCTAGGTGTTTTAGACAGTTTTGAGTTTATGAGCATCAGGTTGAAATGGGGAAGTTTCCCTTGTCCTCCTCACAGGGCATGTGACAGGGGGTGTGGCTCGCTTCTTCAGGGCCCCACTGCTCAAGCCTCTAGGAGAGCATACAGACAGGCAGCGTCTGGGGGTGAATGTTCACAGCACCTGAAGCCCCAGTGGGCGTGTGCTGCATGTGCTCTTTTAGGTGTTCCATCTATAGGCGGCTTGTGTTAACCAGCTCAATTAGACCCTTTACCTTGTTGCAAGGACAGAGGGCTTTCTGTGTCCCAGGTGTGTACCAGGTGCCTTGGTGTCCCGGAAGAATCGGACCACACGTGGGCTTGGAGAATGAGTGCGAGGTTTTATTGAGTGGAAGTAGCTGTCAGAAGATGGCAAAGCCAGAAGGGAGATGGTTTTCCCCTGGAGTCAGCCACTCAGCGGCTGGACTCTTCTCCGACCACTTCAGCCAAACTCCATGTCATTCCCCCGGTCAATGGCCTGCCGGCGTGCCGGCCTCTGCCTGTGCCTATGGGCGTGCTCTTCAACCCATGTGCTCCTGTCAACGTCCAGCCGCCCGTGTGTTCCTCTGCTGACGTGCTTCTCTGTCCAGCCACCTGCGTGTCTGCCCGCTAGGGTCTCGGGTTTCTATAGGCACAGGATAGGGACGTGGCCGGCCAGGGTAGTCTTGGAAAATGCAATATATGGGCAGGAAAACAAAAATGCCTGTCCTCACCTAGGTCCGTGGGCGCAGGCCTGGGGGTGGAGCCCTAGCCAGGGACCGTGCCCTTCCCTTCCCAGCACTTCTGTATCAAAGCCATAGTACTTTTTACTGTCATTTTAATCTTTGCTGTACCTGAGATGTATCTTCTTTTTCACTCCTGAAAGTTTTGGGGTGTATGTGTGCCTTACTTCTTTTCTTACAGCTTTATTGAGATATATTCCACATACCATAAAATTCACCCATGTGAAGCATACAGTTTAATGATTTTTAGAATATTCACGGTGGTACAACCAACACCACCATCTAATTTTAGAACATTTTCAGCATCCTTAAAAGAAATCCCAGCGACATCAACAGCCACTCCCTTCTGTTTCATTCTCCACCTGAGACTTTTTTTTTTTTATTAGACAGAGTCTCACACTGTCACCTAGGCTGGAGTGCTGTGGCGTGATCTCGGCTCACTGCAACCTCCGCCTCCCGGGTTCAAGCGATTCTCCTGCCTCAGCCTCCCGAGTAGCTGGGGCTACAGGCACCCATCACCATGCCCAGATAATTTTTGTATTTTTAGTAGAGATGGGGTTTCACCATGTTGGCCAGGATGGTCTCAATCTCTTGACCTCGTGATCTGCCCGCCTCGGCCTCCCAAAGTGCTGGGCTTACAGGCATGAGCCACCAGTGCCGGGCCGAGATTGGCTTTTAATTTGTTGCATGTTTGCATGGTTCAAAAGTCAAAATGACATGATGAGGCATAAAATAAGTATAGGCTGGGCACGGTGGCTCACACGTATAACCTCAACACTTTGGGAGATCAAGGCAGGAGGATCACTTGAGGCCAAGAGTTCAAGACCAGCTTAGGCAACATAGCGAAGCCCCATCTCTACAATTTTTAATTAAACTTAGCCAGGCATAGTGCCGTGTGCCTGTATTTAGCCGGGCATAGTGGTGTGTGCCTGTATTCCCAGCTACTCGAGAGGCTGAGGCAAGAGGACTGCTTAAGCCCAGAAGTTCGAGGCTGCAGTGAGCCATGATCACACCATTGCACCTCCAGCCTGGGCAAGAGTGCAAGACTGTGTCTCTAAAAAATTAAAAATTAAAATGGGGTATAAAAATATACAAAAAAAATTCTAACTCCCATCTTCATCTTCCCCACAATTGTCTCTCTCACACTCACATAACCATTTTTATTCATTTTCTGTTTATTTTTCTGTATTTCTTTATACAACTACAACAAGGAAATGCAAATATATTTATTCCTATTTTCCACTCTTTTCTTACAGAAAGGTAACATCATTGATACAGTATCTTGCACCTTCTTTTTTTTCTTACTATATCCTGAAGTAGCTCCTTATTCTTTCTTCCAGTTGTGTTTCATGTTTATTCAGCCAGCTCCCCATGGGCAGGCCCTTGGCTTGTTTCCAAGCTTTTACCATTACAAACAGTGCTGTAGTGTATAACCTCGTTCATGGGTCATTTTATACTCGTGAATATCTGTCTGTAGAATAGATTTTCAGAGGTAGGATTGCTGGGTCAAAGGATAAATACATTTTTTTGTTTGTTTGTTTGTTTTTTGTTTTTTTTGAGACGGAGTCTTGCTCTGTCGCCCAGGCTGGAGTGCAGTGGCACCATCTCAGCTCACTGCAAGCTCCGCTTCCCGGGTTCACGCCATTCTCCTGCCTCACCCTCCTGAGTAGCTAGGAATACAGGTGCCCGCCACCATGCCTGGCTAATTTTTTGTATTTTTAGTTGAGACGGGGTTTCACTGTGTTAGCGAGGATGGTCTCGATCTCCTGACCTC
This sequence comes from Homo sapiens, assembly GCF_000001405.40. Lineage (NCBI taxonomy): Eukaryota > Metazoa > Chordata > Mammalia > Primates > Hominidae > Homo > Homo sapiens. The sequence goes on from NW_016107298.1 coordinate 239,436, forward strand.
GTGATCCACCCGCCTCGGCCTCCCAAAGTGCTGGGATTACAGGCATGAGCCATCGCGCCCGGCCAATACATTTGTATTTTTTATAAGCAATGCCAAACTGCTCTCCATAAGGTTTGTACAATTTTGTATTCTCCACAACCAAACCTGTTTCCTCACAGCCACACCAACGATGTATTTTACAATTTTGGATTTTTGCCAAATTGAATTGCGCAAAATGATGTCTAAGGGCAATTTAATTTGCATTTCTCTTATTACAACTGGGGTTGAGCATCTCTTGATGTTTAAGGATCATTTGCATTTCATTCTGTATGAACTATTTCTTTCTTTTGCCCATTTTTTCTTTGTAGTCCTTGGTCTCTTTCTTAGGAAAGTAAAAGCTATCTTTATCTATTACTGCATGACAAACTACCTCAAAACCTAATGGCTTAAAGCGACATAATTTATTATTCCTCAGGATTCTGCGGGTCGAGTGGGCACAGCTGGGTGGCTCTTGCTCTACTTGCTACCAGCTGGGCTTACTCACTCGGCTACATTTGGCCGGCAGCTTGGCTGAGCTGGATGGTCCACCAAGCCTTCACTCACTTGTCGAGTGCCTTTGTGCTCGTCTGCATAGCCACGTCACCTCGGCTGGGGCCTCCTCACAGCGTGGTGGTCTCAGGGAAGTCAGCCTTCTTACGTAGCAGCTGGCTTTCAAGAGGGAGGAAACAGAAGCTGCCAGTCCTCTTAAGGCCTGGATTCCAACGTCAGGAAATGTCACTTCTGCATTCCTTTGGTCATAGAAAGTCACAAGGTCAGCCCAGATTTAAGGAATAGGAAATAGACCCCACCTCTGGGTGGGAGAAGTGGTGTGGGCTGCAGGGAAGGAACGCACTGGTGGCCGTCGGGGCCAAAGACCGGGGATAGACGGGGAGAGCGGGGGCAGCCGCTGGCATCACCGTGAGCCTGTCTTAGCCCTTGGGGGCATCGTGAGGTTGGATTCTTTAAAGACAGGGCTCCGAGGGTTGGGAATCTTGAGGGCTATAACAATACTAAAAACTGAGGACACGCATACATTTCGTTGTGATTTTCGGTGGAGGAACTTAGTGAAGGTGGTGTTACGGGGTCGGGGAGAAAATGTAAAAGCTTGGCCGTGGGTGGGTTGGGGCCGACCCTTTCTCCCACCGGTTTATGGCTGGAGAAGGTGGGAGATGTCAACTCCATTTAGGGGACTGGAGGGACCTGGACAGTTTTGAAGGGGAATTTGAGAGTTGAATTTGAGTGTGCGCTTGTAAAGGACTCAACCCTGCCAGTCGCGGTTCAAGATCAGGGTTGGCTGTAGGTGGGAGGCCGTGCAGTTCCTGGGAAAGCTAACTCACCGCGGTGTCTTTTCTGTCTCACGCCGAGAAGAGCCCTGTTTGTGCTCCGCTACTGCCTGGAGTCTCCAGAGGACGCAAACAGGCGAGGGGATGTGTGGGGAGAAGTACTTGCTTTTTCTTGCTTTCTTCTTTACAGAATTTGTTCTTTTCCCACAAGGCCACTCTAGCCACACCAGGAGCTTTCTCAGAAGCAGTCACAATCTTTTTCCTTTTTTTGTTTTCAGACAAGGTCTCACAAATGGCAAACAACAAGACAAATGACAAACAGGCAAAAAAAAAAAAATCTTTTTTCTTCCAGGATAAAACCCAAATTGATTCAGCAGACATTTTGATTAGGAAATCCTATAAATCAGGACCACTCTTAATTTCAGACACTCCGTTATGAAGTGTACATCTACCTCTAGGGGATGAATAAGCCATTGAATCTTTTAAAAACTGGCTTTTTAAAAACTGTTGCCGAGGCTGGAGTGCAGTGGCACAATCTTGGCTCACTGCAGCCTTAAATTCCTGGGCTCAAGTGATCCTCCTGATTTAGTCTCCCTAGTAGCTGGGAGCACAGGTGCATGCCACCACCATGCTGGCTAATTTTTTTTTTTTTTTGAGACGGAGTCTCGCTCTGTTGCCCAGGCTGGAGTGCAGTGGCATGGTCTCGGCTCACTGTAACCTCTGCCACCCAGGTTCAAGCGATTCTCCTTCCTCAGCCTCCCAAGTAGCTGGGATTACAGGCACCTGCCACAGCGCCTGGCTAATTTTTGTATTTTTAGTAGAGACGGGGTTTCACCATCTTGGCGAGGCTGGTCTTGAACTTCTGACCTCATGATCCACCCCCTGCTCGGCTACCCAAAGTGCCAGGATTACAGGCATGAGCCACCGCGCCCCGCCTAATTTTTGTATTTTTGTGTAGAGATGGGATCTCATTATGTTGCTCAGGCTGATCTCAAACTCCCGCCCTCAAGCAATCTTCCTGCCTTGGCCTCTCAAAATGCTGGGATTATAGACGTGAGCCACTGGGCCCACCTAAACAATCTCTTGAGCCTCTCTCCCATCCTCCCAGCCCAACTTTCTTATTCCATCCTTGCTGGTGTCTGTAGGAATGGACAAGAGACCCTGGATGTTTTTCTGCTCTGTGCTGGCCTCTGTGAAGCTGTGGGCCTCAGGCTCTGCACATCCTCCCCGTGCGGTTTGTCTCCTTCTCCCATGCAGCTGTTCTTTGTGACCGAAGCTGGTTTTAAAATGTGGCTTTCCCTGAGGAGAAATCACAGGCTTTGCCCTTTGAAGCTTAATGGTGTCTTACGAAGGTCCTACCCCCAAATGCGAAGGTAGCAAAGCCAGTTTTTAAGAGATTCAATGGCCTGTTCATCCTCCAGATGTAGATGTACGCTTCATAACGGAGTGTCTGAAATTAAGAGTGGTCCTGATTTATAGGATTTCCTAATTAAAATGTCTGCTGAATCAATTTGGGTCTTGTTCTGGGAAAGAAAAGAATTTTTTTGCCTGTTTGTCATTTGTCTTTTGACTTTGCTTATGTTTGTGTCTGTGTGTGCATGTGCACGTAGGGTTTTGTTGAACATTTTATTTGGAAACAATTATAGATTCACAGAAGTTGCAAGGATAGTATCGAGATGTCCCCATTTACACTTCACACAGTTTCTCCCAGTGACAATATCTTACATAACTATGGTACAACATCAAAACCGGGAAAATTGACATTGGTGCAATGTGCGTCATCTTTTTTTTTTTTTCTTTTTTGAGACAGAGTCTCACTCTCTCGCCCAGGCTGGAGTGCAGTGGCGCGATCTCAGCTCACTGCAACCTCTGCCTCCCAGGTTCAACCCATTCTCATGCCTCAGCCTCCCGAGTAGCTGGGACTATACGTAGCCCGCCACCACACCTGGCTAGTTTTTGTATTTTTAGTAGAGAAAGGGTTTCACCTTGTTGGCCAGGCTGATCTCTAACTCCTGACCTCAGGTGATCTGCCCATCTCAGCCTCCCATAATGCTGGGATTACAGGCGTGAGCCACCAAGCCCGACCCAATGTGTGTCATCTTATCATATGTGTAGTTTCATGTAACTATTACAATCAAAATACAAAACTGTCCCATTGCCACAAAAATCACCCTTGGGAGCCACCCCATGATAGTCACCTACACAGCCATGTCCCCACCATCCCTAACCTCTGACAGCCACTCGTCTGTTTTCCATCTCTGTAGGGGGTGAATAGGCCTCCAAAAATGTATGTCCAGCTCCTAACCCCTGGAACTGTGAGTGTGACCTTATTTGGAAAGGGGTCCTTACAACTGTAATGAAGAGTCTCGAGTTGAGATCATCCTGGAGTCAAAGTGGGCCCTGAATCCAATGACAGCTGTAAGAAAAGGAAGAAGGACATTGGAGACAAAAGGCAAAGAGGAGAAGGCGATGTGGAGACGGAGACACAGGTGGCAGTGATGCGTCCAAAAGCCAAAGAAGGTCAAGGATTGCGGCAGCCACCAGAAGCCAGGAGAGAGGCATGAATCCAATTCTGTCTCAGAGCCTTCAGAAAAAACACTTCACTTAAACTGGTAAAAAGCAAAACCAAAACCAAACAAACAAAAACATTGACAAAGGGGAATCCACACGCACAGGGCATTAGAGCATTCAACAAATATGAGTGCCTACCGTATGCCAGGTGCTGGACAGAGCATTTGGCATACTTTAGTGAACAGGAAGGTGAAGGCCCTGCCCTTCAGCAGTGACTTGCTAATGGGTTGTTGGTTTTTTCCGGGCTATTTTCTTTCTGCTATTCCGATTGGATAATATATATCATTGTACCTCCAAGTTCATGGATTTCTTTCCTCCGTCCTCTCCATTCTGCTGTTAAACCCATCCATTGAGTTTTTATATTGTTATTCTATATTTTATCCTTACTTTTTTTTTTTTTTTTTTTTTTTTTTTGAGATGGAGTCTCACTCTTTTTCGCCCAGGCTGGAGTTCAGTGGCGCAATCTTGGCTCACTGCAACCTCTGCTTCCTGGGTTCAAGTGATTCTCCTGCCTCAGCCTCCCAAGGAGCTGGGATTACAGGTGCACCCCACCATGCCCGGCTAATTTTTTTGTATTTTCAGTAGAGACGGGGTTTCACCGTGATAGCCAGGATGGTCCCAAACTCCCTCAGGTGATCCGCCCAGCTCGGCCTCCCAAAGTGGTGGGATTACAGGCATAAGCCACTGTGCCTGGCCTCATTTATTTCTTAATATCATCTATTTCTTTGCCTAGACTTTCTCCTTTTTCATTGGTTTCAAGCGCATTCATAATGTGCACATTGCACCATTTTATGACAGCTGCTTTAAAATTCTTATCAGATAATTCTAACATCTGTGTCATCTCAGTGTTCGTGTCTGCTGTCTCTTCTCATTCATGCTGAGACTCTGTCCCTACAAAAATTAAAAAATAATTAGCCGGGCATAGTGGCATGTGCCTGTGGTCCAAGCTCCTCAGGAGGCTGAGGCAGGAGGATCACCTGAGTGCAGGAGTTCAAAGCTGCCATGAGCCGTGATCACACCACGGCACTCCAGCCCAAGTTACAGAGTGAGACTGTCTCCGAAATAAATAAACAAATAAATAAAAATACACACATTTAAAATATTTGACTCAACTCGTGAATGAATGAAAAAATCAGTAAGCTACCACAACTAGTTTAAAGGAGAATTCAAAGAACAGAGACACCTATGGATCATGAAGTGGATGTATAAATATATATCAAATTGGCTCTTTTTTGGTAGGGTTTGCATTAGCTTCCTCTTGCTGCTATAACAAATTATCACAAATGTAAGTGGCTTAAAACAGAAAATGTATTGTCTTGCAGTTCTGGAGATGGGAAGTCCAAAGTGGGTGGACAGAGCAGAGTTCCTTCGGGAGGCCCCATGAGAGCCTGTTTTCTGGCCGGGCGCAGTGGCTTACGCCTGTAATCCCAGCACTTTGGGAGGCCGAGGCAGGCAGATCACGAGGTCAGGAGATTGAGACCATCCTGGCTAACACGGTGAAACCCCGTCTCTACTAAAAAAAATACAAAAAATTATCCGGGCGTGGTGGCGGGCGCCTGTAGTCCCAGCTACTCTGGAGGCTGAGGCAGGAGAATGGCCTGAAGCCAGGAGGCGGAGCTTGCAGTGAGCCGAGATTGCACCGCTGCACTCCAGCCTGGGCAACAGAGCGAGACTCTGCCTCAAAAAAAAAAAAAGAGAGAGAGCCTGTTTTCTTGCCTTTCCCACTTCTAGAGGCTGCCCTCATCCCTTGGCTCATGGCCAGGCCTCACTGCACCCTCTGCTTCCAAAGCCACATCTCCTGCCCTAACCCCAGCCCTCCTGCCTTCCTCCTAGAAGGAGCCTTGTGATTACACCGGGCCCTCCGAGATAATTCAGGGTAATCTCCTCACCTCAAGATCTTTACCTAATTTACATATGCAGAGTCTGTTTTGCCGCGTAAAGTAACATACTCAAACTGTGGATATCTTTGGGGGTCCATTACTCTGCCTGCCACGATGGGGAATCAAGTGTTCTTTCTACCAGAAAGAATTAATTTGCACATCTACAGATAAAAATCCTTTGCATTGCTGTTGCTTATCTACAGTTTACAAAATTACAAAACAGCACAAAGACAATGAAAAGCACAAACCCAAAAGTGGGTGGCCCAGAAGAGAGTGCTTCATTTTACACTGTGATCCAAAGCAGTTTTCCACTGAAGACACCTAATCATTCTTCTGGTCCATTTCAAAGGCTTTTACCACTTTTCCTGGTATTTCTAACCTGCTTCATCCCTTTACTTCTAGTTCATGCTTTTTCCTCATTTCTGTCATCTATTTGCCTTAGCATACTTTCAACTCTATCTCTCTTAAACTCCTTTTAACTTCATGTTCGTTCTGAAATAAGTTGGCCTTTTCTTCTCATTTTTTTTCTAATTCTACCAGTCCATAATGTCCACCTGCTATCTGGTCATCTCTTCCTCTTGTCTGGCTATTTCTATCGTAAGTTCTTGCATTTCTGCTTTGTGGTCTTTATAGTTGCAACTATTTCATTGAGGTTTTTTTTCTTAATATATGTTGGAAGTTTGGAGTGCAATTTTCCTCCGCCTTTGGCAACACTTTTCTGACATATTTTCTTCGTCTGCAGAGAAATTCTCTTTTTCAGGGTTTTTCTTACAGTATTTTGTATGAATTTGAAGTTATAGCTATTAAGTTACTAATATTTGGGTAAGTTCTTTGATCCCAGACCAGCTATTAGCAGGAGAATCCTGGGTGTTGGGTGGTGGTTTGTTTTGTTTTGTTTTGTTTTGTTTTGCTTTGCTTGAGATGAGATCTATGTTGTCCAGGCTGGTTTCAGACTCCTGGCCTCAAGCAATCCTCCTGCCTCGGCCTCCCAAAGTGCTGGGATTACAGGTGTGAGCTACCACGCCTGGCCCATCCTGTGTCTTGATAGCATAAACTCAGATGTGGTCCAAGGGTCACCATGAATAACAAACACATGCTTGTCACTTGGAGAATTCCAAGAGCTTTAGAAGCTTCATCCCATGAACTCTAGGGAAAAAAAAAAATCTTTACCATAAAACAGAGGGACTTTGTGATTAGTATGCCTAAGGAAGTGAAAGGCCAAAGCTTATCAGAACAGCCAAGGGTATCAAGAGAGAAGGCCTGGGAAAGAAAAGATGGCAGACAGGAGATCTGTCTCCATAAAGAGATACATAAGTCATGGCACTTGTTCCTCTGGGCCTCAGAAGATGACTGGAAACAGGCAACTCCAGGTCCAGGACATGGGCTGCGTGTTAGAGGGAAGTACTCCTTCCCATTCGAATCCCCCTGAGAGATTGATGGGCTAAGCCAGTAACCACCATATCTGCAAGTGCCCTGGGCCTTCATTTGATGTGGGGCCTGGAAAGATCCTGCTCCAGGGAGGAGTTAGGGCACCTGTAAGGGTCGCCACAACTGGCAGGGGCCCAGCACAGTGGCCAAGGCCTTCACATGCACTTGGTAGACATTTTTTTTGTCATGCTATACAGACTGTCCCTCCAGCTTTTGGAGAAGTAGGGGGCATAGGGTTGGGTCCACCATTGTACACAACAGGGCACAGTGTAAAACTGAGGAGTGGGTCACGTCTGCCAAGCCCCTGAACCACCACCCTATGCGAGATGATCTCACTGATCGTCTTTACTCCTCATGCCACCTCTTGCCATAGGCTGGGTCTCCTCCTCCCTCCTTACATGGTGTCAACCCCTCATCCTCAAATTCTTATGCACAATCCCAAATAAGGCTCCAGGAAAACCTTTGCTCAACCAGAAACTCATGATGGTGAACCTTAAACAAAGTGTCAACCACCCTTGCCCCCTGCTGTCAGCAGCACAACATAGAAGCTTTGATTCCTTCTTCTTCAGCATACCCTTGACCTGCTCTTAGCAAGGCCCCCAGCCTTGACTGCAGGGTGGGGTGTTTCTTCCTGCAGAACTGGGTGTGAAGAACATCATCCACCCTGGCACCCCTGCTCCCTGTCCCTCTGCCGTGCAGCCAGGGGGGCTGCCTGGCCACCTGCTCTGGACTCAGCGTGCACCAGCTCGTTGGGATTCTATTGACTGAGGCTTCCATGTGCCCCCACTCCTGGTTTCCCTTCCACCCTGTCGCCTACTCACGGTGTCCCCAGAGTTCTGCCCTTCTCCTCTGTGTCTCGTGACTTTCACACCCTCCCTGGGTCCCATGGCTTCCCATCTTACCCAGTTGCTAAGGACCCCCCGTTTCTGTTTCCTGTCCAAATCCCCCTCCCATGTGTGGATGGAGACACAGAAACTCTTTCACCGTGGTTTCCTTTAGGGAGAGCTGTGAGGAGCATAAAGTGATATATACACGTTGTAGAGGGTGATTATAAGTGTTTTCCTCCCATCTCAAACTCCTGCTAGTTCTCCCCAGTTTGAGATTGCAGCGGGCTATGATCACGCCACTGCACTTCATCCTGGGCAACAGATTATAATTACTTGGTTTTGTGTTTTTGTCCTTTTTTTTTTTTTTTTAAGACAGGGCTGGCTGGGCACGGTGGCTCACGCCCGTAATCCCAGCACTTTGGGAGGCCGAGGCGGGCAGATCACAAGGTCAGGAGATCGAGACCATCCTGGCTAACATGGTGAAACCCCGTCTCTACTAAAAATACAAAAAAATTAGGCGGGCGTGGTGGTGGGCACCTGTAGTCCCAGCTGCTCAGAAGCCTGAGGCAGGAGAATGGCATGAACCCAGGAGGCGGAGGTTGCAGTGAGCCAAGATTGTGCCACTGCACTCCAGCCTGGGCAACAGAGCGAGACTCCATCTCAAAAAAAAAAAAAAAAGGGGGGGGGGGGAGGCCTTGCTCTGGGCTCAAGCAATCCTCCTACTCCAGCCTCCCAAGTAGCTGTGACTACAGGTATGCACCGCCACATGCAGCTAATCATGCTTTGTAGGGACGGGGTTTTGCCGTGTTCCCCAGGCTGGTCTTGAACTCCTGGGCTCAAGTGATCCTCTCACCTCAGCCTCCCAGAGTGCTGGGATTACAGATGTGAGCCACGGCACCTGGCCACGATGGTCAGCTTTAGGTGTCAACTTGGCTAGACAATAGTACTCGGTTATTTAATCTGTTAAAAAAGTAAACCAAGACAATAAAATGTTAAAGAGTTTATTTGAGCAAAGAGTGATTCACGAATCAGGCAGCTCCAAACCAGAGGTGGTTGGAGGGTTGCACTGAGGACGCAGAGGCACAGATGTTTTAGGGTAAATGTGGAAGAGATGCTGAGAAAATATTTAATTGGTTATAATTATAAGTTGCCTTATTTGGTCTATCCCACTGGAAAGTCCTTAGTTATATAATGAGAAGTTTTTTGGCTGATTCTGACTAGTTGAGCTTAAGTTCTGTTTCTCTTTAACATAGACATTTATAAGAAATAGCTCAAGTTAAGTTTCACTTATGTTTGCAAATCAAACAAGGTGAAGGTCGCATATAGGCCTAACTGGCTTTGTCTGCTCAAGGATTCTTCAGACCTGGTCTTCATTTTAATTGATTCTAACAAACTCAACACTAGCCTAGGTGTTCTGTAAGGCATTTTGTAGATGCAAATCACGTCTGCAGTCAGCCAATTTTAAGAAAAGGAGATTATCCTTGGTAACCTGGGTCAGCCTCATCCAATAGGATGAAAGGCCTTGAGCAGAACTGAGGCTTCCCTGAGGAAGGAGAAACCCTGTCTGGACTGCAGCGTCGGCGCCTGCCAGAGAGTTCCCGCCTGCCCTTCCAGTGCCCTGGCCTACGGATTCCTGACTTGCCCTGACAGCCCCACCTTTGGGGAAGCCAGTTCCTTGCAATGCATCTCTCTCTCTCTGTATATATGGATATACATACTGCTTCTGTTTCTGTGGTAGAGCCCTGACCAATACACTACCTAATAAAATCAATTAAATTCAAACTCATCATTCTCTTTCCCACTATCCTACACCATCACACCCCCCGAGGCGCCCTCCCAGTCCTCATCCTGGTGAATGGCATGGTCTTCCTTGCTGCTGCCCAGGCCAGAAGCTGCGGAGTCTGGCCAGGCTCCTCCCTCTCTCTCCTCCTATACCCAGGCATTGGGCCAGCCCAGGGGTTTTGAGAATTCGCACCCACCCTCCACTCACACCTCCACTGTTTGCCCTCTGGCTTTCCACTGCAGACGTCTCACTAGATTCTCTGTCTCCATGACAGTCTCATCTCCCCTGCCCCAGCCACCAGCCAGGGTGGTCTCTGAGAATCCCATCTGTCCTGTTTAAAGGCCTCTTCTGTGGGCAACATGGAGTCCACACCCCCATGCCGGCCGGCCCTCTCATTCCAGCCGCTGCCCCAGGACCAGGGCATTGGGCCTCCATCTACCTACTGGCTGGCCGCTTGCTTTCCTGAATGCCCAGCAAACCCCAGCCACTGGGGACATGGGCTAGGTCTCTCAGTTCCTACTTTGGAACCTAAAACCTAGTAAGTACTTCAAAACTGTTTTCCTGCAGTGCGATTGAATGGACTTACCCCTCCCTCTCCGTCTCCTCTAACTGCTCATAATACAGAACCCAAGAAATGTACTTAATTAGTTTGGGGGTTACCAACAGGAATTTCACTGTCTTTGTTCATGATTTAATGGTAGGTGATTAGCGCAAAAAAGATGTTGCCCCTTAAGAAAACGAAATCTGCTTTTGTCTCGTGTGTGGTCTTCAAGTGAGTTTTATTTATTTTTATTTTTTTTATTTTTTTGAGATGGAGTCTCGCTCTGTCACTCAGGCTGGAGTGCAGTGGCGTGATCACCGCTCACTGCAAGCCCCACCTCCCAGGTTCACGCCATTCTCCTGCCTCTGCCTCCCGAGTAGCTGGGACTACAGGCTCCCGCCACCACGCCCAGCTAATTTTTTGTATTTTTAGTAGAGACGGGGTTTCACCCTGTTAGCCAGGCTGGTCTTGATCTCCTGACCTCGTGATCCGCCCGCCTCAGCCTCCCACAGTGCTGGGATTACAGGCGTGAGACCCCGCGCCCGGCCCAGTGAGTTTTATTTTTTGTTTCCCGGTGGTGCTTGATACTAAAATATGTTTCACTCCGCTGTTGATCCTTCAACAAGTCTAGAAGAACAGGTGGCCCCAGGGCCATTTCTTTAGGGTCCTAAGCAGATAGGAAGAGCTTTGCTCTGTCTCGTGTTCCAGCGGACCCAACATTCATGTCTCTATTGGATGGAAACTGCTGGAACATCTTCATTTCTGGAGACAGAGCCTGAGTCCTTGGCCCCAGGCCTTTCTCTCCATCCCTGTCAAGCAATTCTTTTAAGTGTTAGCTCCTCGCATAAAGCCTGTGGTCTGCCAGAACCCACCCTGAGGGCCGAGCCCCATGCCTGGCTTGCCCAGTACCCCAGGCTGGGAGCTCAGCAGCCACAGCCTACAACTTGGAGCAGGAAGCACTTGCTGAAAAGGCTCAACGTGAACTTGGACCTGACTTTGACTTCTTCTCTGTTTGAGAGCTTTTGTTTCCCCCACTAGATTCTGGATTCCTAATAACCCTGTGATGAGTCCTCCCTGGAGCGAAGACAGTGAGTAAGCCAGCAGTTGTGTGCTGCAGGAGGCAACTCTGACCCACACAGTTTTCTTGAGTTCATGAATCAAAGATGCCAGACCCTGAGCCCCAAGGGCCGGGTGCCAATGGCCCTGTGAAGGTCATCCTGTGGCCCTTGCAGGCGGAGCCTGTCTTTCCTCTGTGCAAAGCGTGCTCTTGCTGCCCACCGTGGGAAGCTGGGCCCCTGAGTTCCAGCCTCCCTTGCAGAGATGTGCGCTTTCCCGGTACTTTTCCGCCCTGGCATTCTGCATGACTGCCAGGCAATCGCTCGGAGATAAAGTGTACCCTTTATAAGCCCAGAACTTTAAGTTTCTCTCACACAGAGATCAGACTCCTAAAGGGAGTAACTGAAGACATTCTGAAAGCTCCAGGAACAGAGGAGCAGAAGGAGGCCGCCTGCCTCCTGCCAACAGCCAGTCAGGTGAGCTGCGAGCCACCTGGCTGTGTCCCCGGCTGCCCTCCGGGGCCCACTGCCATGGAAACCGCACACAGCATCGCTGCTTGAGGAGCCAGACGAACACAGCTGGCAGGGCCACTGGGTGGGCAGAAGGCAGCTGAGCAGAGCCTCGGGAAGCTGGGCTTCTCTTCTCAGCCCTGCCGCCCCCTCTTCACCGTGTCTGGAACAAGGTATTGCCCCACTAATGGTTTGCTCCCTTGAAAGGGATAAACAATCTCACGCTTCGATTCGAGGATACGGAGCCCTGGTTCTGAGGCACCAGCTGCTCTGTGAGCCTGAAGTGACTCACATAGTGTTTGAATCAACATGCACTGCATGGCGATGACAAGGACCGCTCTTGAGGAAGCCAGTGGGAAAGTGGCCCTCAACCTTTGCAGTCGGAAAGCATTGTAGAGAGATTCCTCGTCCCCAGGGTTTCTCCCCAGGCCCCTCCATGTCATGTAAGGAGTGGTAGCATTCATGTGCTACCATAGCAGGTAAATGGAGCAATTAAAAGTTACAGAATCACTGCAGTCTCTTCCCCATCCTTCACAGCCACTGGAATTCACATCTGCCTTAACGGAGTTCTGGCCTCCTCCTTCCTCCTTTGTGAAACCCTCTGTGGCTGCCCATTGCTTGCAGGAAAAACCCAGAGCTCTGAGTGCATGGCAGCTCACGTTCTTCACAGTCTGGCCCTGATCTTCCCTCCGGGTGCTCGACAGCTTGAATGTGGACCCCAGCCAGCCTGCCCTCCACATCACCCCTGCGACACTTAGTTCCCTCAGTGCGTTCTCATCTGAACACCACACAGCAAGTGTACCACATTGTCCACTGACGGGTGGCTTTCCTTTTGCGAATAGAAACTTTAATAGTACCCAAAAACAAATACAGTACTTTGAAAAAAAGGGTGCAAATATTTGTTGGTACTGGGAAATAAGAAAGGGTTAGAAATATTCTGACTCGGCCGGGCGCGGTGGCTCACGCCTGTAATCCCAGCACTTTGGGAGGCCAAGGCGGCCAGATCACCTGAGGTCAGGAGTTCAAGACCAGCCTGGCCAACATGGTGAAACCCCGTCTCTACTAAAAATACAAAAATTAGCCAGGCGTGGTGGCGCATGCCTGTAATCCCACCTACTCAGGAGGCTGAGGCAGAAGAATTGCTTAAACCGGGAGGCAGAGGTTGCAGTGAGCCAAGATCACACCATTGCACTTCAGCCTGGGTGACAGAGCGACACTCCATATATATATATATATGGCCAGGTGTGGTGGCTCACGCCTGTAATCCCAGCACTTTGGGAGGCCGAGATGAGCGGATCACAAGGTCAGGAGATTGAGACCATCTTGGCTAACATGGTGAAACCCCGTCTCTACTAAAAATACAAAAAATTAGCTGGGCGTGGTGGGGGGTGCCTGTAGTCCCAGCTACTCGGGAGGCTGAGGCAGGAGAATGGCGTGAACCCGGGAGGCGGAGCTTGCAGTGAGCCAAGATCGCTCCACTGCACTCCAACCTGGGCAACAGAGCAAGACTGTCTCAAAGAAAAAGGTTGCCTAGAGGGGGAGGTGGGGGAAGGAGAATGAGCAGGTGGGGATATCTTTTCATATCATTTTGATGGTTTGAACTATGTCATGCATCTCCCATTTGAAAGTTAAACATATTTTTTGAAAAATTATACAAGCATAAGACATTGTTAAATTCAGTCACTTCACAAAAACATGTAAAGTTGGACTCCAAATGCCAGAGGATCCATGGAATCTAACTGTTCTGCCTCTTCTCCCCTACATGAAGCTTCCTCAAGGGCAAGCATCTTGTCCTATTCATCTTTGCGTCACTGGGCCCAAGCACATAGTAGATAATCAACAAATCTTTATTGAATAGATGGGTTGTGGAAACTGACAGCCACAGATTAAACGCAGAAGAAGGCACTAGTGCACATGATCGGGACTGCTCACTTTATTTAACAAGAATCACCATAGTGATGAGAGATGTGTGAGGGAAACGGCACTGCGGTTGCCAACAGCAGCAGGCTGGGGCCAACGGGCTCCCGGAGGCAAAGCCTGGACCATTTCTGAATGAGGGGCTCATCATCGCCTAGAACTTTATGCTTTGTGTGTGTGTGGGGGGGTTCTTTTTGTAAAATTGTATTCATTTTAACAGCAAATGTTGAAAATGTTTCAATATGCATTCTCCCCTAAAATGTGTAGTTATAAGATAAGAGACTTGGTTTTCTTGCCATTTTTCCTTTGCTGATTAAAAAGAAGAAAAAATAAAAAAAAAAAACAGGAAATGAAATCTGGTTTATATATAATTTGTCACACATGTAAGATATCCAACTTTGTAAGCACTCCAAGTTTTCATTAACTCTGCTAAAATATATTTACATTAAGAAATTTCCCAGCCCTAATGTCATTAGTTTCAAACTTCCAAACTCAGTTGTTTTGCTAAAAACGCAGATCAGGGCCAGATGGAGGAACAAGCACCCCTGATTGACCTCCCTCCGAACCAAAATCCCATAAATGACAGAAATATCTTCCTTAATTAGAAGTAGCACAAAAGGGAAAGAAAGGGGAAGGAAATGCATCATGTTCTGGGAATAAATCAGCAAGGTCACCAGCATCGCACAGCATTTGCCCCCAGTTGATATAGAAAGTGCGAATACTTGGTCCAGAGAAGAAAGACAGTCTCCCCAGGAATCACTGACTCCCTGTCCCTGAGAAGGACAGGGAACTCATGGCCAGGTGTGGTGGCTCACGCCTGTAATCCCAGCACTTTGGGAGGCCGAGGTGGGTGGATCATGAGGTCAGGAGATCAAGATCATCCTGGCTAACACAGTGAAACCCTGTGTTTACTAAAACAATACAAAAAAAATTAGCCGGGCATGGTGGCGGGCGCCTGTAGCCCCAGCTACTCGGGAGGCTGAGGCAAGAGAATGGCATGAACCCAGGAGGCAGAGCTTGCAGTGAGCCGAGATCGCACCACTGCACTCCAGCCTGGGCAACAGAGAGAGACTCCGTCTCAAAATAAATTAATTAAATAAAGCGGGAGGCTGAGACAGTCACTTGAGGCTAGGAGTTCAAGACCAGCCTGGCCAACATGGCAAAACCCCTTATCTACTAAAAATACAAGAATTAGCCTGGCATGGTGGCGCACCTGTAATCCCAGCTACTTGGGAGGCTGAGGCAGGAGAATCACTTGAAGCCAGGAGGCGGAGGTTGCAGTGATCTGAGATCACCCCACTGCACTCTAGCTTGGATGACAAAGCAAGACTCCATCTCAAAAAAAAAAAAAAAGTAAAGTGGAATTTTAGAAATCTAGGCACATTGCAGCAAAATTTTGGAATACCAAGGAAAAAAGGAAAATCCTCATAGTTTTCTGACCGAGAGAATAGGTTGTCACAATAGAATGAAAGTCAGCTTGACATCAAGACTTATCATCAATCCCGAATCCTAAAAGATAGTAGAGCAATTTCTCTAACATTCCAAAGAAAAAACTATTCGTAATCTAGGATCCAAGACCCAGCCAATCTAGCCTTAAATTGGGGGTGCAAAATAAAGACATTTTCATGCATATATGGGTTCATCCCACCTATAAACTCCCCCCAAAGAATCTAAGAAAATAAAAGAGATCAACTACAGTAAGTGCTGGAGGGAGAAATAAAGACAGAGATGATGCACTAAACTGGTCTTAAAAATATGAAACTAAAGTCTCCAATGAGCTCAGTGTGGTAGGGAATTGGTCCCAGGCGGGCAGGAGCAGCGGCGAGAGAACGGCGATTAAATTCACATTCCCAGTGCGGGCAGGACTGTCCCAAAGCAAGAACAGAGCTTTCTGCAAATGATCCGGTCAGACCTGTCTCACTTCTGAAAACAACCTCATTGGGATTTCTAATAAACTGGACTGATTCACTAAATAATTGGACTAGCAAACCAAACCAGTTTTACCTTTTTTTTTTTTTTTGAGACAGAATCTCGCTCTGTCGCCCAGGCTGGAGTGTAGTGGCATGATCTCAGCTCACTGCAAGCTCCGCCTCCCGGGTTCACGCCATTCTCCTGCCTCAGCCTCCCGAGTAGCTGGGTCTACAGGTGCCCGCCACCACGCCTGGCTAATTTTTTGTATTTTTAGTAGAGACAGGGCTTCACCGTGTTAGCCAGGATGGTCTCCATCTCCTGACCTTGTGATCTGCCCACCTCGGCCTCCCAAAGTGCTGGAATTACAGGCGTCAGCCACAAAGCTCTTTCTCTTAACTTACATTGTCAGGAAACTGGTAACATAGATTGAATGACCCGCCCCAGTTTTTCACCCACACTCACACCCTCGCCATAGCCTCCCTTTCCCACCCCTTGACTTTGGGCTTGGCCAAAGGGATGCCAGCAGGCATGACACAGCAAAACTGGAAATGTGTTTGTGGGGTTAGATGTGCCGTCTCTCAGGGCCCTGCCATCAGCCAGAGACGAACCTGCCCCTGCTGGTCCCAGGAAGAGGATGAGAGGCATGTGGAGCAGAGCTGCCCAGCCAACCCACAAACTCATGAGTAAGAAATAAATGATTATTACTGTTTGCCACTGAGATGTGGGGATGGTTTGTTACACAGCATAAGTGTGACAATAGCTAACTGATACTCAGAGGGCAAGTGCCACTGGAGCAAACTTGAGGAGGAATTCCTGAGCCTTTATATTAAAGTGGCTGCTCTCACTAGAGACACGATTGGACTCTGGCTGGTGCGATGACTCACACCTGCAGTCCCAACACTTGGGAGGCCAAGAGCAGAGGATTGCTTGAGCCCAGGAGTTTGAAAGCAGGCTGGGCAATGGATCAAGACTCCATCTCTACAACAACAACAACAAAAACACAGTGTTTTGAACTGAAGGAGCCATACAAAGGATGTCATACAGATTTATTAAATTCAAAACCAGGCTGGGCACGGTGGCTCACACCTGTAATCCCAGCACTTTGGGAGGCAGAGGTGGGCGGATTACCCGAGGTCAGAAGTTCAAGACCAGCCTGGTCAACATGGTGAAACCCCGTCTCTACTAAAAATACAAAAATTAGTCAGGCGTGGTGGTGCACGCCTCTAATCCCAGCTACTTGGGAGGCTGAGGCAGGAGAATTGATTGAACCTAGGAGGTGGAAGTTGCAGTGAGTCAGGATTGCGCCACTGCACTCGAGCCTGGGCGACAAGAGCGAAAGTCAGTTAAAAAAAAATCCAGAAAAACTACTTTTCTGGAATGCAAATCAGAATAGTGGCTGCTTGGGGATTAGGGGACAAGGGAAGTTGAGTAGACTGTAAAGGGATTGGGGGGAATTTTCTACAATGGTGGCAATGTTTTCTGCCTTGATTGGGGTGTTGGCTACAGATAGATATTTGTAAAAAGCCATTGAATTATATATTTAAGATCTGTGTGTTTTACTAAACTATTCCTCAATTTTTCAATTAGCAATAATCACGCCTCGGATAAACCTCATTGGCTATGATACTGCCACTGCACAAAGCTATTCCTCAATTTTTAAAAACATGTCTGTATGGAGTGGATACCCAGACCAGGGTGAGGCTGAGGTGCAAACAGGCCTACCTGAGGTGCCGGGCAGCCTTCCAAGACTCCAAGACTAGGTGGGCTCTGGGCAGACAAAGCCTCCCTCTCACAAAAGGTCTGGGAACCCTTTTCAGGGGGCTCAGAGTCCGGCCACATCTCTAGGTTTTCTGACGTCCTAGACACACCATGAGAAAGAACTTTGACTGGGCTCTCAATCTGGTTGGTGACCTAGGATATGGGGCTCATACCCAGGACCAAGA
Source organism: Homo sapiens (assembly GCF_000001405.40). Taxonomy (NCBI): domain Eukaryota; kingdom Metazoa; phylum Chordata; class Mammalia; order Primates; family Hominidae; genus Homo; species Homo sapiens. Next base: position 257,103 of record NW_016107298.1, read on the forward strand.
ACCCAGGGCTTCTATCCAGAGCCTAGGACTTGGGGCTTATACCCACGGCCTAAAACCTGGGGCATATACCCAGGGCCTAGGACACAGGTTTATGCCCAGGGCCTAGGACACAAGGCTAATACCTAGAAAGAACACAGAACTTACACCCAGGGCCTGGAACTCGGGGCTTATAACCAGGGCCTAGGACATGGGGCTTATACCCAGAGACTAGGACACAAGGCTTATAACCAGAAAGGACACAGAACTTATATTCAGGGCCTAGAACCCGGGGCTTATACCCAGGGATTAGGACATGGGGCTTATACCCAGAGCCTAGGACACAAGGCTTATACCCAGAAAGGACGTGGGGCTTATACTCAGAGCCTAGGACACAAGGTTTATACCCAGAGCCTAGGACATGGGGCTTATACTCAAAGCCTAGGACATGGGGCTTATACCCAGAGCCTAGGAAACACAAGGCTTATATGCAGAAAGGACACAGGGCTTATACCCGGAGCCTAGGACATGGGGTTTAACCCAAGGTCTAGGACACAAGATTTATACCCAGAGCCTAGGACAAGGGGCTGAGAACCAGAGAATAGGACACAAGGCTTATACCCAGAACCTAGGACAGAAGGTTTATACCCAGAGCCTAGGACACAAGGCTTGTATCCAGAGCCTAGGACCCGGGGCTTCTACCCAGAGCCTAGGACCCAGGCCTTACACCTAGAGCCTAGGAGGCGGGGCTTACACCCAGAGCCTAGAACCCGGGGCTTATACCCAGAGTCTAGGACCCTAGGCTTATACCCAGGGCCTAGGAAGCAAGGCTTATACCCAGAGCCTAGGACACAAGGTTTATATGCAGAACCTAGGACCCGGGGCTTATACCCAGAACCTAGGACACAAGGCTTATACCCAGAGGCTAGGACGCGGGGCTCATATTCAGAGCGTAGGACACAGAGCCTGTATTCAGAACACACTAACCTGGAAACAGATGCTCTGAAACACAACTAGGAGAAAACCTGGCAAATGTCAGTCGTGATTGTCTCTTGTCCCCATGCAATAGGATTACAAGTGTTTTCCTTTTCTTTGTTCTTGTTGGTTCCTTATAAATTTAAAATAAATGATTAACCTCAAAAGTATTTGTGGACATGTGATTACATATAGAAGAGTGATTGTTAAATATTCTTTCTCAGGATAGCTTTATACTCTGAAAATCTCCTGTGGACCCTAAGGAACTTTACGTGAATTGCATCTATCAATTTTACTGTAATACAGATTAAATTTGAGGAGGTTTTGAAATATTTACTTATTTTAAAATAGTAATGATTCCACAGTGTCTACATATTTCAAAACATCATGTTGTACACGTTAAATAATTTCATTTTCAATTAAAAATAAGCTTTAAAAAGAATCCAAATTGCTCAATTTTTTAAATTAAAAACAACAAACCCATTGTTGTATGTTAACAATAAATAATTTTGTATGGAAAGCAACAATATCTTCTGCAAAATTAGTGAGTTGCATTGCCGCTGGCAAATCTCTAGGTAGATGTCTGAGCTGATTCTCAGATCTGCTTTTGCCTTCAATCTGTTACAATGTCACACATCACAGCATCTCTGGAAAATTCCACTGTATACTCATGGGAGAATAAGAATGAAAAAAGGCAAATCACATCTTACCATTATTATGAAAATAGTTTTGGCTACACTTTGAGAACTACTAATATAGAGTATAATCACAACTGTATAAAAATAGGCAAATAAAATTTCTGAGTAAAAGTGTCATGGTGCCACCTCGTGTCATCTTTAATTATTGCAATGCCTGCTTACCGAACTTGTCTGTGCACACGTATCAGGTTGGTGCAAAAGTAATCACGGTTTTTGTCTGGGCATGGTGGCTCACGCCTGTAATCCCAGCACTTTGGGAAGCCGAGGTGTGCAGATCACCTGAGGTCAGGAGTTCAAGACCAGCCTGGCCAACATGGTGAAACCCCGTCTCTACTAAAAATACAAAAATTAGCCAGGAGTGGTGGCGCACACCTGTAATCCCAGCTACTGGGGAGGCTGAGGCAGGAGAATCACTTGAACCCCAGAGGCAGAGGCTGCGGTGAGCTGAGATCACCCCATTGCACTCCAGCCTGGGCGACAGAGTAAGACTGTGTCTCAAAAAAAAAAAGTAATCGCAGTTTTTGCTATTGAAAGTAATGGCAAAAGCTGCGATTACTTTTGCACCAACCTAATAGTATATGGGGTGTGTGTGCATAATATGGTTTGTGCATGCAGGCTGCGGACATGTGTGGAAGTATGTGTATCAGTGGTGTGTGTGCAAGTATGTGTGAATATGGTGTGTGCATGTAGTGTGGTGTAAATGTGTGTGCACGCAGTGTCTACATATGGCTTGTATGTGCCTGTATTGCGTGTGGTGTGGATGTGCATGCATGCAGTATGTGGCATATGTGTGTGTTCCTGTGGGCCATGTGTGCATGTGATGTGTACCTATGATGTGTATGTGTACACATGATGCACGTGTGTTTGTTGGTGATGCGGGTCATATATGTGCATGTGGTACATGTGTATCATGTGAATGTGGGGCCTTGTGTAGTGTGGTAGGTGGTATACGTGTGTATGTGTTACAGTCTGTGTTGTGTGTGCGTGCAGTGTGTGTTGCTGCGGTGCGTGTGCGTGTGCCTGTGCCTGTGTTATGTGTGGCATGTGTTGTAGGTCTGTTTGTGTGTGGGGGAGGTGGTGTGTGTTTAGGACTCACACATGGAAGAATGGAAGTAATATTTCACCCCCATCTGCATGCATGCCTGCTCTGTGCTTCCCTTAACATTCAGAAAACATATTTTAAGCTGCCCAGAAAGTATCAGGCAGGCCTGAGTCCCAAGAGACTTCCATTCATTCCTCTCCGACTTCATCCTGTCAGCCTCCTGAGCTAGGCATTGCCTCCTTTTCACAGACTGAGAGGCACAGTTGCTTGCTTCAACTAACAAGTAGTGGATCCAGGATTCAGACGTGGGTCTTCTGACCAAGGAGGAATTCAATCATCTTGTACTAATGTTATAAAAATTAGCAATAAATGTGAATGTAACATAACATGAATGTTATAAAAATCGTTTATATGGTAGGATCAAAAATGTGTAAAAAGGCAAACAGACTTCTGAATAAAAATAATAGGACAGCATCAGCGGGGCACCATCTCCGCTCCCTGACTGTTTCCATCTTGTGTTTGTGTGCATTCAGACCACGCACAGTTAGGAAGGCATTCACTAGTAATCAGCAGGACACCCTCTCCACTCCCTGACTGTTTCCATCGTGTGTTCGTGTGCATTCAGGCCATGTACACAGTTAGGAAGGCATTCACTAGTAATCACTGGGCACTGACTTTATGCCAAGTGCTGTGCAAGGTGCTTTCACATTCAAGTATAAAGGCGGCAAACACAAATTATCCGGCTCAAACATCACATGTGCAAAATGTAACTCATTATTTTTCATAACACAGTTTTAATTTCTGATTCCAATTTCTGAAAATGTAATCCAGTCCCTCTCAGAAAATTTCAGCCCCCAGCCCCATGTACGGTCACTCAGATCCTGCAGGTGGATTTAGACCAACCTGTCCTTCTCTCCCTTTCCTCAGAGTGGTGCCCTGGCATCAGGGAGAACGATGACTGGCCCCTGGCTCCCTAGCATCTGCCTGAGTAGCACATGATGGGCTGGCATCTGTGCCCACCAGCATCCACGGAAGTCCTCCGCAGGGATGGACTGTGCTTGGAGCCTGGGGCCCGGAGTCTGGGAAGGAGGAGGAGGAGGATGCTGATTCCAGAAAGACTTTGCCAAGCTCGCCTCCATCCTGGTCCCTTCCTCTCCCGCCAGCTAGGAGGGGGAAGCACTCGAGGTGCATGCTTTTGTGGCAGCTACACGTGCCCCTGGGGTTTATCAGTCCTCGCTCAAGAAACCCAGGGACACGTAGCTGCTCTCCCTCCCACCCCCTCTCCTCTAGCTCCTGGGTGCTGGGACCCTGCAGCCAGCAGACTTTCCTTCTCAGATGGACACTGCCTCACACGACCCAGCCTGGGGGCCCTCTCCTGGCCTGTGGACCTTATCTCCCAGCTCCCACCAACCTGCATTCTTCCCCACTCTTTTTTTATGTAGAAAAATGTTGAGACAGAGTCCTTCAGGATGTGTCTCTTGATGGCCAAAGCAAATCAAACACATCTTGATTTTCAAACTGGTATCTCCTCTGCTGTGAGCTCTTCAAATCCATTCGGAAACTCAGTTGGCTGCTGCTTCTTTCTGGCTGTGAGGTCTCATGGTCCACCTTTCCCTGGGCCAGGACAGAGCCTTGAAAAAGCCCACGGGGACCACAGTGAAAGTAAGAGCAGTAACTGACATGCAGGGAGATTGCTGGGGCTCAGTCCGACCCCAGGCACACCCGCAGAGCGCCCTGAGAAAAAGGCACGGGGCTTCTCCATAGGACAGCTCAGTGGCAAGGGCCTTGTTGGCCGACTCACCTGCCATTGCTTACCTGCCACTGCCTTCCCCGAGAGAGGGACTTGCCTCCTGCCTCATGCAGGCTGCCAAGAGCCTAGATCCTGACCAGCTCAGTCTGGAGGGGCCTCACCCCCAACAGAAGCAGGAAAAGCCAGGCCACCGAGAATAGAGGCCGGGTCTCAACAGAATCCCCTGGGGAGCTGGAACATATGCAGTCCTGGGCTCCACCTCAGAGATTTGAGTCAGGAGGTCTGGGGCAGGGCCTAAGAATCTGCATTTCCAACAGGCACCCAGGGGATGCCAGAATGCCATGGGTCCAAGACTACACTGAGCAGCACTGATGGGAAGGACATAGTAGCTTGAGCGGCAGGGACCCAAGCTAAGCATCAGAGCGGGGGGGGCCAGTGAAGAAACAAGACAGAATCAGAAAAAAAAAACTGTAATGAGAAGAACCCTTAAAGAGATTGGTTTTTTCATATTGTTTCTTTGCAATATCTTCTTGACTCTCCTTAAGAGTTCTCGCTACAGTCATTTTTATTATAATTTTTATTTATTTTATATTATTGTATGTTATTTATTTTAAAAGACAGGATCTTACCCTGTTGCCCAGGCTAGAGTGCAGTGGCACGATCACAGCTCACCATAACCTCTAAGTCATGGGCTCAAGTGATCCTCCCATCTCAGCTTCCTGAATAGCTGGGACCACAGGCATGCGCCACCATGCCTGGTTAATTTTTTAGTGTTTTGTACAGATGGGGTTTAACTGTGTTGTCCAGGCTGGTCTCAAACTCCTGGCCTCAAGCAATGCTTCTCCCTCAGCCTCCCAAGGAGCTACAGGTCAGGCCAGGCTCCGCCCACGTGCAGGGCTCGTGGGGCCTCAGTTTCCCTCTTGGGCATCCCAGGTAGGCAGATCCAGAAGGCCTGGGCTAGGCCACTGCAGGGCAGTGCTGGGGGTGGGGATCTCTCCTGGCCTCCTGTCCCAGCTCCCTCTCCTCTTGAAACCCGGTGAAGTCCGTGCTCTTGTGCGTGTCTGCTGTTTACATTTCTCCCATGGATGTATTTGCCTTCGTTTGCATAAAAAATGCCACAGTCCTAATGAGTTTGCCCATCTGGCAGTGCAGGCCTCCTCTCTGGGCTCGGCTCCACTGAGAGCCTCGAGGGAGCCGTTATAATTGGGCCGCTCCCTTCCAGGATCGGGAAGGACTGTCCCGAGCAGGCTCATGGCTCACGACCTGGCCCAGGGCTCCACGGCAGGCTGGAGCGGGCTCCCTGAACTGTGGGTGTCGTGCCTGTGTGTCCATCAGCAGGGGCATCTGGGCCCACCCTGCCTTGGCCACCACCAAGGTAGGCATTTCACTGTACATTTCAAAATCAAATTGGGGCAGCCTCATGGCACCCCGTGGAACTTGTCCCAGGCTGGAAGGATTTGAATCCTGGAATATGGTGACACAGAACGTGTCCTTTGGAAACTCAGCTGTGGGCAGCGCCTGGCTGGGCTGTGTCAGACAGTGTGTCTTAGCCTCTCAGTGTCACTCTGACGACCCCACACTAAGCCCTCTCCCACCTGATGCTTCCAACCATGACATTTATCGCCCCCTCCCCTGGGCCAAGCAGGCTTGATCCTGGCCTCGGGAGACAGGGGTGAAGGGTTCAAGCCTTGTGGCATGGGAACCTTAGGACACAGGCGCTACCGTGCACTGACATGATTGCTAGAAGAGGGGATGGAGGTGTCCAGGGAATCTGGCGGAAGAGGGTCCTGTGCAGTCTAGCATCAGGCTGTGTCCTCTACGTCTCCATGATTGTGTGGAGAGCCCCAGGCAACCTCTGACTAGAGGCAGTTTCCAGAAAATGGTGATGGAGCCCCCTAACCATCCCGGGAGAGTGGGTGCATGCTGGGGGATGTGGAAAAGCCTAACAGTGGCTTGAAAGCATGGCAGCAGGGCAGGCACAGTGGCTCACACCTGTAATCTCAACACTTTGGGAGGCTGAGGCAGGTGGATGACTTGAGGTCAGGAGTTCGACACCAGCCTGGCCAACAAGGTGAAATCCCGTCTCTACTCAAAATACAAAAATTAGCCAGATGTAGTGGCATGTGCCTGTAATCCCAGCTACTCAGGAGGCTGAGGCAGGAGAATTGCTTGAACCCAGGAGGCGGAGGTTGCAGCGAGCCGGGATCACTCCACTTTACTCCAGGCTGGGCAACAAAGTAAGACTCTGTCACACACACCACACAAAGAAAAACAGTGGCAGCTGGCGGCACCTGGGATGCATTTTCCCTCCTTTTTGCTTTGCTACAGGAAAGTGAAGGAGAAACAGACACTGAAAGGGACAGTGTGTTAAATTCTCAGCTCACAGCTGCATGGCTGTGTAGTTACAGAGACTAAAACTGGCATGGATGTGCCCAGTGCCTTGAGGCCACAGGGATGGACCGTGCCTGGAGCCCAGGGCCTGGAGTCTGGGAGGGAGGAGGAGGCGGATGCTGATACCAGAAAGACAGCGAGGCCGAGCGCAGTGACTCACGCCTGTAATCCCAGCACTTTGGGAGACCAAGGCGGGTGGACGAGGTCAGGAGATGGAGACCATCCTGGCTAACACAGTGAAACCCCGTCTCTACTAAAAATACAAAAAATTAGCCAGGCTTGGTGGTGGGCGCCTGTAGTCCCAGCTACTCAGGAGGATGAGGCAGGAGAATGGCGTGATCCTGGGAGGCGGAGCTTGCAGAGAGCCAAGATGGTGCCACTGCACTCCAGCCTGGGCGACAGAGCGAGACTTCCTCTCAAAAAAAAAAAAAAAAAAGAAAGAAAGACAGCGAGGGGCAGGGAGGTGGTTGAGGAGCGCTAAGGAGTTCCTTTGCGGTCGGACGTGGTGACTCACGCCTGTAATCCCAGCACTTTGAGAGGGCGAGGCGGGCAGATCACAAAGTCAGGAGTTTGAGACCAGCCTGACCAAAATGGTGAAACCCCATCTCTACTAAAAATACAAAAATTAGCCAGGCGTGGTGGCACGTGCCTGTAGTCCCAGGTACTCGGGAGGCTGAGGCAGAAGAATCGCTTGAACCCAGGAGACAGAGGTTGCAGTGAGCCGAGATCGCACCATTGCACTAGAGCCTGGGCGACCGAGCGAGACTGTCTCAAACAAACAACAACAAAAAGAGTTTCTTTGCATTATTTCTTCAGATTGGATTCTCTATTTGCATTTTAAAAAGAGGAGGTAGAATACGGCAGAGCACATACAGGACACCGATATGGAAGGCATCAGTCCTCGTGTGGCTCCTGGATTAACCACGCTTTCTGGTTTCTGTGTTCTATGGCGCTTTGGCATCGCAGGAGGCTTTGCTGGCGGGGAAGGGACTGCCCCTCCCAGGGCTGGCTAGTTCTGGAGACAGCACATACCTCCCTATGCAAACCAGCAGTCAGAAGCCCCTGCCCCCACCACACCCTTTATCTAACTCACACACCCAGGAAATATTCTCCCTGCCCCATCTCACTCCAGAGCATGGTACTGGATGACTAGGGACCATGCCATAGCTCCGGGCCTGCCAACATTAGGCAAACGGGGCCACCCGAAGCTTGCTCAAGCTCACCTCCACCCTCATCTATTCCTTCCCACAGAGACCCCAGTGAAGGCCCAGCCTGGGCCCTCCCCTTGCTCCTTCTGCCTCGGGACTGACCTGGTGCTTCCCCATGCTGGAAAGTCATCAACTCTTCATTCAAAGGCAGTGTCTCCCAGGCTGTCATCTGACCAGAGCTGAGGAAAACAAAGTCCCAGGTGCATTTCAAGACAGCCCCTCCTCTGCCTTCCTGGTCTGTACGCTCCTCTGCCCTAGGAGGTAACCATTGTTCTCATTTCCACATAACAGTTTTGCCTACTCTTGTCCTTTATATAAAAGGAATCTTTCGGTACATCCCCTTTTGTGTCTGGCCTCTTTTACCCAGCGTGAGCGTCACCACGCTGCTGAGATTGTTCTCTGCTGTGTGTGTGTAGTTCTCCTTCAGATGCACAGGCCACAGTTCACTTACTCATTTACTGATGAGTGTTTGGGGTTTTGACTATTAGGAATAAAGTTATGATGAACATTCTTCAATGTGTTCGTTATCGGAGAGAAGTGAAACCGGCCCAATTGCCCCATAGAACTGATGTTTATGGTTTCTTTGAATAAACATAGAAATGATCCTTCCAGTCTCACAAGATAAGATCCTCTTTGTCTTATCTGAGTTCCTTTCCCAAGAAACCACCTATCAGGCCTCCCAGATAGAATAAAAAAAAACTCCCAAGACCCCCACACCCTCCAGCCTGGGAATTGCCTAACCCACCACCTGCTTCCTGGTGACCGACTCTTCCTCGCCCCTCCCTGATTCCTGTTTTCACACACATGGTTACATTTCTTCTCTGCTACATAAACCCCTGATTTTCGTGGGTCAGGGGATGGGCTGAGACTGATCTCCCATCTCCTGGGCTGCAGCACGGGATTAAAGCTTCTTCTCTGGCAATGCTCCTTGTCTCAGTGACTGGCTTTTTGTGTGGCGAGCAGCAGCACCTAGACAAACCCCTGGTGTTTCTGTAACATACACACTCATTTCTCTTCAATATAGAACAAGAGAGAAACATGTGGGTCAAAGGACCCGCATATGTTAGGGAAGAGGAGGGATTTCCAGACATTTCTGTGCAGTGGTGGTACCAATTAATATGCTCACCAACCGTGCACGGGGGTCCTAACTGCCCCACATCTACACCCACACGGGGTACAGCCAGCCTTTAATTTCAGCCATTCTGCTGGAGCACTGCAGTATCTCAGCGTGGTTTTCATTTGAGTTTCCCCAATGAAGAGTGAGGTTGAGCCCCTTTTCATACATGTATCTGCCACTTGCTATCTTCTTTTGGGAAGGCTCCCATAAGTTATTTTTGAAATTGGGTTGTCAGTCAATTTCATATTGTGAGTCTGTCACTACTGTTTGTGCATGAAGAATTGAGTAGGTAACCTGCTTGTGGCCGGCCGAGGTGAGCTCTCCTTGGGTGGCTGTGCCTGTGGGAAAGACCCCGGGGGGGTGTTCTGGAGCCCAAGCACCACATCCCCCCAGACGGGGCCTGTCCCGATCTCACACTCAGCTCACCTCTCCCTCCCTGTGCCGATTTCTCACAGCGTTTTACAGTTCGTTGTCATTAGACTCTTTTGAAGTAAATTGCAAGGGTCTGATGAGTCATAACTGTGTGTGCCTCGTGTTCCTGCGTCTTGAGCCCAGCGGTAGGTCTCCCTCCATCCAGGCGGCACAGTTAGGGAGCACTCACAGGGACCAGCGCTGTCCTAGGTGCCAGGTGACCTCACGCAGGCAGCTGCATTCTAGTGGGGATGGCACTGGCAGGGACAGCAGATAGAAAATAAACAGGAACAGGAATCCAGTAATTTCTGGAAATTATACACAGAAGGAAATAAAGCAGGGTGAGGGTGTACAGTGTGTGTGTGTGTGTGTGTGTGTGTGTGTGTGGTTATCATGGGACAGGGAGTTAGGGAAGGGCTCTGTGAGAAGGTGGTTTTCAGTAGCTGCCTGAATGCAGTGGAGGGGGAAGTTCTTCTGGGGAAAGAACCATCCAGACAGAAGGAGACAGCATATGCCAAGGCCCCAAGGCAGAAGCCTGCTTCCTATGAGTGCAGCAAGAAACCCAGAGGGACAGAGAGGTGGAAGTGAGGGGAGAGCTGCGGGAGGCGAGGGGAGAGCTGTGGCCTGGTCAGTTACTTATGCACCTTAAGTCTCAGTTTCCTCCTCTATAAAATAGCGCGGGTCATCATGATTCCTACCTTGTGAGGTTGCCAAGTGGATTACGTGAAGCCGTGGTGTGTAGACCCCCCGGTACCTGCAAGTTCTCAGGAAAGGGAAGCTGTGATTATCAGGCCCTTCTTTCTCTCTGCTCCCAGGGCACCTTGTAACCCCACATCAGCTCATGTTGTAATGATGTATGTGTCTGGCTCTCCCTCGAGACCAGAGGCTGCACACTGGCACCCATAGCCTGAACCCAGCCTGGGGGTCTTCTGTTTAGCCTCACAGATTTGTTTTGTTAAGATAAATAGCTGCCGGCCAGGCGCGGTGGCTCACGCCTGTAATCCCAGTACTTTGGGAGGCCGAGATGGGCGGATCACGAGGTCAGGAGATCGAGACCATCCCGGCTAACACAGTGAAACCCCGTCTCTACTAAAAATACAAAAAAATTAGCAGGGCGTGGTGGCGGGCGCCTGTAGTCCCAGCTACAAGGGAGGCTGAGGCAGGAGAATGGTGTGAACCCGGGAGGCGGAGCTTGCAGTGAGCCGAGATTGTGCCACTGCACTCCAGCCTGGGCGACGGAGCGAGACTCCGACTCAAAGGAAAAAAAAAGACAATTAGTTGCCAACTTTCAACATTTCAGAAATTTTATATAAAAATCTGGGTTTCTGGCTTTCTTGGAAATTACAAGATCTGGCCGCTCTGGGTCCGAATGTCCACTTGGCCACGGCTGGCCGGAGGGAGCAGCGGCTGCGCACAAATTCACACCTGTGTCCTCCGCTCTGCCCGGGCCCCACCCAGCCGCTCCTCCCATCTCTCTGCCTCTTGGTCCCCGAAGGCACCTGTGGGTTTGAACATGCTGAAGACCCTGAAGTCCTTGAAGACAAACAAGTATTTTGTTCTGTTGTCTGTGTCCCTGGAAGATCCTTTCCTGGAGTTCACGGGGCCTGGGGCAAGGGTGCAATCAGAAGCCCGCGTCTCCAAAGTGAACATCAGTCGCTCCTCCCTTGTGGTCTGCAGGACCCGAGGGCTCCCACGACTTATTCAGAGGTCTGTGAAGTAAAAGTATTTTCATGTGACTGTTAAGACATTATTTGCCCTTTTCATCATGTTGACATTTAGTGTAAAAGGTACAAAATGACCGTGGGTAAAACTAATTCAGATCAAGGCAGTGGATCCCCGATGTGCCAGCTCTGTGTTCCCTACTGCTCTACACTCCCAATGTCAAGAAAAGTTGCTTTTGGGAGGCCGAGGCAGGTGGATCAGCTGAGGTCAGGAGTTCGAGACCATCCTGGCCAACATGGTGAAACCCCGTCTCTACTAAAAATACAACAATTAGCTGGGTGTGGTGGCGCTAACCTGTAGTCCCAGCTACTCGGGAGGCTGAGGCAGAAGAATCGCTTGAACCCAGGAGGCGGAGGTTGCAGTGAGCTGAGATCATACCACTGCACTCCAGCCTGGGCCACAGAATGAGACTCCATCTCAAAAAAAAAAAAAAAAAAAGTACACACATAAATAAATACATAAAAATAAATGTGCTTTTTTGATGTTGTGCAAAGAAACGTGTCAACATTTGGAGGATCCACATAACTCAGTGAACCAATATTTTCCAGATGACCAATGCTTCATGCTTCCGTTAGGAAAAGATCATCCTCTGTGGATCTCTCACGCTCCCACAGGTCTTTCTGGGTGTGCCAAGAATGCAAAGCTTGGGCACTCTTTTCATCCAAACTGTTTCTAAGATTTATATTTGTAGTGAGCAGCCTTGAGGAATGAGCTACTGTCTCCCTCCGGGACAAACAGCAGGCTTGCTTACTGCATGCTACAAAAGCGATGGGCCTCCAAGCTCAGTGCTCCTCAGCTGCAACGCAAACCCACTGTGTGTGTAGCATCTATCTCAGATCCTCTGCATCACCTCTGCAGGACTTGGGGGACAGAGGGAACAAGTGCAAAACAGGCTGCTGCCCGCTCTGCTTGCTGTGTGAGCATGCTGTGAATAATAAAGTCCTTTGTCTCTGACACAGGAATCTCAACTCTTTTGCCAGCATCCATGCAACAGTAACAAGTTAATGATTAGTTTGTAGTGGAGTAAGATGAAATCCCAGTCCTGACGGTTCCATGCCCGTGCAAACATGCATGGGCAAAAGATCCACTCAAAGTCCAAGAACAATGAATGAATTTTGATGGAGCAGAGAGCAAAAGTTTATCACTCTGGATTCAAATTTCACTTTGCATCTAGCAGGGTGGGTATTAGGTTGAAGGGAACGAGGTGCCGGGTCAGCAGCTGCACACCCCTGAGAACCAGCGCCTCCCTGAGTTTGCACCCTGGGCCTCACTCTCCAAACCCTTCTCTGGCCCCAGCAGCTAATCCTTGGGAAACTGCTACTCGTTGAGTTCTGGAGTAGCATCAAATCAGAACACCCGCAGCTCTCTGAAAAAGCTCTGAAACAGCTCTGAAACATGGCTCCCTTTTCTAGTTTCCTCTCTGCGGGAGTCTGGAATTTCTTCGTATGCTTCAGCCCGACAACACATCGCAACACGGACTGAAGGCCGAGCAGAGATGAGAACTCAGCTGTCTGCTCTTCATCCAGGCCGTGAAGAGATTTGCAAAGCTCTCCAACCACTCTTCTCACTACAGTTTTTTGGTTGTCTTGGAAAATAGAGTTAGTTTTCTTAAACACAAAACAAAAAGTGTGTTACTTGTATAACTGTATAATGGGCTTATTGTTATTTTTCTAAAACTTAATGAATAAATATTTTTAAAATGCCTCAGTTTAAAATTACAATATGGTAAACATTGATAGATGTAACCCACACGAACAAAAACTCTTTGGGGTTCTCAACAATCTTTTAGAATGCAAAGGGATCCTCAGCACAAAATGTTTGAGAACTGCTGGTCTAAATATTTATAAATCAACTTATAAATTAATGAACAAATTGGTAAATAAAATATGTTCTAGCTCCACCCTGGAGAAATCTGCTGTTAAAGTGACTTTATTCCCATTGAGAATTCTTGGCCGCCGCCGGGTTCTATGCTGGACTGCAGTGGGGAGGGCCCAGCACCCCGACCTCTGGTCAGCCCCGGCTCCAAGCAGCCCTGCAAACAGCTGTTTTATGCCCACCTCTCAGGCCTACTAGCTCTGTGGTCCACCCTTCAGGAGAGATCCATGCAAGAGGCCTGCGCTAGGCCCTGAAAGGGGCTTGGGGCTTTTGGGGCAGGGAACCGTGGGGCCTGGGGTACCCAGAGCATGATCCAGGGGTTGTGGGAGAGGGCTCCAGGTGGGCACCTCCCCTTGGCCCTGAAGACACCGGATTCCATGAAAAGAGCCATGCTGGAGGAAAGCCTGAGAGGAAGGCGCAGGACTGCTCCCCTGGTGAGCCACCACCCTGTGTGAACAGACAGGAGAAAGACTCGCTGGCTGGACAGAGAATTTCAGGACAGCACTGCAGCCACTGCTCCCAATGCCTTCGTGGCCCTGGGCTGGCCGTTCCTCTTCCTGGTCTCCCCATGCTTCAGTGCAGGATGAGGGCTCAGCCTGGGGGTTCTCAGCATTGTCTTGAGGCTCATGTTCCTTCCAGGAGCATGGGGTTTCTGGGCTGCTTTGGAGACCCTGACACCCTTTACACTGTGTGGATTTCACTGGCTGGTTCGAGAAAAAGACAGTTTTTCTATTTCTTGGAAAATTGAACAGAAATATTTATGAAAATTTCTTTGTTAAATGATGTTGCTATTTATTCAGTATAGGAGGAAAGGCTACTGAATAGGAAAATATAGGGATTTCTCTCCTGTGTAAATCCCTCTCATACGCCTCAAGTTAAGATATATACATATATATAGGCCGGGCGCAGTGGCTTACGCCTGTAATCCCAGCACTTTGGGAGGCCGAGGCAGGTGGATCGTGAGGTCAGGAGTTCAAGACCAGCCTGGCCAAGATGGTAGAACCCCGTCTCTACTAAAAAAAAAAAAAAAATTAGCCAGGCGTGGTGGCAGTCACCTGTAATCCCAGCTACTTGGGAGGCTGAGGCAGAGAATTGCTTGAACCTGAGAGGCGGAGGTTGCAGTGAGCCGAGATCTCACCATTGCACTCCAGCCTGGGTGACAGAGTGAGTCTCCATCTCAAAAAAAAAAGATATATACATATATACATAGACATATATATTATACATATATAAATATATGTGTTATATATACATATATATTAATCAGTAACATTTCACAGTAGATTTTAAACGGTACAAAAAACAGTACTTTTTTTTTTTTTGAGACAGAGTCTCGCTCTGTCGCTCAGGCTGGAGTGTGGTGGCATGATCTCGGCTCACTGCAAGCTCCGCCTCCCAGATTCATGCCATTCTCCTGCCTTAGCCTCTCGAGTAGCTGGGACTACAGGTGCCCGCCACCACTCCTGGCTAATTTTTTTTTTTTTTTGTATTTTTAGTAGAAACGGGGTTTCACCATGTTAGCAAGGATGGTCTTGATCTCATGACCTCGTGATCCACCCACCTCGGCCTCCCAAAGTGCTGGGATTACAGACGTGAGCCACCGTGCCTAGCCATTTTTTTGTGTTTTTTTAGTGGAGACAGGGTTTCACTGTGTTAGCCAGGATAGTCTCGATCTCCTGACCTCGTGATCCGCCTGCCTCAGCCTCCCAAAGTGCTGGGATTACAGGCGTGAGCCACCACGCCCAGCCAAACAACAGTACTTTTTATAAAATAACCCCTAAGTGCAATTTTTTTGGGAGGGCGACCATCACTGTCACTGATTTTGCCAGGTTTTCCTAAGAATCTTACCTGGTCCATGTGGGATCTGAAGGCAATAATCCTGTCAGTGTTGTCTGGAAAAGTCTGTTACAGTTAAGAAATATTTTGCTAAGCCTGTTATGTAGAAATCACTGTAGGTGGCCCGGCACGGTGGCTCATGCCTGTAATCCCAGCACTTTGGGAGGCCGAGGTGGGTGGAGCACCTGAGGTCAGGAGTTCGAGACCAGCCTGGCCAACATGGTGAGACCCCCCATCCCTACTAAAAATACCAAAACTAGCCGGGCATGGTGGCAGGTGCCTGTAATCCCAGCTACTCAGGGGGCTGAGGCAGGAGTATCGCTTGAACCTAGGAGGCAGAGGTTGCAGTGAGCTGAGATCGCGTCATCACACTCCAGCCTGGAGGACAAGAGCGAGACTTCGTCTCAAAAAAAAAAAAAAAAAGAAAAGAAAAGAAAAGAAATCACTAGGTAAAAACAAGGAAGTGAAATGCACAGTCTTACCTTAAAAAGCTTACTTTCTTCTGGCTGGGCACAGTGGCTCACCCCTGTAATCCCAGCACACGGGGAGGCCGAGGCGGGCAGATCCCCTGAGGTCAGGGATTCGAGACCAGCCTGGCCAACATGGCAAAACTCTGTCTCTAGTAAAAATACAAAAAATTAGCCAGGCGTGTTGGCAGGCACCTGCAGTCCCAGCTACTCAGGAGGCTGAGGCAGGAGAATGGGGTGAACCCGGGAGGCAGAGCTTGTAGTGAGCCGAGATCGCGCCACTGCACTCCAGCCCCGGCCACAGAGTGGACTCCTTCTCAAAAAAAAAAAAAAAAGAGTGCAGAAGCAGTTTGCTTGCAGTTTGCAGAAGCAGTTTGCAGAAGCAGTGTGCAGAAGCAGTTTGCTTGCAGTTTGCAGAAGCAGTGTGCAGAAGCAGTGTGCAGAAGCAGTTGTCCAGGGCTTGATTCCATGCTCCATATTCAAACTACTCAAGGATCAAAACATTAACTAGAGTTCAACTATGTGAGTTCAAATGTTTCTAGCAGATGTTTCTGTGTTTATTTCTTAATGATAATGGAATTTTTATGTGGTGATATCTAGATGGAATTAAAAATAATAAGAAGCAATGAAGGGTAAATGCCTGTATAACTATGCATATATCTTTGCTGAACCCAACATATTTAAAAATATGATTGGATGAATTAATTGGATGAAATTTTGCTTTGGTGTGAGAGTTAAAACTTGTATCCTCTAGGCCGGGCGCGGTGGCTCATGCCTGTAATCCCAGCACTTTGGGAGGCCAAGGCGGGCAGATCACGAGGTCAGGAGATCGAGACCATCCTGGCCAACATGGTGAAGCCCCGTCTCTACTAAAAATACAAAAAAAAATTAGCCGGGCATGGTGGCGGGCACCTGTAGTTCCAGCTACTCAGGAGGCTGAGGCAGGAGAATGGCATGAACCCAGGAGGCGGAGCTTGCAGTGAGCAGCGATCACGCCACTGCACTCCAGCCTGGGCGATAGAGCGAGACTCTATCTCAAAAAAAAAAAACAAAAACAAAAACAAAAAAACTTGTATCCTCTGAAAGAACCTCATGAAAATAGACTGTAAATCTACATTACTTGATAAGTAAGTAGAAAAGACTTCCTATGTCCTATGTCAATAGAAAATCATCTGCATTTATTTTGGTGTAGGTAAAGAACCATAACAAGACAAAATAAAGTTCTCATAAAGCTACAATGTTTTTGATAGGAGAAAGAAAGAAAGAAGCCAACGTAGACATAAAACTGCTGTACTCATTGGGAAAGATGAAGAAAAATACAGCAATCAGAACAGCAACTTTCACAAAGACAGTTTACAGCTCCATGTTAACATGAAGCATTCTTCAAAAACAAGTTGCTCCAGTTTCTTGTAGATTTTCCAGTGTCCTAATGCATGCTCTCTGGAGTTCTAAATTGCTTCTTAAACACTTCAAAACATACGTCTGGAAATCGCCGTTAGTGAAACAGAGGAAGTGCAACCGTTATGCAGTACCTAGAATCTACTTGATCACATGCACACACTCTAGACACATGTGTTTCAGAATATGATCATTGCATTTAGTTCTCAGAAGTCCACTGGTGTAATTTTCCCTATAACATTTGTTTCTGACATGTAAAAATTTAGATCCCAAGAGGCAGATTCCCAGAATAAATAAGGCTTAGCCAGTGATGTCCCCCACTGTGACAGTGTCAGCCCATTCTAACACAATGTTCGAATTACAAACACAAACACACGCAATGTGCAGAGCATCGCAGTGCTGGGTGCGCCGACATCCAAGACTCCAGGAATTACATAGTTTAGCAAACAACGTTTTTGCCTAAGACCCCGGGGTTCAAAATAATTTCTCCAGTCTGCTCTAGCCTATTTCATGTATGTATTCTGTTATAAATGAGAAACAAGACTTATTTTCTCCAGAATAATAGAACCATAGTGACACTGGAAGTAAGCCCAGATGATGATGATGATGATGATTACTATTATTAATTTCTTCTTCTTGTTGTTGTTGTTCTTCTTCTTCTTCTTTTTTCTTTTTCCTTTTCTTCTTTCTTTTTCTTCTTCTTTTCCTCCTCCTCCTTCTTCTCTTCCTCCTTCTTCTCTTCTTCTTTTTCTTCTTTTTTCTTCTTCCTCTTCCTCCTCCTCCTCCTTCTTCTTTCTTCCTCTTCCTCTTCTTCTCCCCTCTTCCTCTCCCTCTCCCTTTTTTTGAGATGAGGTCCCAATCTGTCACCCAGGCTGGACTGCAGTAGCAGATCAGCACTCACTGCAGCCTCGACCTCTTGGGCTCAACTGATCCGCCTGCCTCAGCCTCCTCAGTAGCTGAGACTATAGGCATGCACCACCATGCCCAGCTAATTTTTTTTTTGTATCTTTTGTAGAGATGGTGTTTCCCCATGTTGCCCAAGCTGGTCTTGAACTCCTGGGCTCAAGTGATCTGACCACCTTTGACTCCAAAAGTTCTAGAATTACAGGCATGAGCCACCGTGCCCAGCCTATCATTATTATTAATGATTATTTAAAAGACTAAGTTTTTGGTCGGGCGCGGTGGCTCACGCCTGTAATCCCAACACTTTGGGAGGCTGAGGCAGGCAGATAGATCATGAGGTCAGGAGATCGAGACCATCCTGGCTAACGCGGTGAAACCCCATCTCTACTAAAAGTACAAAAAATTAGCCAGGCTTGGTGGCAGGCGCCTGTGGTCCCAGCTACACAGGAGGCTGAGGCAGGAGAATGGCGTGAACCTGGGAGGTGGAGCTTGCAGTGAGCCAAGATCGCACCACTGCACTCCAGCCTGGGCGACAGAGTGAGACTCCGTCTCAAAAAAAAAAAAAAAAAAAAAAAAACTATGATTTTCCAGCATTCATATGAAATAATGTATTTTAACACACCGTTTTATATGTGTGTGTATGTGTGCATGCGCATATATGTATACACACACACACTAAGCAACAAGCTAGAATTCTTTTTTTTTTGAGACAGAGTCTCACTCTGTCACCCAGGCTGGAGTGCAGTTGCACGATCTCTGCTCACTGCAACCTCTGCCTCCCGGGTTCAAGCGATTCTCCTGCCTCAGCCTCCTGAGTAGCTGGGATTACAGGCACGTGTCCCCACACCTGGCTAATTTTTTTGTTTTTTTTCTGTTGAGATGGAGTCTCACTTTTGTTGCCCAGGCTGGAATGCAATGGCGCAATCTGAGCTCACTGCAACCTCCACCTTCCAGGTTCAAGTGATTTTCCTGCCTCAGCCTCCTGAGTAGCTTGGACTACAGGCTCCCACCACCACGCCCAGCTAATTTTTTTGTATTTTTAGTAGAGACAGGGTTTCACCGTGCTGGCCAGGCTGGTTTCAAACTCCTGACCTCAGGTGATCTGCCTGCCTCGGCCCCCCAAAGTGTTGGGATTACAGGCATAAGCCACCGCGCCTGGCCATTTTTTTTTGTATTTTTAGTAGAGATGGAGTTTCACCATGTAGGTCAGACTGGTCTCGAACTCCTGACCTCATGATCCGCCTGCCTCAGCCTCCCAAAGTGCTGAGATTACAGGCGTGAGCCACCGCACCCGGCTGAGTTGCTCCCACCTTTTATCTATTGTGAATAACACAGCTATCGACAGGGATGGGCAAGTGTCTCTTTATTTCCTTGCTTTCAATTTTTGGGGGATATATACCCAGAAGTGGAATTGCTGGAGCGTCCCTAGGTGTAATTTCCGAGGAACTGCCTTACTGTTTTCTAGAGGGGCGGCACTATTTTACATTCCCACCAGCAGTGCACAAGGGTTCCAGTCTCTCCACATCCTTACCAACATTCGTTATATTCTGGGTTTTCTTTGATACTAGTCAATGTAGTAGGAGTGAAAAGGAATCTCGTTGTCATTTCCATCTCCCTAATGATTAGTGATGCTGAGTATGGAGAAATGTCCATTCGAGTCCTTTGCTCTTTTTTTTTTTTTTTTTTTTTTTTTGAGAGGGAGTCTCGCTCTGTCACCCAGGCTGGAGTGCAGTGGCGCGATCTTGGCTCACTGCAAGCTCCGCGTCCCGGGTTCACACCATTCTCCTGCCTCAGCCTCTTGAGTAGCTCGTACTACAGGCGCCCGCCACCACGCCTGGCTAATTTTTTGTATTTTTAGTAGAAAAGGGGTTTCACCGTGTTAGCCAGGATGGTTTCCATCTCTTGCCCTTGTGATCCGCCCGCCTTGGCCTCCCAAAGTGCTGGGATTACAGGTGTGAGCCACCGCGCCCAGCCTTTTTTTTTTTTTTTTTTTTTTTTTTTTAAGACAGAGTCTCACTCTGTCACCCAGGCTGGAGTGCAGTGGCGTGATCTCGGCTCACTGAAACTTCCACCTCCTAGGTTTAAGCGAGTCTCCTGCTTCAGCCTCCCAAATAGCTGAGATTACAGGCATGTGCCACCACACCCGGCTAATTTTTGTAGTTTTAGTAGAGACGGGTTTCACCATGTTGGCCAGGCTGGTCTCGAACTCCTGACTTCAGGTGATCTGCCCGCCTCGGCCTCTCAAAGTGCGAGGATTACAGGCGTGAGCCACCGCGCCCAGCCTTGCTCATTTCTGAATTTGATTGTTAGGTTTTTGTTATTGAGTGTGTTTTTTTAATTGAGTGTAATATTCATACAGAGAAGCCACCAATCCCCAGAGGGCAGCTTGGTAAATTATCGTAGAGTGAATACGTCTGGGACACCAGCCCTCAGATCAAGAAATAGAATATTACCAGAGCCACCCTCCCCCAGAGCACTAAGATAATCGCTATCCTGACTTCTCACCAGATGTTTCTTTGGCCTGTTTTAGGGCTTCGCAGAAACAGAATCGTGCCGTACGCATTCATTTGTGTCTGGCTGCTTCTGCTCAACAGTATGTTGCTGAGATTCACCAACTGTGCATGGTGGCTGTGAATCCATTTTCAGTGCTGTAAGAATTTTACTCTATAAATATACTGAGAGGTACTTATCCACTCTCCTGTTGGAAGTTGGGGCTATTGTGAAGGGTGCTGGTATAAACATCCTAGTGCACGTCGCACGTCATTTGGTGAACACGTGCACAGTGCACAGTTCTTTTGGGTCTATGCGTAAGAGTGGAATGTGGGGATCACATGTGTGGTCTCCTTTAGTAGGTATTACCCAAGGGTTTTCCAAAGTAGTTGTGCTATTTTACATTCCCAATAGTATATGAAGTTTCAGTTACTCCACATTCTTGCCCAAACTTGGTATCAACAGTGTTTTTAATTTTAGCAATTCTGGTAGGTGTAATATTGGTTTCTCACTGTGGTTTAAATTTGATGGCTTATGAGGCTGAGCATGTTTTAAATGCTTTTTGGCCATTTGGATGTTCATTTGCTCTTTCCTCTCCCTTCCCCCCTCCTCCCTCCCCCCTCCCTCCCTTTCTTCCTTCCCTTTTTTGTCCCTCTTCATTTCTTTCACCCATTGTCCTATTGGTCTGCCAGCTTTTTTCTTAATTTTTTAAAAAACTTTATTTAAGTACTGGGATACATGTACAGAACGTGCAGGTTTGTTACACAGGTAAACATGTGCCATGGTGGTTTGCTGCACTTATCCACCCGTCACCTAGGTATTAAGTCCCGCATGCATTTTTCTTATTAACTTACAGGAATTCTCTTTATACTCTACATGTGATTTATCTTTTTACCCTCCTCCATTCCCCACCTCTTTTTTTAAGAGACAGAGTCTCACCCTGTCACCCAGGCTGCAGTGCAGTGGCACAATCATGGCTCACTGCAGCCTCAGCCTCCCAGGCTCAAGTGTTCCTCCTGCCTCAGCCTCCCAAGTATCTGGGACCACAGGCATGCACCACCACGCCCAGCCAATTTTTCATTTTTCGTAGAGACGAGGTCTTGCTAAGCTGCTCAGGCTGTTCTCTAACTCCTGACCTCAAGTGATCCTCCCGCCTTGGCCTCCCAAAGTGCTGGGATACAGCGTGAGCCACCACACCCGGCCCCATCTTTTTACTCTCTTATTGATGAAAAAATTCTTAATTTTACTATCATCCAATGTATCTGTAGGGGTGGGTTGCCCCTACACACCTGTGGGTGTTTCACGTAAGGTGGGACGAGAGATTTGGAAAAGAAAAAGACACAGAGACAAAGTATAGAGAAAGAAATAAGGGGACCCGGGGAACCAGCGTTCAGCATATGGAGGATCCCGCCAGCCTCTGAGTTCCCTTAGCATTTATTCATCATTTGTGGGTGTTTCTCGAAGAGGGGGATGTGTCAGGGTCACAAGACAATTGTGGGGAGAGGGTCAGCAGACAAACGCGTGAACAAAGGTCTTTGCATCATAGACAATGTAAAGGATTAAGTGCTGTGCTTTTAGATATGCATACACATAAACATCTCAATGCTTTACAAAGCAGTATTGCTGCCCGCAGGTCCCACCTCCAGCCCTAAGGCGGTTTTTCCCTATCTCAGTAGATGGAGCATACAATCGGGTTTTATACCGAGACATTCCATTGCCCAGGGACAGGCAGGAGACAGATGCCTTCCTCTTGTCTCAACTGCAAGAGGCATTCCTTCCTCTTATACTAATCCTCCTCAGCACAGACCCTTTACGGGTGTCGGGCTGGGGGACGGTCAGGTCTTTCCCTTCCCACGAGGCCATATTTCAGACTATCACATGGGGAGAAACCTTGGACAATACCTGGCTTTCCTAGGCAGAGGTCCCTGCGGGCTTCCGCAGTGTTTGTGTCCCTGGGTACTTGAGAGTAGGGAGTGGTGATGACTCTTAAGGAGCATGCTGCCTTCAAGCATCTGTTTAACAAAGCACATCTTGCACCGCCCTTAATCCATTTAACTCTGAGTTGACACAGCACATGTTTCAGAGAGCACGGGGTTGGGGGTAAGGTTATAGATTAACAGCATCCCAAGGCAGAAGAATTTTTCTTAGTACAGAACAAAATGGAGTCTCCCATGTCTACTTCTTTCTACACAGACACAGTAACAATCTGATCTCTCTTGCTTTTCCCCACATTTATCAATCATTTTCTTTGGGGATAGTGTTTTGTCTTATTGAAGAAATTTTTACCTGCCTCCTAAGGAGCCTTAAAAATCTCCATATGCCCACAAAGCCCCACTGTTCTAACGTCTATTTTGTGCTAGAAAATAAACGAGGCACTGTCCCAGAGGCTATGCCTATCTTGTGGGAAAACTTCTTCATCATCATTTGCTAAGCTGGGAGATGATCGGGATGAGGACAATCTCCATGGCTCCCGGCATCTGATCCCTTCCTGCATTAGAGAGAGTGGGCCTGATGCCATCGTGGGCCCAGCCCCACCTGCACCCCACGGGGAAAGGGCAAGAGGAATGGAGAAGGTGTGGTGTCCTTGGGCAGAGCCAGCCCAGAGATGTGGTTCTGCAAACAGAATGAGGGTACAGATGAGTCTGCCTGCATCGCCACGGGGCTCCGGGGGCTGCAGGAGGTGGGAGAGAAGCAGGTAGAGGAGGGATCCAGCAGGAAGAAGAGCAGAGCATTCTCCCTGGAAAGGGAGAAAGGACGCACCTTTCATTTAACAGCTCAGTGTTCCAGTGACCGGAGGTGAGGTCGCAGCTGCTGGTCCCACAGAGCCTGTCTCTGGCGTTAGTTGTTTAGATGTCAGAATTGGTGAAAAGTTTGAGATTGTACCAGCTGGTCCGGGAAAGGTGATGGGGGAGCTATAAAGCTTGCGGCAGGGCAGTCAGGGATGACCGGTGCACAGGGGCTCCAGGGCACGTGAGCCACACGGTGCTTAGGGCCAGGCCTCCCAGGAGTGACCCAGACCAGCCTTTTCTTTCTCATCCTCTCACTCTCTGAATTCAAAAGCTTGAACATGCCACGAAATGTCCACCCAATAAAAAGAAAGTATTTGCCTACTGGGCTCAGACATGGTATTAAGGAAATTGCAAATCTACTGACTGTGACAGAAAGCAAATCAGTGGCTGCTTGGGATGGGGTGGTGTGGGAGGGGCTGTAGGGAGGGATTCCAAAGAATCATGAGGAAGCTTTGGGAGTCGTGATGCTCCTGGTCATGGTTTTGCGGGTGCGTACGTGTGTCAACATTGATCAAAAAAATTTGTTTTTTTTGAGATGGAGTTTCGCTCTTGTTGCCCAGGCTGGAGTGCAGTGGCGTGATCTCGGCTCACTGCAATCTCCGCCTCCCGGGTTCAAGTGATTCTCCTGCTTCAGCCTCCAGAGTAGCTGGGATTACAGGCATGCACCACCACACCTGGCTAATTTTTTGTAGTTTTAGTAGAGATGCGGTTTCACTGTGTTGGTCAGGCTGGTCTCGAACTCCTGACCTCAGGTGATTCACCCACCTCGGCCTCCCAAAGTGCTGGGATTACGGCGTGAGCCACCATGCCTGGCCTTGTTCTCTTGTATGTCAGTTACCCCTCCATGAGGCTGCTAAACATCTTCCCAGCACACACACCCACAGACACACACCTGCATGCCCTCACGCAGTTTGCAAGGCAGTGGTTCAAGTTACACTTTAATCCCTCAAGTGTGCTCATCTCACTCTCTGAACCTGCCCTCTTGCAGGGTCCATGGTTCTTCCAAGTGTCCTGGTCACAAGGCAGCTGGATCGACACTCAGAGATATAGAGCAGAGCAGAGTGTGGTCCCTGAATCTATCTCGCCCCCACAATCTTTACACACAGAGACCTTCCCAGGAGCTGTGACTTGAACTTCACAATCTGCAGGGTCCACCCAGGAGCTGTGTCCTCCTCACAGGCAATTGGATCCCCTCCTCTCTCCACCTGTGTGGGAAGATTGGAAACAAAAAATAGAGAACGTGGGAGGTAAAACACTAAGGGGATGGGCCACAGCTGAGCATCCCCAGGACAGAGGAAAACGCTGAAGGGATGGATGGGCCACACCTGAGCATCCTCAGGACAGAGGGAAACACTGAGGGGGTGGATGGGCCACACCTGAGCGACCCCAGGACAGAGGGAAACACTGAGGGGGTGGATGGGCCACACCTGAGCATCCTCAGGACGGAGGGAAACACTGAGGGGGTGGATGGGCCACACCTGAGCATCCTCAGGACCGAGGGAAACACTGAGGGGATGGATGGGCCACACCTGAGCATCCTCAGGACAGAGGGAAACACTGAGGGGGTGGATGGGCCACACCTGAGCATCCTCAGGACAGAGGGAAACACTGAGGGGGTGGATGGGCCACACCTGAGCATCCTCAGGACAGAGGGAAACACTGAGGGGGTGGATGGGCCACACCTGAGCATCCTCAGGACAGAGGGAAACACTGAGGGGGTGGATGGGCCACACCTGAGTGACCTCAGGACCGAGGAAAACACTGAGGGGGTGGATGGGCCACACCTGAAGGCCCCCGGACAGAGTGAAGGACGGCTGTTGTTGGGATGATAATTCCACATCTTTGGAGAACAAGAATTCCAGGTGGTTTTCTTCTCTCCAAACAGCATGGTTATGAACTAGCTCTCACTCCAGGAGGCTTTAAGGCTCCATATAATATCTGTGGTAATAAAGAAAAACAGGCCAGGTGCCACGGCTCACACCTGTAGTACCAGCACTTCGGGAGGCCAAGGTGGAAGGACCACTGAGGCCAGGAGTCTGAGACCAGCCTGGGCAACGTAACAAGAGCCCATCTCTATAAATAATTTCAAAAACGTAAAAAGAAAAGAAAAACAAATAGTGGTAACTGTCACAACTAACATATAGTTACAAACAAAAATTTACACCAAGGTGAAAAAAATCAACTTTTTTTTTTTTTTTTTTTTTTTACCAAAACGATGCCTCAGTCTAGGAAGAGGTGCTTCCTCTCTGGAAGCAGCTGAACACCTGAGCTGCTGTCCACAGGCGGACGGACTCTCCAGGAGCCCCCAGTGGGCCTCGGCTCCTCCACGTCAGCTCCTCTCTTGTCCCTCTGCTGGTCCACGGGGGCCGCTGCAGCTGGCCAGGTCTCCTGGGAGTCGGAGGGGGCCATGGGTTCCACCCCAGGGCCCACCTCATCAGCACAGTGCTCTCACCATCTGAGCACCAGCCCAGAGGAAAAGGAGAAAGAATGGGTGATGCTGATCCCCCAAGCAAAATGGAAACCCCTCCACCTCCCACCCTCAAAAGCACCCAACAACGGGCCCTGGGCACTGAGGGCCTCACGGGCAGCTGTTTGCATCACAGTGAAATCTACAAAGTTCCCATGGCACGTGAGTGGACGCTTCCTCCACACGGGAATGTCTGGCTGCCCCAAGGAAGGCTGCAATAATGTTGAGATCTTTGAATAGGAGCAAGGGATCAAGGCCGATGGCCTCTCTGAGGGCCTCAGTTTCCATCCATGTGGGCAAGCTCCCCTTTGGGAATCTGGGTTATGGTTCCCGAGATGGGGACAAGAGGCATCCGCTGACGGCTATATTTACAAAAATCCATCAAGTCGACACGCTTGTGAGAGTCAAAGCAGTACAGTAACTCACTGGAGAAGTGAAAATTTCTCATCTTCACACGCACAGAGATAACGGGGGCGGCGTGGGGGCAAGCCGAACGCATGCGTGTGCTCTGTGCACTCACCGCCGCCCTCTCCGCGGCTGTCTGGCTCCTGATTTGCATAGTGAGAGGCAGACACCAGGCTTGAATCAGGAGGGGCAGCGCCTTGTCCCAGTGAGTTTGGGTCTTGAGACAGTGAGTAGCAAGGGTGTAGAAAGGAAGGGATTTATCGACAAAGTTATCTGACTTTGATTCTTGAGCTCAATAGAGAGAGTTTGAATAAAAAGGAACACCGATACTAACACACGTTAAATAGACGAACTGCTTCTAATATTTGATAGGCAATAAATGTCGCATTTGTTTATACTTCCTAAGCAAAGTCAAGTCTCGTTCTCAGTTGCTCATTTTCAGAGAGTGAGAAAGTCCAAGATCTCATGGGCCCCTCCCCTTCCTCGGGTTATGGACACCAGGGCCCTGGGGACTGCAAGCTGGGGAGGTCTCCCGGGAGTCAGAGGGGGACATGGAGGAGAGCGGAGGAGAGAGTGCTGTTCTAGGGTGTCATTAGGTGGCTGTCAGATCCCTGCTCCTACATTCAGTAGGGAGTGACCTTCGGAAAATTATGTAGCCTCCCTAAGTCTCAGTTTTCTCACCTGAAAAATGGAGCTGATGGTAATAATCCTCATCCAGGAGAACAGCATGTGTTGACCATCCTCGTGGCATTCTTTTTAAGAGCTGCACGGCACTCCATTGTATGGGCATTAAATCATTTATTTATTGTGTGCAATCTCGGCTCACTGCAACCTCTGCCTCCCAGGTTCAAGCGATTCTCCAGCCTCAGCCCCCTGAGTAGCTGGGATGACAGGTGACCACCACCATGCCTGGCTAAATTTTGTATTTTTAGTAGAGATGGGGTTTCACCATGTTGGCCAGGCTGGTCTTGAACTCCTGACTTCTGGTGATCTGCCCACCTCAGTCTCCCAAAGTGCTTGGATTACAGGCCTGAGCCACCACTCCCGGCCCATAGACCTAAATATAAAACACATTTGTTGAACGCCATGAAACCAGCAGCTTTGCTGTTACCACCAGAGGGACTCACATGATTTGGAGAATTTTCAAATAGGGATATTGATGCAAACAAACAGGAAGGACCAGTAGCTCTGCTCTTCTCCTCAGAGACCAGAACCTGCCCAAACCACCCAGCATCACTGACAGATGACGGTTCCTGAGCTCATGCGAAGAGAAGACACAGCGAGGGGAGATGCCTGTGGAAAGCAGATGGCCTGAGCTGTGTGTGCACGCCCTAGTCCACGGGTAGATCCATCAGCAACAGTGGAAGCCTCACCGACTCAAGGTGTTCGTGTACAAATTCAGACAACTGTTGGCAGAATACCAAGCACGCAGATAAAGGAGCGGTTCCTGGGAAGCCATGCATAAGAAACAAACAAAAAATGAGCAGAGACGGCTCCGGATACACGCTGCTCACAGAATTTACAAATTTAGTACAGGCTGGTTACAAACAAACGAACAAACAGTAACAACTCTCAGCGGAAAAGATTCAGAATCCAGAGTTGAAGAGTCTATAACCTAAAGTATCCAGTGTTCAATGATAAGTTACAAGACAAAAAGAAACAGGCAAGTGTGGGGGAAAACTGTCTTTGTGTCCCCAGATGTCACACTTAGCAAACAAAGACTTCAAAGCAGTTACTTATGTTAAAAGAACTTAAAAAGGGCCAGGCACGGTGGCTCAATCCTGTAATCCCAGCACTTTGGGAGGCCGAGGCGGGCAAATCACCTGAGGTTACAGGTGCATGCCTGTAATCCCAGCTACTTAGGAGACTGAGGCAGGAGAATCGCTTGAACCTGGGAGGCAGAGGTTGCAGTGAGCCGAGATCACGCCATTGCACTCCAGCCTGGGCAACAAGAGCGAAACTCTGTCTCAAACAAAAAAGAAAAAGAAAAATGACTTATGAAACGTCAAGCACAACATATGTAGAATGAGAGTCTCAGAAAGAAAGAAAAGGGGAAAGAATTATTTATAGAAATAATGGCTGAAAACTTACCAAATTTGATATAAAACATTAATCTATAGAATCAATGTTTACTTTCAGTAAAATAAATACCAATATATCCACTCCTACACACCTTGTGTCAAGCTACGAAAACACAAAGAGCAAATATTGAAAACAGTAAGACAAAAACTTCTCCTCATGTACAAGAGCACCACGATAAAATTAGCCACTGATTTCTGATCAGAAACAATGGTGAGACCATGAACGGCAGCTCACGCCTGTAATCCCAGCACTTTGAGAGGCCAAGGCAGGTGGAATACCTGAGGTCAGGAGTTCGAGACCAGCTTGGCCAACATGGTGAAACCCCATCTCTACTAAAAATACAAAAATTAGACCAGGCGCGGTGGCTCCCGCCTGTAATCCCAGAGCTTTGGGAGGCCGAGGTGGGTAGATCACGAGGTCAGGAGATCAAGACCATCCTGGCTAACACAGTGAAATGCCATCTCTACTAAAAATACAAAAGATTAGCCAGGCGTGGTCGCAGGCGCCTGTAGTCCCACCTACTTGGGAGGCTGAGGCAGGAGAATGGCATGAACCCGGGAGGTGGAGGTTGCAGTGAGCCAAGATCTCGCCACTGCACTCCAGCCTGGGCGACGGAGTGAGACTCCATCTCAAAAAAAGAGAAAAAAAAAGAAAAAATTAGCTAGGCATGTTGGTGCACACCTGTAATCCCAGCTACTTGAAGGCTAAGGCCAGAGAATCGCTTGAACCTGGGAGGCAGAGTTTGCAGTGGGCTGAGATCACACCACTGCACTCCAGCCTGGGCAACAAACAGAGGGAGATTCTGTCTCAAAAAGAAAGAAAGAAAGAGAGAAAGAGAGAGAGAAAGAGAGAAAGAGAGAGAGAGAGAAAGAGAAAGAAAGAAAGAAAGAAAGAAAGAAAGAAAGAAAGAAAGAAAGAAAGAAAGAAAGAAAGAAAGATGGGAAGGCAATGGGATGGCATAATCAAAGAATGAAAGAAAAAAAATTGTCAACTAAAAATGCCATGTCCAGCAAATCTATCTTTTAAAAATAAAGATATTCCCAGATAAAGACAGAAAATTTGCTGCCAGCCATCCTACCTCATAAGAAACACTAAAAGAAAGCTTCTGAACTGAAAGAAAGGCTTGATTCTTCTATTTGAAAATACTGAATTGATTTGTCACAGGGTATGTGTGTATATGTGTGTGTGTGTGTGTGTATGCCAAATATTCCAAAATTTCTCATGCACTTTAACTTTTATTGATTTTAGAAGCAAAAATATTGCAAATATATAAAAATATTCTTTGAAGGTTTAGTTCAATTTTATACTTTTTTAGTCCTATGAATTTTAATAATAAAGAATTGATTTAATTTTTGATTAAGTCTAGCTGAAGACAGTAAAGATTAATTGAAGCAAAAATTATAAAAATTTATTCAAAACTCACAATGATAAACAAGTATAAAAATGTAAGCTCTATGTCTGAGTTGAAGCAAGGCAAGAACATATTGTGTGGGGAGGTTAGAATTGCAGGCAGAGGAGACCCTGGAGCAATAATCCCTGGAAATAACAGGAATTTCGGGGACAAATCCAGATCCTCAAAAACTGTGAAACTGAGAGAGTCTGAGCAGAGTTCTCCAATGAACCAGGTATCATCTGTGTGCCAGGGTGAGAGGACGGAAAACGGGCCAGGTCTGTCTCTGACAGGTTGAGAAGGTGGAGTGGGAAGGAGGGATCCGGAAGGCCAGGAGGGTGGAGGGAACTGCAGGGGTGGGTGGTGGTGGGTGGGGCTGGGCTTTAGCCTCCTCCTCCCACTGCCCACCCCACCCTTAGGAGCCCTTTGTGAGGGGGAGGCCCCAGCTCTGTGATGTGGACCTGGGCCCCAGTAACTTGTCCCAGAGGGGATGCCCAGGGCTCAGCTGCCTGAGGACAGCAGTGCAGTTGACATGGATATTCTCTTTCCTCTGCACAGTGTTATCGGTACAGAGCTGTGCCCCAGCTCCATTCCCCAGATCATCCATTTCGTCCTCTTTGTTGTGTTCAGCCTGGTGATCCTGATTATCTTACGCCTCTACATTCCCAGGGAGCCGTCCTCAGTGCCTCCCAGAGAGGAGGACAGCGAGAATGTAAGGAGCCCTCAGCCCACACCCAGCAGAGAATGCTTCTATTTTTCCTGCTCTCTTTTCCACTTTTCCACATCAGCCAGAGGCGCTCCTGTGATGGGAACTCTCATCATCCCTCTAGGGACAGCAGGGCAGGCAGGGGTTGGAGTGGGCATAGGATTTCCAACCCAAGCCCCCAGACCATCTGTGGAGGTGCACGGGAGGCGTCAGAGCAAAACCAAACCCCAGGACTCAGCGGCGAGGACCCGGTCATGAGAGGGGTGAGGTCTCTGTGGAAGGACAGGCCCTGAGCCCGGGCTCATCAGCCGCCTTCCCGGGCAGGTGCCTCGGG
This sequence comes from Homo sapiens, assembly GCF_000001405.40. Taxonomy (NCBI): domain Eukaryota; kingdom Metazoa; phylum Chordata; class Mammalia; order Primates; family Hominidae; genus Homo; species Homo sapiens. The sequence continues at coordinate 287,535 of NW_016107298.1, forward strand.
GCCCAGCCTCTGTGTGAGGTGCTCTGGGGGCTGTGCTGAGCCCCTGAGAGCCTCCCACCTGAGACTGGAGTCGCCCCTGGCCTCCTCGGAAGCAGAATCCTCCCTGCCAGCTCAGAGGCACCTGCAGACCCAAGAGTGTGTGTTTCCCAAGCAGCGGAACAGGGACTGAGGATGCCCAGGGCAGGCCTCACATAGAAAACCCCTCCATGCTTTCCAGAGAAGGAAACCAGAAAAGGTTATTACGCACTTTAGAAACCAGTGAAAGAGAAGCACACAGGCTCCATGAGCTGGGCGGAGAAAGTGTGTCATTCACGAGCACTGGGTCTGCAGCTGTGGGGACAGGAGACTGAGACCCGGCCTGCACCCTCTTTCTTGTCTCTCAGGATCAAGCTGAAGTGGGGGAATGGCTCAGGATCGGAAATAAATATATCACTTTGAAAGGTAAGGCTCTGAGGGTCCCAGAAGCCCCCAGAGATGACAGCTTCACCTGATCCTAGGAACATGCTGCTTGTCTCCAAGGAATTCATTTTCAGAGGCCTGAAGGGAACCTCCTAGGAGAGAAATTGGAACCCGGGATCCCTCTCCATGGGATGAAGCCATGGGGTCCAGGAAGCAGGTGTTGCCCAGGAGGGGACCGTGTGGGGGAGGGGACCAGTGACCACCTGGACATGCAGGAGGGGCTGCAGGTCCATGTGGGCAGCTGTTTAACATGGCTGAGCCCTCTCTGAGGCCACCCTGTCCTCTCTCCTCAGGAGGTGGTCGTGACCCCCATGATGGGGCGTGTCAGGAGGCACCCTATAAATGAGAAAACGCTGCCCACCGGGCATCTGGCTATCACTCCTGGGGCCCTGTGGCCTTGGACAGGGATGCTGGGGCTCCAGGGTCTAATCCCCGATCCCGGGGTCTCCCCTAAGGGCACACGCACTCGGCCTCCTGTAAGTCCCAGTTCCCTCCCTCGCCACCATAACCCATCTCCTGCTTTCCAGACTGCAGAATTCTCTTGAAAGAATTGGAGAACCTTGAGGTCTACACTTTCCTGCTGGAAAAGTGAGGCTCTTCCCCTTCTCTCCCGTGTCCTCCTTCCTACCAGGACCTAGGATGCCACCCCAGGGCCTGGGGCTGATCTGGGAGGGGAGATCACGGCCGTTATGTCACTAAAGCCCTGGGCAGGGGTAGGCAGAGCTTTGTGAAGTCAGCAGGGGGGCCCTGGAGGTCCACAGGTGCCCAGTGCTCCCGGCTGCAGCCTGTGCCTCCTGTCTCCTGCAGGCGCCTGAAGAAGCTCTCTAGGGAGGGCAGCTCCCATCACCTTCCACGCCCAGTCCGCCCAGGGGCAGTGTACAAACCAGCACCTGCTAGGAACCACCGGCCACGTGGGGGGCGTGGGAAAGCTTCTCCCACCAGCTTCCATGTGTCCCCACGGGCTCCCCCGGCTCCTCTGGCCTCCATGCCGTCATCAGTCCCGAAGACCTCCATAGAGTCCCTTGGGTCTCCATCATCCCTGAGCTCCTCCCAGGCATCAGAGCCTCTGTGTCCCCTGAAGCACCCTTCACACCGGCCACCTGCAAGCACCCTATCACCAAACCCGACCAGCTCCACAGAATCCTTGGGGTATCTGTCATCCCTCAGCTCCTCCCAGCCACCAGAGCCTTTGCGTCCCCTGAAGCACCCTTCACACAAGCCACATGGGCGTTCCCCTCCCCGACGACGGAATCCTGGCTGGGTGTCCTGGTCCGACTCCATGCAGGCTGATTCCGAAACTGACGCCATAATATGCCCAATGTGCAAGGCCCCTGAGCGCTCCTGTCCACACACCTGGTGGGTGCCTTCTAGCCCTCGAGTGATCCGAGGCGTTGGTCGCTGCAGTGATCCCAACCTGGGCCTCTCCTGGAGGCAGGAGGCTGCTAGAGCCTGGTGCCACTGCACCTCCTCACAGTACCCATTCGAGCACCCTAATCTTCCCACCCACCTACCAAAGGCTTCCTTCTAGGGAGACCCCACATGCAGGCAGATGGAGGCAGGGCTCACACTGGCCTCCAGGGCTGTGCAACTGGCATATTATTTTGCACATAACTTGGCTCAGGTTTGTGAGGTCTGATTTTTAAAATGAAGCAACAATCACATAAAGATTTTCAAACAAATAAGTCAAATGTATGGCAGTATTTCTATTTTATCCTATGGCAAAATAATTCTTCCTAATTTTAATATTATTTTGTTCCTTAAAATTTAATACCTTCAAATGATATTACCTATGTTTCCAGGATTTGACAAAGTCTTAATGTTCAGCCAACATGGCTTAAGCTGATGAACTACTTAAAAGGATTCTTTTCTTTTCTTTTTTTTTTTTTTGAGACAGAGTCTCGCTCTGTCACCCAGGCCGGAGTGCAGTGGTGTGATCTCGGCTCACTGCAACCTCCACCTCCTGGGTTCAAGCGATTCTCCTGCCTCAGCCTCCCGAGTAGCTGGGATTACAGACATGCACCACCACAGCTGGCTAATTTTTGTATTTTTAGTAGAGACGGGGTTTCACCATGTTGGCCAGGCTGGTCTCGAACTCCTGGCCTCAGGTGATCCACTCCCCTTGGTCTCCCAAAGTGCTGGGATTAGAGGCGTGAGCCACCAAGTCCAGCCGGAGGATTCATTGTTTAAATAATTCTAAGAAATGCACATTTTCCAAGACTCAGGAGGTCAGGCTTCATTTTATATTCAGTAAAGGGTTTAAAAAGGATGTGATGCTCCAAATAAACTGAAATCTTACACAGCTTCTCACGGAATGTGTGCCTGAGACAGACGCACAGCCATCCCAACTACTGGGAAGAGGCGTCTTATCATCCGAATTGAAGAAAGTGTCCATTTAGTCAACATGTGTATTAGAATAATGAAAGGCCTCACTACTTATATGCCCAGCACTTTCTAAAGGGTGCACTTTGGTTAGACTGTGTATTTCTTACTGCTCATAAGTAACACATTGTCGTTGGCTTGTTAAAGTCTGCTTTAATATCATCTGTCAAGTATGTGTCACTGGTGAAGTCTCTCAGATTATCCCTCAGGGTGAAAGCATCACACTCCTTTCTTCAAAAGGAGCAAAGTCGACACGAGGGCCCTTGCAGCCAATTTGTTCCAACAAGAACTTCCCTCCTATTCCTTATAATTACAAATTTATACCTATTATATTTTCTATTTTACTCCCTTCAATGTCATTGAATCTCAAAATGATGAAACACGGTCATGAGTGTCCTCTAGTACACCACTGGCTTGTATTCTTTTTATAGTGTGCCAGATGTTTAATCATCAGAAAAACGGACCAATTAGGAAAGATTTCCATATAGAAAATACATTACAGAGTACTGCACCCTTTTTAAACTGACTTTTTATACAGGTTTAAACTAAATGATCATGTCTTTTGACTTAAAGTTGTTTGGGGTAGCCACAATGTCTGAAAACAGACTACTGTCCATAATAAATAGTTTATTGTTATGACATGTTTAATGTGCTGCCCCTCACTAGGAATTCTTAGTTCAACAGGTTGTGCAAAACCGCAATGCATGGTGTGCCTTAAAGCAACGTTCCCATCATCTGCTGCACCTGCGTCCACCATACATTGCTGCAGATGATTTATGTGTCCAACTTCCCGGGTGTAAACTTATGCCTTTACCCCAGAAGAATAAGTGGGTTCAATCTATTAGAAAAATACTGTCAATATTTCCAGACTTCTTTATTTTTGGAGACAGGGTCTCACACCCAGGCTGGAGTGCAGTGGCACATCACGGCTCATTGTAGCCTTGAACTCCTGGGCTCAAACGATCCTCCTGCGTCAGTCTCCCGAGTAGCTGGGACCAACAGGTATGTGCCACCATGCCTGGCTAATTGCTTTTTTTTTTTTTTTTTTTTTTTTTTTTTTGGTGGAGATTGTGTTGCCTAGGCTGGTCTTGAACTCCTGGCCTCAAGTGATCCTCCCACCTCAGCCTCCCAGAGTGTGGGATTACAGGCATGAGCCACCATGTCTGGCCTTGGTTTTGAAATAGATATTTATTTAAAATAGGTTTCACACTGATTTCAATAAATCAGGCACTCCAGAACACAATGTATAGGGTGGCAATTATATGTTGACTTCTTAATACTCCAAGAGATAAAGATCTTTTCCAAATAAGCAAAAAAAGTAGTCATTGTGCAATATTAGCCTCTAAGAGCAATTTCCCTTTATAGACTACAATATTACTGACAGTTTCATGCACTTTTGCTTTATAAAGAACTCCACAGGAAGAAATTTCCCCAGTCTTTCCCGGTAGACACAGCTACATTTTCTGTCACACACAAACCATTGTCACAGTACAGCATGTCCAGATCCAAAGAATCAAGGGGTTTCACAATTGCTTCCCCAATGTATGCCATGAGGTTGGTCAGATTTGAAACCATTCCCGTGACAGGATCAATCTTTATAATTGTGCCCCTGCCGTATGGATGGTTTGCATTTCCCAAACAGGAGTGTCCTGGGTTACTCAGAGGTGTGCCATGGAGCCCTCCCTTGGCCGTTTTATAATAACCAGAACAGCCCATTTCCCCATGGACACACATTCCAAGCTCTCCACAGCCCAGTACCACCGTTATGCAAAGGATATGGATGGAACTCACATTCAGAAAGCTAGAAAATAAGGCTGTGCCAGGCACAGTAGATGAGCAATGAGAAGATGCCAATGTCTTTTCTAGAAGCATGAGTGATCCAGCTCTTTGGTTCTGAACATTTCTGTGCTTTAGCGTTTCTCTCCCTCATTCACAGTAAAGACATCTGCAGCTCTTCCCTCCTGAGATAAGAAACTGGAACAGCCACCACCTGCTCCCTGATGTTTTCACCATCTCTGCCACTTGTTACAACGACCACTTAGCCAGACATCTCGGCGCAGGGATCCCCCTTAAACTGCAGAAGCAAGACCAGCCCACCACCCTTTCTTTTTATTCCTGCCATAATTTGATGCTAGTAACACTCTGCCTACCTACTTCCAATGGTAACAAATATTTTGTAGAATATGCAAGTTTATTTTGTAGATTGTGGTCCCTGGAGTGAGAGAAACTCTCCACCTACCAGACCTGTGACTTAGGTAAGTCACTCTGTGTCTCCAAACTTAATTTCCTTGATGTGGAAAATGGGGATAGAAGTTAATAACATTGCAGGAAAGGGGACATGAGTTATAATATAAAACTCTCTGCATGGTTCCTATTGGATAATTTTGCTATTATTATTGCTTGTATTTTTGTCACATTATAACCAACTTAGTTTTACTTGTTAAAGTACACACAATTGGGTTTTTTTAAAAGAATTAATTTAATTTACTAGCACAAAAGCTAGTGTTAAAAATAGGTGTTAAAAATTGAGTCCCGGCAGGGCACCGTGGCTCACGCCTGCAATCCCAGCACTTCGGGAGGTCCAGGCTGGCAGATCACTTGAGGTCAGGAGTTTGAGACCAGCCTGGCCAACATGGTGAAACTCCATTTCTACTAAAAATATAAGAAATAGCCGGGCGTGGTGGCTCGTGCCTGTAGTCCCAGCTACTCAGGAGGCTGAGACAGGAAAATTGCTTGAACCGGGAGGCAGAGGGTGCAGTGAGCCAAGATGGCGCCACTGCACTCCAGCCTGGGCAACAGAGTGAGAATCTGTTTAAAAAAAAAAAAGAAAAAAAAAGTGAGTCCCATCTGATAAACCGAATATTTAAGTAAATTTGAAATATTTTTTGCCCCATGATATTTAGGGGTTTCTACTAATTGACTTTGATGTTCAAGGGCTGTTTTGTGATCCCAAAGCCATTGCCACTTTTACTTTGAACAAGCTGGACTCATGGGGTACTCCAGAGCCAACTCTGTTTTCTCCACGCAGCCTGCTCCTTGCTGCTGGTTCTGAGTCCCTGAATGAAATCTGGGATCTTCATGGCTTACCTACTTACATTCAGGAAAATAAAAAAAAAATCCTCCAGTCATCTCCAATAACAAGAAGAGGTCTGATTTCACTCATTAAACTATGCAGTGTGATGTCATAGCCAAATGGCCACACCGCATTGGAGAGCCAAGTTTTCTCTCCCAGAACAGCCTGCCTGGGCGCGGGCCACCATGCCCGGCTAATTTTTGTATTTTTAGTAGAGACAGGATTTCACCATGCTGGCCAGCCTGGTCTCGAACTCCTGACCTCGCGATCCGCCAGCCTCGGCCTCCCAAAGTGCTGGGATTACAGGCGTGAGCCATTGTGCCGGGCCACTTTTCTTTCTTTCTTTTTTCTCTTTTTTTTTTTTTTTTTGAGACAGAGTCTCGCTCTGTCGCCCAGGCTGGAGTGCAGTGGTGCCATCTCGGCTCACTGCAAGCTCCGCTTCTCAGGTTCACGCCATTCTCCTGCCTCAGCCTCCCGAGTAGCTGGGACTACAGGCGCCCGCCACCACGCCCGGCTAATTTTTTGTATTTTTACTAGAGACGGGGTTTCGCCATGTTAGCCAGGATGGTCTCCATCTCCTGACCTCGTGATCCACCTGCCTGAGCCTCCCCAAAGTGCTGGGATTACAGGCGTGAGCCACCGCGCCCGGCCTCTTTTTTAAAGAAGGTTTTATTTTTGCAATAACATTACTAGCGCTATTGACAAGTATCAAATGCACACTGTATAACTACAGCAAACCCATCCACAACGTATTCGACTGTTCAGAGCCCTGAATGACATCTTGATAAAGAGCCAAAAGTTGTTTCCATAAAGATCTTCAAGGTGTTTGAGCACATCTTGTCAGACGCCCGTAAAGGAAGCTGACTCTCACTGGGTTCCAGGAATTACGTGGTTACGTCCATAACAGCCCATCTGACAAGTGGCAAATACCCGTGGAAAACCAATTAACTGTGCTCCTCGGTTTACCCTGGAGGATGGTGGCGGATGACGCGACTAAGTTTGCTTTGAGCCTGCTTCAAGTTCCAACTTCCTTGGAGTTAGTCGCATTTACAATTTAAAACATGCAAAAATCCACGCTTGTGTATGAAATTCGTGTTTCTTCAGAACATGAGGCTAAGACAACGTGGATATTATGGGATGATGGGCCGTTCACAGAGAAATCCCCGTCCCGGGCACACTCAGGCCTGGCGCCTGGCCTGCGGCTCACCTGGTGGGAGGAAAGGTTTCTCTGGGTGGTCCAAGGCGGCACAGGTGACCCAGGGCGAGGAGCCTCTGGGGGGCTCAGCGAACCCAGCGTCCACTCAAGCTCGTCCTGCCCCTGGCAATCCACGCGGTGCCGGGTGGATGCGTGGGAGCCACATCAAAGTCCCCCCACAAGTGCCTGGGGCTCCCCGCTGATTTCGAGGTCTACAGAATGGGTTTCTTGCAACTCACATCCTTCAGCTGGAGGACCCCAGAAAGGCAGAGCTCCCGTCCAGAGTGTGCTGGTCCCGGACGCAGACCTGCTCCCAAATGCCCTGGGGTCGGGCGTAAGGCCTGGGGATCGCCGGAGCCTGGTTTCCTCACTGCGGTGCTCACTGCCGCCGCCTCTTCCCCGGACGCCCGGTCTGTCTGAGGTCGCCGGGTCTGTGGACGCGGATCCGAATCGGAGCTTCCGAGGGTGATCTGAGATCCAAAGTCAGGAGTCTTCTGCATCCTGCCCTTTGTCAGCGCTGGTCCTCATTTCACCTGCCCAGGGCCTTCAGGAGGGGCGACACTCTCCGGCTGCGGGCGGCCCAGCGCTCGCCCCCCTCGGCCCCACGTACTCTTCCTGCCTCGCCCCCATCGCCCTCCTCCGGCTTCCCGCGCCTCCCGGGGCTCTGCGCTTGCGTCCAGGGCGCCCTCTCCGGGGACAATGGGCGGGTGCTTCGCAGGCTGCAGTCAGGGCCGACTTCACCCGGCGAGGACAGGGCGAGGCGCTGGGCCCAGAGGTATGTTTGAAACGATTCGCGTATGTGAATCTACTTTTTGAATTGTAAATTTTATGAAACCTAAATACAAATCATGTACTTCTTATGAAAATTTCGTGTCTGAATTAAGAAGTGCTATCAATATAAAATAACAGATTTCGAAAACTTAGTACAAAAATAGAAGGTGAAATATTTCATTCATGTTTATGTTGATAACATGTTCAAATGACACTACTTTGGACGTATTGAATTAAATATATTATTAAAACTCATTGCACATATTTCTTTTTACTTTTCTAAGTGGCTACTACAAACATTAAGTCACATGTGTTCTTGCATTATATTTCTACTGGACAGTGTGCTGTACAAGAAAATAGAAAAAGTATAAAAATTATCCAGTTCATTTTATGAAACTAGAATTTTTAATTCTCAAATCAGATAAGGTTAACATAAAAATAAAATTATAAAACCATTTTTTACTTATGATCACTGATATAAAACAAAATATAGCTAACAGAATCAAATAGTATATATATAAATTTATCATATTGTATTTAAGATCTTTATTTTTCTAACATTCTTGGTCCTATGAAAACATTTCAGTATACAACATCAGAGAAAAACCATCATAATCTATATGCCAGTCATCACAATCGACATGGTATAATTTTTAAAAATAAACTATCTTGCCCTGTAGATGTATATATACAGCAGTCCCTCTGTATCCACAGGGGATTCGTTCCAGGACCCTCCCCCCAAAATCCACAATGCTCAAGTCCCTTATATGAAGTAGCATTGTACTGTCAGTCCCCAATTTATGATGGCTTCAATTGGGATTTGACTTGCCAATGGTGCGAAAGCAATGGGCATTCAGAACGCTTCTCATCTTACAATAGGGTTACATCTGGATAAACCCATTGTAAATTCAACTCGCCATATGGTCAATCTATACGATGGATGTATTTGGTTGTAACCCCATCATAAGTCAAGGAGCATCTGTATTTGCGTATAACCTATAACCTATGCACATCCTCTGTCCCAGGTTAATTATTTAGAGGTATAATTTAAATCACCTCTAAATTTTATTTTATTTTATTTTATTTTTGAGATGGAGTCTTGCTCTGTCGCCCAGGCTGGAGTGCAGTGGTGTGATCTCGGCTCACTGCAAGCTCTGCCTCCCGGCTTCACGCCATTCTCCTGCCTCAGCCTCCCGAGTAGCTGGGACTACAGGCGCCTGTAACCACACCCAGCTAATTTTTTGTATTTTTAGTGGAGACGGGGTTTCACTGTGTTAGCCAGGATGGTCTCGATCTCCTGACCTCGTGATCTGCCCGTCTCGGCCTCCCAAAGTGCTGGGATTACAGGCGTGAACCACCATGCCCGGCCCAATCACCTCTAAATTATTTACACTACTAGTTAATACAATGTAAATGCTATGTAAATAGCTGTTGGGGCCAAGCATGGTGGCTCACTCCTGTAATCCCAACACTTTGGGAGGCTGAGGCAGGAGGATTACTTGAGCCCAGGAGTTCGAGACCAGCCTGTGGTCCCAGCTACTCAGGAGGCTGAAGTGGGAGGCTCACTTGAGCTCAGGAAGTTGTGGCTGCAGTGAGCTGTGATGGTACCACTGCACTCAAGCCTAGGCAACAAAGCAAGACTGTCTCAAAAAAAAAGTTGTTGTATTGATTTTTTTATTTATATTATTTTTTCTTGTTTTTTTTTTATTGCTTTTGTTTTTCAAATACTTTTGATCCACGGTTGATTGAAACCACAGATGTAAAACCCCAGGATACGAGGGGCCAACTGCATATAAAATCAAGTAAAACTTAGCTTAGGAATATAAGAATTTTTCTTTTTTATAGTATGTGTGTATATATATGTATATATGTGTGTCTATATAGGTATACATGTGTGTGTATATGTATATATACACATATATATATATATATATATATATATATATATTTTTTTTTTTTTTAAATAGGGATGAGGTCTCACTATGTTGCCCAGGCTGGTCTCAAACTCCTGAGCTCAAGCGATCCTCCTGCTTCAGACTCCCGGAGTCCTGGGAAGAATTTTTCAACATCAAAAAATCTATTAACATGAGCTACCACAGTAAAAAGAAAAAAAACATATAATTATCTCAGTCTATTCAGAAAGAAATTTGATAAGATTTAAAGCCTACTTATGATTTTTTCCCTCTTAACTAATTAAGACTGGAAGAAACTTTCTCAACTAGTAAATTTCATATACCAAAAGCTTACATCAAAATTTTACTTGAGGAAGAAAATTGCAAAGATCCTTAATTAATTAATCCTTTAAGTCAGGATTAATTAACACAAAAATACTCAGTAATCCCCTGTGGTTTAACACAGAACTGCATTCTCCTGGTCAATGCCCTAAGGAAAGAAAAAGAAAGAAAAGATGTAAGGATTGGAAGATGAGAGAAAATTGTCATAATTCGAAGATGATATCACCGTCTACCTAGAAAGAAACCACCGGCTGGGCGCGGTGGCTCAGGCCTCTAATCCCAGCACTTTGGGAGGAAGAGGCAGGCGGATCACTCAAGGTCAGAAGTTTGACATCAGCCTGGCCAACATAGTGAAACCCACTCTCTCGCTACGAAAAATACAAAAATTAGCTGGGCGTGGTGGTGCATGCCTGTAATCTCAGCTATTCAGGAGGCAAGGCAGGAGAATCACTTGAACCTGGGAGGCGGAGGTTGCAGTGAGCTGAGATCATTCCACTACACTCCAACCTGGGGGACAGAGTGAGACTCCCTCTCAAAAAAGAAAAAGAAAAAAGAAAAAAAGGAAACCAGCTGGGTGTGGTGGCTCATGCCTGTAATCCCATCACTTTGGGAGGCCGAGGTGGGCAGATTACTTGATGTCAGAAGTTCGAAACCAGCCTGGCCACATGGTGAAACCCCGTCTCTACTAAAAATATTGTAAAAATTAGCTGGGCATGGCGGCAGGCACCTGTAATCCCAGCTACTCAGGAGGCTGAGGCAGGAGAATCACTTAAACCTGGGAGGTGGAGGTTGCAGTGAGCCGAGATCATGTCCAGCCTGGGTGACGAAACGAGACTCTGTCTAAAAAAATTAATGAATTAATTAAAATAAAATAGTCAAACTCACAGAAGCAGAGAGTACAATGGTAGTTTCCAGGGGCTGAGGGGAGGAGGAAGTGGGGAGTTGCTGTTCAATGGGTTGAAAGTTTCAGCCCATTGATGAACGTGTTATCTGCTGCACAACGTCATGCCTGTTCATAATACTGCACTGCCCACTTAATTTGTGAAGAGGGTAGATCCCATGTTAAATGTTCTTACCACAAATTAAAAACAAAAAGAATCAGCCAATTAGAAATCCTTAATTTTAGTAATTTTTTATTTGAGGTAAGTTATCTTCTGAGGTTTTAAAGTAAAGAAATAGGCCAGGTCCAGTGGCTCACACCTGTAATCCCAGCACTGTGGGAGGCCTGGGTGGGCAGATAGCTTGAGCTCAGGAGTTCAAGACCAGCCTGGGCCACATGGTGAAACCCCATCTCTGCAAAAAATACAAAAATTAGCCGAGCGTGGTGGTGGGCGCCTGTGGTCCTAGCTACTTAGAAGGCTGAGGCGGGAGGATCGCTCGAGCCCAGGAGGCAGGAGTTGCAGTAAGCCAAGATCATGCATGCCACCGCCGAGGAGACAGAGCAAGACCCTATCTCAAAAAACAACAACGAAAACAAAAAAAAACCCTTACACAATGTTGACTCTAGATTGGTGCAACTCACCGTATGCTAAAGTGAAAGTGTAAAAGGACAGATGGAGGAAAGGAAGCATGGGTAAATAAGGAGGCGTGTGATAACGCAGTACAGCAAAGTGTTTACTCTAAAACCTAGGTGATTGTAAGAGTGTTCATTCTGCAATTCTTTCAACTTTTCTATATGATTTTCTGGACAAAATGTTAGAGGGAAACACCAAAAACAAAACTATTTGTCATATAAGTCTACGTCTGTAAGTAAATGTGAAGGAAACTGTCTATATGGATACCCAGAAAGGGAAGGGAAGGAATTGGGCAGGTGGGGGGCGGAGGGGGTAAGGAAGTTTGGAGAACAGAAACTTGCACTTTTGCTTTTCCATGTTTTGATTTTTTGCAATGAGAATATACTCATGTAGTCCTGTGCTATTTTTTTATGTAAAAAGCTCAGCATGTGAGAGTCCCCACAAGCTCATGAGGTAGCATCACTCTTGTGCAGAAGAGGAATCCTAGAGCCAGACAGTTACAGGGGTCCACCAAGGTTACCTAGAGTCAGGAACGACAGGGAGGACAGGAACGAGAGTCTGGTCTGTGCTCCTCCGGGTAAATAGGCTTTGGTAGAAAGGTCTGGGGCCTCCTCTCCCTGCCTTGCCCAGCCCTTCCTCCTACCTTGGGCTGACGTACACCAGCATCCCTTCATGGTTGTCTGTGGGGCAGGAGACACACATAGCTGCACTCCTGGGGTACTCCCAGGCCTGAGCATCCACCTGGATGTCCACATTGGATGTGTCCTCTGCCCCCCAACTCACCCATGCCCAGCTCAGCAAGCCCAGTGGATACTTCATTCTCCTCCCGTAGCCCATGTCCAACCAACAACCACAGCCTCCCCATCGCCCTTCTCCAGCATCTGTGGTCTTAGACTCCCTTGTGAAATCCCCACTGCTTCTGCCTCAGTTCAGTCCTCATCTCTCACCCGGATGACTGTGGATAGTTTCCCAACCACCACCATGCCTGGCTAATTTTTGTATTTTTAGTAGAGACGGGGTTTCACCATGTTGTCTAGGCTGGTCTCGAACTCCTGACCTCAAATGGTCCGCCCACCTTGGCCTCACAAAGTGCTGGGATGACAGGCATGAGCCACCTCACCTGGCCTACACCGGCATCAATTTTGAAGAACTCATGATGTTGTTCACTGAGAAGTAGATGAACTTCCAACTCTGTGCAGAGCGGAGCTTCTGGACTAGTGTGGCCATCGGGCTATTAGCTGTGCAGAGATATTATGCCCTTGGCCCAGAGATGAGCAGGTAAAATTCGGGGGAACCAGACTTCCCGAGGGTTACCTCTGCAGCAAGCAGGCTCGTCCATTTACAACGCTGTGTTATACAACAAACAGTGTCCCAGGTCCCGAGGGTTACCTCTGCAGCAAGCAGGCTCGTCCATTTACAACGCTGTGTTATACAACAAACAGTGTCCCAGGTCCCGAGGGTTACCTCTGCAGCAAGCAGGCTCGTCCATTTACAACGCTGTGTTATACAACAAATAGTATCATGTCCCAGGGGGATCATAATGTGAAAAAGATTAAGAGGCACAGCTTTAGAGAGTGAGAATTTCTGGTCCTAATAAAGGAATGAAAAGACCATAAAGTTTGAGAATATTGGCTCAAGAAACGATTAGGAAGAACCACCTACCCTAGAAAAGTGAAGATTTTCAAAAAAAAAAAAATCAAAGATGATCTCTATCACTTTGCCACCTGTTTGACGTGCAGTGGATACTGGTTAAGCCAGTTGTTTATACTTCGTTTACAAATATAAAGATAGCTGTTTAGGATATTTTGTTAAATTTTTGAAATGCTAGTAATGTGTTTTCACCAGCAGGTATTTGTTGCAAACTTAATGTCATTTTCCTTAAGATGGTTACAGCTATGTAACCTGTAGTATTCTGGACAGACTTGTTAAAAAACAGACAAAAAGAAAAATAAAACAAAACTTGAGTTCTGTTTATCTTGCACATTTTTTGTTGTTACAGTGAAAACAAAAATGGTCCAAGAAAATGTTTCCCATTTTTTTATTTTTTAGTTCTTAGCTGGAACATTTAGAAAGAAGGAAATTAATGTGCATTTTATTAATTCCTAGGGGCACAAGGAGGACAATAATAGCTGATCTTTTGAAATTTGAAAAACGTCTTTAGATGACCGAGCAAAAAGATTTTTAAAAATGGTAATGAAAATGGAATGCAGCTACTGCAGCTCATAAAAATTTTAGATAGCAATTCCTACAACCGTATGCTTTTATAGCTAGACAGGAGAATTACGATAGCATGAGTTGATTCATTTTATTACTTTTCTTCCCTTTCTCATACTTTTATAAATAGGTGATAAAAAATGTTTTGCCTGCCAATTGAATGATTTCGTAGATGAAGTAGAAATATTTAGGTTTCCGTAGCATTAAATTGTGAAGACAATTGGAGTGGCACTTAGTGAAGAAACTCTCTGTATGTCCTAGAATAAGAAGCAATGATGTGCTGCTTCTCATTTTTCTCGCATTTTAAATTATCAGCCAACCTACAGCCATTATCTTTTTTTTTTTTTTTTGAGACGGAGTCTCGCTCTGTCGCCCAGGCTGGAGTGCAGTGGCGCGATCTCGGCTCACTGCAAGCTCTGCCTCCCGGGTTCACGCCATTCTCCTGCCTCAGCCTCCCGAGTAGCTGGGACTACAGGCGCCCGCCACCACGCCCGGCTAATTTTTTGTATTTTTAGTAGAGACGGGGTTTCACCATGTTAGCCAGGATGGTCTCGATCTCCTGACTTCGTGATCCACCCGCCTCGGCCTCCCAAAGTGCTGGGATTACAGGCGTGAGCCACCGCGCCTCGCCTACAGCCATCATCTTTAGCACGGTGATATCACCATGACTTCATAGACATGCTCTAGAATCTGTACCTTTACCCAAATATGAAGAATAAAATTGATTAAAGGTTTAAAAAAAAATAGGCTGGGGGTGATGGCTCACACCTGTAATCCCAGCACTTTGGGAGGCTGAGGTGGGTGGATTGCTTGAGTTCAGGAGTTCAATACCAGCCTGGTCAACATGGTGAAACCCCGTCTCTACTAAAAATATGAAAAAAATTAACCAGGCGTGGTGGCGCATGCCTGTAATCCCAGCTACTCAGGAGACTGAGGTGGGAGGATTGCTCGAACCCGGGAGGTAAAGGTTGCAGTGAGCCGAGAACTGCACTCCAGCCTGGATGACAGAGTGAGGCTCCATCTCTAAATAAATATTTAAATTAAATAGCCACTCATGATGGTTCATGCCTGTAGCCCCAGCTACTCAGGTGGCTGAAGTGGGAGGATCACATGAGCTCAGAAGTTTGAGGCTGCAAGGAACCATGACTGCACCACTGCACTCCAGCCTGGGTGACAGTGCAGTGACGCGATCTCCGTTCAGCAACCTCTGCCTCCCGGGTTCAAGCAATTCTCCTGCCTCAGCCTCCCAAGTAGCTGGGACTACAGGCACCCACCACCACACCTGACTAATTTTGTTTTTGTATTTTTAGTAGAAACGGCGTTTCACCCTGTTAGCCAGGATGGTCTCGATCTCCTGACCTCGTGATCTACCTGCCTCGGCCTCCCAAAGTGCTGGGATTACAGGTGTGAGCCACCGTGCCCAGACAATATAATCATTTTTTTAAATTAAGAATTGAATAAAATGCAAGATTACATTAAAAGTATGTATCAATGTTTAATGTACTGAAGGTGAGACTTTATCACGGTTACATAAGAGAATATCCCAGTTCTCGAAAAATAGGTCCTGCTGTTGGTAGGAATGTAAATTAGTACAGCCATTATAGAAAACAGTATGGAAGTTCCTCAAGAAATTAAAAATAGAACTACCCACGTGATCCAGCAATTCCACTTCTAGGTATATACCCGAAGGAAATGAAATCAGTATGTTGAAGATCTATCTGCACTCCCATGTTCATTGCAGCGTTATTCACAGTAGCTAAGATATTGAAAAAACCTAAGCGGATTTATGGATAAAGAAAATGTGTTGTGTGTAAATGTGAAGGAAGGCAGGCGAGGTGGCTCGTGCCTGTAGTCCCAGCTACTTGGAAGGGAGAGTCAAAGGATTGCTTGAGGCCAAGAGTTCCAGCCTGGGTAATACAGTAAGATTCCATCTCTTTTTTAAAAAGGAATGCAAGTCAGCCCTTAAAAAGAAGGAAATCCAATAGGCGCAGTGGCTGATGCTTGTAATTCCAGCACTATGGGAGGCTGAGGCAGGTGGATCACCTGAACTCAGGAGTTTGAGACCAGCCTGGGCAACATGGAGAAACCCTGTCTCTACAAAAAATACAAAAATTACCTGGGTGTGGTAGCACACACCTGTAGTCCCAGCTACTTGGGTGGCTGGGATGGAAGAATCACTTGAACCCGGGGAAGCTGAGGAAAGACAGCGCCACTGCACTCCAGCCTGGGTGAGGGAGTAAGACCCAGCCTCAAAAAAAAAAAAAAAAAAAAGGAAATTCTGTCACTGTGACAACTTGGATAAACACGGAGGACATCATACTATGTAAAATAAACTAGGCACAGAGAAACAAATACTTAATGATCTCACATGTGGAATCTAAAACCTCAAACTTATAGAAAGACAGAGTAGAATGGCGGTTATCAGGGGAGGGCTGGGGAATGGGTGTAGGAAATGGGGAGATGATGATGAAAGGAACGGAGTTTCTGGAGAACTAATGTACATATAGCATGGTGACTATATGTAATAGTGTATTACAAGTGTATTTCAAGTGTAATAGTACACTTGAAAAGTGCTAAGAGAGGCCAGGCGTCGTGGCTCACACCTGTAATCCCAGCACTTTGGGAGGCCAAGGTCGGCAGATCGCTTGAGGTCAGGAGTTCGAGGCCAGCCTGGGCAACACGGTGAAACCCCATCTCTACTAAAAATACAAAAATTAGCCGGGTGTGGTGGTGCACACCTGTAGTCCTAGCTACTCAGGAGGCTGAGGCAGGAGAATCACTTGAACCCAGGAGGTGAAGGTTGCAGTGAGTCAAGATCGCACCACTGCACTCCAGTGTATGCAATAGAGCGAGACTCCATCTCAAAAACAACAAAAAAAGAAAATTGCTGGCCGGGTGCAGTGGCTCACACCTGTAATCCCAGCGCTTTGGGAGGCTCAGGCAGGCAGATCATGTGAGGTCAGGAGTTCAAGACCAGCCTGGCCAACATGGCGAAACCCCGTCTCTACTTATAATACAAAAATCAGCCAGGCATGTTGGCGGGCGCCTGTAATCCCAGCTACTCAGGAGGCTGAGGCAGGAGAATCGCTGGAACCCGAGGGGCAGAGGCTGCAGTGAGCCAAGATTGTGCCACTGCACTCCAGCCTGGGTGACAGAGCAAGACTCTGTCTCAAAAAAAAAAAAAAAAAAGAAAAAAAGAAAAGAAATTGCTAAGAGAGTAGACTGCAAATGTTCTCACCACAAAACAATGAAAAGTATGTGAGGTGATGAATATGCTAGTTAGCTTGATTTAATCATACATATACCAAAACATCACATCATATAGCATAAATATATATAATCTTTATATGTCTGTTAAGCTTTAATAAAGCTGAAAAATAACAAAAAGAGATGTATCTCTATAAAACAGGGTTTTTTTTGTTTTTGTTTTTGTTTGAGACAGAGTATCAGTCTGTTGCCCAGGCTGGAGTGCAATGGCTCAGTCTCGGCTCACTGCAACCTCCGCCTCCCGCATTCAAACAATTCTCCTACCTCACCCTCCCAAGTAGCTGGGACTACAGGCACGTGCCACCACACTCGGCAAGTTTTTGTATTTTTAGTAGAGACGGGGTTTCACTATGTTGGCCAATCTGGTCTCGAACTCCTGACCTCGTGATCTCCCCACCTTGGCCTCCCAAAGTGCTGGGATTACAAACGTGAGCCACCGCGCCTGGCCAAAACAAAGTTTTTCAAGTCCTAACCAATGCATCATCTTAATGCAATAAAATTTGAATATAATTTTTTAAAAAGAAATATATCCTGAAAAGTTTAAAAATAAAAGGTCATGATGTATGTAACTCACCCTCACAAAGTCCAAGGAAAAATGTGCTTATATCCATACAGATCTAGAGAGGGAGCACATGCAGATGATGACACGAATGAAGTAAACGTGAGCTCCAGGTGAATTGGGGTCAAGGGCATACAGTTGTACTTTGTGCCATCTTTATTCTCGTAACTCTTCTGTAGGATTGAAATAACAAAAAGCTTTTTAAACTATTAGGGTCTGGAATTTCCTTTGAAATACACCAAAGAGTAAGAGTAATAGATGAAATTAGGAATGATAAATGGATAGATATGGTAAAAGTGTTATAATCTCTGTTCAATTTTCTTTTTTTTTTTTGAGACAGAGTCTCGCTCTGTTGCCCAGGCTGGAGTGCAGCGGCACAATCTAGACTCGCTGGAACCTCCACCTCCCGGGTTCAAGCGATTTTTGTGCCTCAGCCCCTCTAGTAGCTGGGATTACAGGCATGCGCCACCACGCCCAGCTAATTTTTGTATTTTTAGTAGAGATGGGGTTTCACCATGTTGGCCAGGCTGGTCTCAAACTCCTGACTTGAAGTGATTCACCCATCTTGGCCTCCCAAAGTGCTGAGATTGCAGGCATGAGCCACCGCACCCGGCTTATCTTCAATTTTTTTTTTTTTTTTTTTTTTTGAGATGGAGTCTCACTCTGTCGCCCAGGCTGGAGTGCAATGGTGCGATCTCAGCTCACTGCAACCTCCACCTTCCAGGTTCAAGCGATTCTCCTACCTCAGCCTCCTGAGTAGCTGGGATTACAGGCACGCGCCACCAGGCCCAGCTAATTTTTGTATTTTTAGTAGAGACGGGGTTTCACCATGTTGGTCAGGCTGGTCTTGAACTCCTGACCTCGTAATCTGCCCGCCTCGGCTCCCAAAGTACTGGGATTACAGGCGTGAGCCACCTCGCCCAGCCTCAGATTTGTTTATAATAAAATGGTGTGGGGCAGAGAGGAGAACAAGACAAATCAATATGACGTGTCATGGAAAAATGTCACCAAATCAGGAAGTCTTTTGTTGTAGAAGCCACTGGAAGGGGCGTAAAGCCCACCTTTCTTTTCATACTGTCTCCCGGTATTTCCTCTGAAAGCAGGAGTTCAGCTGCACTTGAGATTCTTACTACCCTGTGGCTGGTATGAGGTGCCAAACAGGGAAAGGATTGGTCACTTCACCAACGTAATGACAGCTCTCTCTTAGAGACACATTACACAAATCCTCAGGTTAACTTTTTTGCAAGTCCTTTAATAAATACAAGATTATTTTCATAAAATAACTGCCATGTTCTGATTTATCCTAGCAATAGCACCTACACCCCATTTAGTTACAACCACCACAAAAAGCTCTGATGTTCCAAACTCAAGATAGACAGGGTCCTCTTTATCTGAAGATACTTTCCCCAAGTCCCTGCAGCTACAAGACCATTTGGAGAAGCAAAGGTATTCGTAATGATAACATATTCACTAATGAATTAACCAATTAAAAACTGATCCCTATTCAAAATTTACTCCCTGCTGAACCCCAAAGCATCGATCCCCATGTCCCATACCAATGGCCAGCCAGCCTCTCACTCGTTCTCAGATGTCTAGGATGCCAGTCATTTGGACGGTTAAATTGTGAATCTTACACACAATGCAAGATTTCACAGAATCAACAAGTGACATTAAAGCCCCACTCGAGTGGCATACAAAGCCACCGACAGGCGAGGTCAGCAGAGTTATGGACCAATCAACAAGTGAACAGAAGGAAATTAACGCTGATGACTCACCAGGAGCTTCAAAATAGAATGGTTTGAAAAAAGCAATAAATTTAAAATGAATTAAAGTGAAGAGTGAGCTTAGGCTCAAAATATAAAGGGAACAGCAATATCATAAAATGGCTTTTTCTATGAGATATCCCATAAAAATATCCAGAATGGGCCAGGTGCGGTGGCTCACGCCTGTAATCCCAGCACGTTGGGAGGCTGAGACAGGTGGATCACGACATCAGGAGATCAAGACCATCCTGGCTAACACAGTAAAACCCCGTCTCTACTAAAAACACAAAAAATAGCCGGGCGTGGTGGCTGGCGCCTGTAGTCCCAGCTACTCAGGAGGCTGAGGCAGGAGACTGGCGTGAACCCAGGAGGTGGAGCTTGCAGTGAGCCGAGATTGCGCCACTGCACCCCAGCCTGGGCGACAGAGTGAGACTCCATCTCGAAAAAAAAAAAAATCCAGAATGACTAATAACATGGTGAATGGGATAATTACTTTACCACTTTTGGTCAATTAGCTGAGGACTAGCTAAATCCAAAGAGATGTAAATAAAATGAAAATAGAGACACCAAAAAATTGACTACCAAAGAATTAAAGAGGACTTTGAGAGGAAAATGAAGTCTAAATATTTTTAGACTCTCTTTCTGACTCTACCGTGAGTCAGATGTAAAATGAATGATATCTTGAATCATGTAATTTTCCAGAAAAATTATGCACAAAAGTCAACACTTGTTCATTCTTGATTCGTTCTAAAAACTAGCACACAGTTGCAAACATATTCTAAATTTTGTTATATATAAGATAAACTTATTTTCATAATTTTTGTTTTTATTATCCAAAATAAAATCTCAGTCAAGGTTTTTGTAGGGGCTTTTCACCATTTATGAAACATTGATTCTTGTTTCATATGGACTCACTTTTTTATACATCTTTTTACTTTTTGTTTTTTTGCGATGGAGTCTCCCACTCTTGCCCAGGCTGGAGTGCAGTGGTGCCATCACGGCTCACTGCAAGCTCCGCCTCCAGGGTTCACAACATTCTCCTGCCTCAGCCTCTCCGGAGTAGCTGGGACTACAGGCGCCCGCCACCACATCCGGCTAACTTTTTGTATTTTTAGTAAAGACGGGGTTTCACTGTATTAGCCAGGATGGTCTCGATCTCCTGACCTCATGATCTGCCGCCTCGGCCTCGCAAAGTGCTGGGATTACAGGCGTGAACCACCGCGCCTGGCCTTTTTTTTTTTTTTTTTTTTTTTGAGATGAAAGTCTTGCTCTGTCGCCCAGGCTGGAGAGTGCAGTGGTGCGATCTTGGCTTACTGCAACCTCTGCCTCCTGGGCTCAAGCAATTCTCCTGCCTCAGCCTCCTGAGAAGCTGGGACTACAGGTGTGAGCCACCATGCCCAGCTAAGTTTCGTATTTTTAATTGAGACAGGGTTTCACCATGTTGGCCAGGCTGGTCTCAAACTCCTGACCTCGTGATCCACCTGCCTCGGCCTCCCAAAGTGCTGGGATAATAGGCGTAGGCCACTGTACCCAGCCCATCATTTTTACTTTTTTTTTTTTTTTTGAGACGGAGTCTCGCTCTGTCACCCAGGCTGGAGTGCAGTGGCACGATCTCGGCTCACTGCAAGGTCCGCCTCCCGGGTTCACACCATTCTCCTGCCTCAGCCTCCCGAGTAGCTGGGATTACAGGCGCCTGCCGCCATGCCCGGCTATTTTTTTGTATTTTTAGTAGAGACGGGGTTTCACCGTGTTATCCAGGATGGTCTCGATCTCCTGACCTCATGATCCGCCCGCCTCAGCCTCCCAAAGTGCTGGGATTACAGGTGTGAGCCACCGCGCCCGGCCCATTTTACTTTTTATTATGAAAACTGAGACATTCAGAGAAGTAAACAGAATATAACTCTTTTATACTCATTACCTAAATTTAAAAGTTTTCAACAATTTGCCATTTTTGCATCATCTATTTTATTTTTTGGAAGTATTTTAAGGTGAGGTCTAGACATCCTGACATGCTGCTACTTAAGAGACTAATGCAGCTCCTAAAAAGAAGGGAATTTTCCTATGCAAGCACAATCCATTATCACATCTAACAGAATTTACAGTAATTCCATAATATCACCTAGTATCTAGCCCATATTCAAAGTTCCCCAATTAAAAAATGTCTTTCCCAGCAGATTGCTCTGATCTCATCAGGGTTGTCTCTTGGGGTTTACAACAGGTGCTGTTTTCACTTCCTCCTTTCTCCTCTACGTTTTCTGCAAACTGGAAGCTAGATCTCAAGCTGTGCTGGCCAGTACAGTAGTCACCAGGCACATATAAATTTAAATTAATTGAACTGAAGTAAAATTCAGCTCCTCAGTCATGCAAACCACATGTCAAGTGCTCAGTAGCTGCTTGTGGCCACTGGCTATCTTACTGGACAGTGCAAATGAAAAACATTCCCATCACCTCAGAAGGTTTTGTTGGACAGTGCTGCTCCAGATACCTGATGTGTTTTTAAGCAAACTTTTTTTTTTTTTTTACCATTTTGCTTTTCATGATCATACCTCAGACTTAATTTTTTTTTTTTTTTTGAGACAGAGTCTTGCTCTGTTGCTCAGGCTGGAGTGCAGTGGCACGACCTTGGCTCACTTCAACCTCCACTTCCCAGACTCAAGCGATCCTCCAGCCTCAGCCTCCCAAGTAGCTGGGATCACAGGTGCCAGCCACCACGCCTGGCTAATTTTTGTGTTTTGTAGAGATAGGTTTTCACCATGTTGCCCAGGCTAGTCTCTACTCCTGAATCAAAGAAATCCGTCCGCTACAACCTCCCAAAGTGCTGACACTATAGGCGTGAGCCACCGTGCCCAGCCTAGGCAAACATTTTTGGCAAGAAAACTTCATATAGCATCGTTCAGAAAATGATTTCACTGGCTGGGCGTGGTGGCTGACACCTGTAATCCTAGCACTTTGGGAGGCCGAGGTGGACAGATCACTTGAGGTCAGGAGTTAGAGAGTAGCCTGGCCAACATGGTAAAACCCTGTGTCTACTAAAAATAAAAAAATTCCGAGTGTGGCGGCAGGTGCCTGTAGTCTCAGTTTACGGGCTGAGGGTGGAGAATCGCTTGAACCAGGAGGCGGAGGTTGCAGTGAGCTGAGATTGCACTATTGCACTCCAGGCTGGGCGACAGCAAGACTCCGTCTCAAAAAAAAAGATGGTTTACAGCGAGGTGCGGTGGCTCACGCCCGCCTGTAATACTAGCACTCTGGGAGGTTGAGGCGGGCAGATCGCTTGAGTCCAGGAGTTCAGGACCAGCCTGAGCAACATGGAAAAAAACCGTCTCTACTAAAACTACAAAAATTAGCTGGACATGGTGGTGCACACCTGTAATCCCAGGTACTCAGAAGGCTAAGGCAGGGGAATCACTTGAGCCTAAGAGGCACAGTTTGCAGTGAGCCGAGATCGCACCACTGCACTCCAGCTCGGGCAACCCAGCAAGACTCTGTCTCAAAATATATATATATAACTAAAAAATGCTGGCCGGGCGCAGTGGCTCACTCCTGTAATCCCAGCACTTTGGAAGGCTGAGGTGGGCGGATCACGAGGTCAGGAGATCGAGACCATCCTGGCAAACATGGTGAAACCCTGTCTCTACCAAAAATACAAAAAATTAGCTGGGCATGGAGGCGCACGCCTATAATCCCAGCTACTTAGGAGGTTGAGGCAGGAGAATCACTTGAACCCAAGATGCAGAGACTGCAGTGAGCAGAGATGGCACCACTGCACTCCAGCCTGGTGACAGAGCGAGACTCCATCGCAAAAAAAAATTAAAAATTAAAAAAAAAATTTTAAATGCTAAAGGCCATCTGAGCCTTCAGTGAATCATAATCTTTTTGCCAGTGGAGGGTGTTGCCTTGATGTTGAGGGCCTTGGTCTGGATTACGTTTTGACTTAGGGGAATGTTGTGGTTGATTTAATCTTCTATCCAGACCACCAAAACTTTTTCCTTATCAGAAATAAGGCTGTTTCACTTTTTTTTTTTTTTTTGAGACAGAGTCTTGCTCTGTTGCCCAGGCTGGAGTGCAGTGGCCTGATCTTGGCTCACTGCAACCTCTGCTTCTTGGTTCAAGCGATTCTCATGCCTCAGCCTTCCAAGCAGCTGAGAATACAGGCGCAGCACTGCACCTGGCTAATTTTTGTATTTTTAGTAAAGGCAGGTTTTCACCATGTTGGCCAGGCTGGTCTCAAACTCCTGGCCTCATGTGATCGGCCGCCTCAGCATTCCAAAGTGCTGGGATTACAAGCATGAGCCACCACACCTGGCCAGAGTAGCACTTTTAATTTCCAGCAAGAACTTTTCCTTTGCATTCACAACTCGGCTAACTGTGTGCAAGAGGCCAAGCTTTTGGCCCATCACGGCTTTTGACGTGCCTACCTCATTAAGCTTAATCATTTCTAGCTTTTGATATAAAGAGAGAGACATGCAACTCTTCCTTTTACCTGAACACTCAGAGGCCATTGTAGGGTTATTAATTGGCCTAATTTCTTTTCCTTTTTCTTTTCTTTTTTTTGGTTGGAGATGGAGTTTCACTCTATCGCCCAGGCTGGAGTGCAGTGATGCAATCTTAGCTCACTGCAACCTCCGCCTCCCAGGTTCAAGCAATTCTCGTGCCTCAGCCTCCCCAGTAGCTGGTATTACAGGTGCCTGCCACCACACCCAGCTAATTTTGTATTTTTAGTAGAGACAGGGTTTCACCATGTTGGCCTGGAACTCCTGATCGCAAGTGATCTGCCCACCTTAGACTCCCAAAGTGCAGGGATTACAGGTTTGAGCCACGGCCTAATTGGCCTAATTTCAATATTGTGTCTCAGGGCACAGGGAGGCCCAAGGAGAGGGTAAGGGAGAAGGAAACACGTGGTTGGTGGAGCAGTAAGAACACATACAACATTTATCAATTAAGTTTACCATCTTATATGGGTGCAGTTTGTGGTGCCCCAAAACAATTAATAATAGTAACACCAAAGATCACAGATCACAAATCATATAACAGATGTAAGGGTAGTTTAAAAGTTTAGAATATTTTGAGAATTACGAAAATGTGAAACAGAGGCACAAAATAAGCACGTGCTGTTGGGTTGCCAACAGCAACTTTTTCTTTTTTTGAGACGCAGTTTTTTTTGCACTTGTCGCCCAGGCTGGAGTGCAGTGGTTCGATCTCGGCTCACTGCAACCTCTGCCTCCCAGGTTCAAGCAATTCTCCTGCCTCAGCCTCCAGAGTAGCTGGGATTATAGGCTCCCACCACCACGCCTGGCTAATTTTTGTGTTTTTAGTAGAGACGGGGTTTCGCCATGTCGGCCACGCTGGTCACGAACTCCTGATCTCAGGTGATCCACCCACCTGTGCCTCCCAGAGTGCTGGGATTACAGGCGTGAGCCACCGTGCCCGGCTGCCAAAAACTTTAATTTGTTAAAAAAGCAATAAAGCGAAGCACTATAAAATGAGATATATTTCAATATGTAAACGAGGCACAACTACCACTGAAATAACATAGACATTTGCACGTGTAATTCTGAACAAATCAATTTAGCTACGTTCCAGGAAAATTTAGGGTACACTTATGGTAGTCATTACACTGCTCACAAAGATTCCCAGTTGTGGTTTTCCCAGACAGAAATAGGTCTGAACTTCCCAACTCCCTAGAAATTAAACGTGGCCATGTGATTTGCTTTCACCAATGAAATGTGCATAAGTGACCTTTGTCATGCAGGACTGGAGCATGTAATATTTATGCAAAACTCCCAACAGGCTGGGTCCTGAGAGACTACAATGAGTTGGGCAGAGTACTCACCCCATCTACATTGACATGTAGCATGATGAGAAACCAGCTTTTAGGTTAAGCCATTGAGATTTGGGGGTTGTTACTGAAGAATAACCTTGCCTGATAAATGTTGAAACTGTTCCCCCAAAAAAGAGTTAATGTTTTTATACAAAATGGAATTCGGTTCCACGCCCTGATCATTATAAACAAACTTTTCACCTACATAAATGTCCAGTAGCATTGGAAAGTCATGAAGGATTCGGGACAATGCTGTTATTCTAGACTATCTTCATCCCTGTCTATGCATCCAGTAAAGACTAGTAGGGCCGGGCTCAGTGGCTCACGCCTGTAATCTCAACACTTTGAGAGGCCGAGGCGGGGGGATCACGAGGTCGAGAGATCGAGACTATCCTGGCGAACATGGTGAAACCCCGTCTCTACTAAAAGTACAAAAATTAGCCAAGTGTGGCGCCACGCCCCTGCAGTCCCAGCTACTTGGGAGGCTGAGGCAGGAAAATCGCTTGAACCCGGTAGGCAGAGGTTACAGTGAGCCGAGATTGCGCCACTGCACTCCAGCTTGGTGACAGAGCAGGACTTGGCCTCAAAAACAAACAAACAAGACCAGGCCGGGCGTGGTGGCTCACGCCTCTAATCCCAGCACTTTGGGAGGCTGAGGCTGGCGGATCACGAGGTCAGGAGATCAAGACCATCCTGGCTAACACGGTGAAACCCCGTTTCTACTAAAAATACAAAAAAAAAAAAAAAATTAGCCGGGCGTGGTGGCGGGCACCTGTAGTCCCAGCTACTCGGGAGGCTGAGGCAGGAGAATGGCGTGAACCCGGGAGGTGGAGCTTGCAGTGAACCGAGATCGCGCCACTGCACTCCAGCCTGGGCGACTGAGCGAGACTCCGTACGAAAACAAACAAACAAAAAAGACTGGTAGTATGCCCTCAGTCATTACACAACTCAAACACCAACTCCACAAATTCCCAAAACACTCCTAGATGAAGTGGTATCCCTTCACTGAGAACTGGCCTTTCAGGGACCAGACATATCATGCAACCTAGTGAAGTGGGCTGGACCAAGACAGGTCCAGGGAGCAGCTGGGCGTCTAAAGGGGCAGCACAGTTTATTCCCAACAGTTTGTTGCCATCTGGGAATATGCCATGAGTTACCAAATATTCCAGTGATTCCAGAGAAAGCTAAAATCCAGATTCTTATGTGAAATCTTTTGATTTCTAAATATTGGCAACAAGTTTTAAGATTTGTAAACATTCTGGGAATCAAAACAGCTCTGCTGGTTTGGTGTGGCTCATGTTGCCTCACTTTGCAAAGTGTTAAGTGCTAGTAAATTTTAGTGTTTTTCTGAGACAGGGTCTCACTTTGTCGCCCAGCCTGGAGTGCAGTGGCCATGATCTCCGCTCACTGTGGGATCGACCTCCCGGGCTCAAGCGATCCTCCCACTCTCAGCCCCCCAAGGAGCAGGAGTAGAGCTGTCCCGCCACGACATCTGGCTGGTTTTTTGTTGTTGTTGTTGTTGTTGTTTTGGTATTTTAGTAGAGACGGGGTTTCGTCCTACTAAAGGCCCGCCTGGGCCTTCCGAAGTGCTGGGATTACAGGCGTGAGCCACCGCGCCCGGCCAAAATTTTCCTTTGTACTTACTCAAATTCCTTTCTTTTCCAAGTGAAGAAACAGACTGAGTGTATAGTGACTTACCCAGGCCACACAGTTGGATACTAGAGATAGTAGTCACAATCGCTAACATCTGCCATGTGGTCCTTACTGCAAATCTTATTTAATAATGAGGTCGGTTTTTGTTATCCCACTTAACTAATCAATAGGAGAAGCCACCTCTGATTTCCAGTCCACTATCGTGCACTCTTTCTTGCCAAGCCGTCATAGTCATTAGATTAAAAAAAAAAAAAATTCCTGCTTTCCTGCCTCGCCTGTGCGTTTCCTTAGTCGCCCTTTCGGGGCTTGTTCTAATGAGTGCTACAGAAAAATGACGAAGTGGAAAATATAGACCATGAAATGAAAATTTAAAAGAGGAAATGGTGTCACAAAGACAACGACGGCCAGGGAACCCCGTGAAGCGCCGGGCAGGGTGCACAACTGTCCTCGGAGAAAGTTCAAGAGGAACTTCCCCGCGAACAGGTCCTGCCGGCGGCCGGGAATACGCACACTTTTTATGTTATGACTTGGACTTTCCCGAACCTTTCGAAACAGAGGGAAGGCGAGGCGGTGAAGAGGGAGAAAAATCTCCCCCACCTAAGGCAAAGGCGATGCCCGCCCGCCCCCACCCCGCGCCCGCCCGCCCGCCCGCCCCCACCCCGCGCCCGCCCGCCCGCCCGCCCCCACCCCGCGCCCGCCCGCCCGCCCCCACCCCGCGCCCGCCCGCCCGCCCCCACCCCGCGCCCGCCCGCCCGCTGGGTCACATGACACGGCCAAGATGGCCGACCGGGAAGGCGGCTGCGCTGCTGGGCGGGGGCGGGAGCTGGAGCCGGAGCTGGAGCCGGGGCCGGGGCCCGGGTCAGCGCTTGAGCCGGGAGAAGAGTTTGAGATCGTGGACCGAAGCCAGCTGCCCGGCCCAGGCGACCTGCGGAGCGCAACGAGGCCGCGGGCGGCCGAGGGCTGGTCGGCGCCCATCCTGACCCTGGCACGCAGGGCCACCGGGAACCTGTCGGCGAGCTGCGGGAGCGCGCTGCGCGCGGCCGCGGGGCTGGGCGGCGGGGACAGCGGGGACGGCACGGCGCGCGCAGGTAGGCTCGGGCCGGGTCTGTCCCGCGGCGGACTCGCGTGTCCCCGCTGGCCGCCGGCGCGGGCGCGGTGGGGGCCGGGCTGGGAGGGCACTGGCCGTTCCGGGAGGTTACGCGAGCTGTTGGCGGGCGGGCGGCGCCTGGCTGCGCCTGGGTCTTTACTCCGGCGGCCCAGCCGAGACCGCCCCCCGCAGCCCCGCGTGCCTGAGCGCGCTCCCGCACCGCGCCTCTATGCTCTCCCACTAACTAGGTGAAGGACGTGTGCGCGTCCGGGCTTCGGAACTCTGTAGTAACTCCACACACGAAACGGAGCCAGCACTGTTCTGCTTTTCAGCCGTTCAGTGCGGGAGTGGAGCGCCGGCGGGTGTTGGGAGGGCGTGGGCCCTGCGCGCAGCGGACCAGCGGCGCCTCCGCTCACCTCTGCCTGTGAGATGGGGATTTTAAAGTCACCCGATGATCTCTTAAAGACCTTTTCAGCCCTTGTAATGAACAGAGTGCCAGCATATCAGTGATAGTAAGAGTTAAGTAACTTAGCCCTCTAACGCCAGACATCCAGAGCTGTGCTATCCAATACAACAGCACGCATATGTTTTTGTGTGTGTGTTTTTGTTTTTATTTATTTTTATTTTTTTGAGACCGGGTCTTGCTCTGTCGCCCAGGCTGGAGTGCAGTGGTGCGATCTCGGCTCACTGCACCCTCTGCCTCCCGGGTTCAAGCGATCCTCCCTCCCGCCTCAGCCTCCCGAGTAGCTGGGATTACAGGTGCCCACCACCACGCTCGGCTAAGTTCCCCGCCCCCACCCCCCTCCCATATTTTTAGTAGAAACGGGGTTTCACCATCTTGGCCAGGCTGGTCTTGAACTCCTGACCTTGTGATACACCTGCCTCGGCCTCGTAAAGTACTGGGACTACAGGCTTGAGCCACCGTGCCCGGCCGGATTCCTCAATTTCTAACTGAATCAATTGAAATTCAGTACTTTTAAATTGAATTAAAAATTGAGTTCCTCGGCCGGGAGCGGTGGCTCACGCCTGTAATCCCAGCACTTTGGGAGGCCGAAGCGGGTGGATCACGAGGTCAAGAGATCGAGACCATCCTGGCCAACATGGTGAAACCCCGTCTCTACTAAAAATACAAAAAATTAGCTGGGTGTGTTGGCATGCACCTGTAGTCCCAGCTACTCAGGAGGCTGAGGCAGGAGAATCGCTTGAACCTGGGAGGCAGAGGTTGCAGTGAGCCGAGATCGCGCCACTGCACTCCAGCCTGGGTGACAGAGCGAGACTCTGTCTCAAAAAAAAAAAAAAAAAAAAAAAACTTGTTCCTCGATTACAGCGGCCACATTTTAAATGCTCAGTAGCCTGTGTGTGGCCAGTGGCTACTGTATGAGATAGCACATAATAGAACATTGCCAACTTCATAGAAAATGCTGGGACAGAGCTGAGGAAAGGTTGTGGTGCCTTCCAAGGAGCATCATAGCACACACTCGAGGCTTCCTGATTCCTCCCCATCCACTGGTACCTTTGCTGTAGATGCACTGACCCCAGGTAGTGAATTGTGAGATTTTCAGTGGTCAAGAATAATTACTGAGTAAAGTTGAAAGGCTGACTCGTTTTGAGATCCTGGCAGTGGAAAATAGCATTAGAGGATGATGAGAGCCTGGGCAGGCCGGGAATCTACTGCCCTCTAGCTTGACACCTTTTCCCGAGACTTTTCCACACATCAGTGGATGCTGAGTTGCATACTCATTGACAGTCAGTACTGAAAGTCAAGGCATGGTGTCTCCTGGAGGCCTCTTAGATATTTCGTGGCAGGAGTAAGCAAATAATAAAAGTTCTTCCCTGCTAGAATTTCTTTCCTTTAATGCAGAATCAAGGAAAAAATTAAAAAGATAAAATGAAATGTGTCAGTACCTGGCACAGAATAATAAGTGTTTGCTGAACAAATGCATATTTGAAAAATACCTGTGTTCCATCTATGGAAGTGATAGAAACAATAGCCAACACTTATATTGTCCTTCAAAGGTGCCAGGCATTAGTCTTAAACCTGTACAAGTATTCATTCATTCCTCACAACAACCCTATGTGATAGCAGGACTAGCTTCATGGGTGGACAGTCAATGCAGGCTTTGATCACTTTGGTGGAAAGGGCCAGGCACTCAGAAGTATCCCATGCTTGAAATTCTTAATTTTATCTTTGAATTTGTGTTTTTTAAGTGAAGTCCAATGGGACAGGTTCTCAGTTGCCCTGGCCCACTCGAGCTGCCCTGGGGCTTCTCCCTACCCTCCCTGATCCCACTCTTGCCCAGGCAGCGTTGGGATTGCACCCTCCGAATCTCAGGGCAGGGTGGCTGGTACCACAGCACATTAGGCAGGCAAGTGGGCAGGGGCCTCTCACCTGTCCCATCCCTGCAGGGAAGTTGCAATCCATTAGGGCTGTAGTAAGGGGGAGTCTGACTTCTGTGCTCTGCTCCAGGCCGGGAATTTTGCACTGGGCCTTGTAAATCATGTAGATGGCACAGGGTGATGAGTACCATTATTATCCCTATTTTATAAAGAGAGTATTAAAGAGAAGTAACTTCACCAACTGCAAAATGTCTATATATATATCCCATATGGATTTAAAAAACTAGGCCGGGCATGGTGGCTCACACCTGTAATCCCAGCATTTTGGGAGGCCGAGGCAGGCAGATCACCTGAGGTCAGGAGTTCGAGACCAACCTGGCCAACATGGTGAAACCCTATCTCTACTAAAAAAAAAAGTACAAAAATTAGCCGGGCTTGGTGGTACGCACCTGTAATCCCAGCTACTCAGGAGGCTGAGGCAGGAGAATTGCTTGAACATAAGAGGCGGAGTTTGCAGTGAGCCGAGACCATTCCACTGCAGTCCAGCCTGGGCAACAGAACGAGACTATCTCAAAAAATAATAATTAACTCAATTTAAGGAAAGTATTAATAACTACCACTCAATCTAGCAAAATGGTGACCATGGCTTACAAAGAGATGAAATTTGGGGAACTGCTGGGTAGAGCCATGAGGCTGGTCCCAAAGGTCACCGGGATTTGAAGCCATCAGGTAGGACAGGAGCAGAGGTGGGAAAGGAAATGGGCCAAGGGCGGCTCGCTCTGCAGCGACACAAGAAAAACAGGATGGGAGAAAGACAGTGACACCACTTCAGCCAGGGCCAGGCCCAAGGCTGACTCATTCTCTTTCCCCACTGATCTGCCTACACAAGCAATGAGGACAGGCAGGACTTTCAGAGGGAGCAGTTTAGGAGCAGAGATTGAATGTGAGCAGCACTCTTGCTGGATGATATTTTTTCAATGGTAGAAGCTAAAGGAAATGCTGCGGAATATTTTGAATACTTGTTTTAAAATGTTGTCCCGGTCGGGTGCAGTGGCTCATGCCTGTAATCCCAGCACTTTGGAAGACCGAGGTGGGTGAATCACCTGATGTTGGGAGTTTGAGACCAGCCTGACCAACATGGAGAAACCCCGTCTCTACTAAAAATACAAAATTAGCCAGGCATGGTGGCGTAGGCGTGTAATCCCAGCTATTCAGGAGGCTGAGGCAGGAGAATCTCTTGAACCTGGGGGGTGGAGGTTGCTGTGAGCCAAGATCGCCGCATTGCACTTCAGCTAGGGCAACAAGAGCAAAACTTTGTCTCAAAAAAAAAAAGAAAAGAAAAGTTTTCCCATGTGGGGTCTGGTATGTGATTGTATTGTCCATAGGTGTCCTGTTTGGTTTTGGGGGATTTTTTTTTAAGGTAATAAGCGAACATGATTTTTAAAAATCAAACCATACAAAAGAACATTCGGACAGGCATGGTGGCTCATGCCTGTAATCCCAGCACTTTGGGAGGCCGAGGCGGGCGGATCATTTGAGGTCAGGAGTTTGAGACCAGCCTGGCCAACATGGTGAAACCCCGTCTCCACTAAAAGTACAAAAATTAGATGGGCGTGGTGGCGCACGCCTGTAATCCCAGCTGCTCGGGAGGCTGAGGCAGGAAAATTGCTTGAAACCAGGAGGCAGAAGTTGCAGTGAGCCAAGATCGCGCCACTGCACTCCAGCCTGGGTGACGAGCAAAATTCTGTCTCAAAAAAAAAAAAGGACAAATACTAAATCCTCCTTCCCAGAAATTTTCCCCAGTACTATTGTATCTTTGAGAGTTTCCGCACATAGCACATGTGCTTTCCTCTCTCAACACTGGCTGTTTTCACGCAAGCAATAGGATGTACCCACAAGGAATGTATCTTGCTTTTTAG
The DNA here is from genome assembly GCF_000001405.40 of Homo sapiens. Taxonomy (NCBI): domain Eukaryota; kingdom Metazoa; phylum Chordata; class Mammalia; order Primates; family Hominidae; genus Homo; species Homo sapiens. The sequence continues at coordinate 319,777 of NW_016107298.1, forward strand.
AGTAATGCTTCCTAAAGGATGAGTAACAAACATGCGTGTTTTAAGAATTAACATGCTGGCGGGGTGCAGGTGGCTCATGCCTGTAATCCCAGTACTTTGAAAGGCCAACGAGAGAGGATTGCTTGAGCCCAGGAGTCTGATACTGGCCTGGCAATTTATTTGGCAATTCAGTAGGTGTAGAACTTCACGATATTCTCTGTGTCATGTTGAACTATTATTAATGAAGCTTAGAGATGTGAATAGTTTGGCCAAGGTCACAAAGCCAGTAAAATTGAGAGATAGAACCGCTAAAAGATCGTTCCAGGTTTAATTTTCCATGCCTCTAACTTGAGTGCTAATGGGTACAGGTAACCCCATAGTAGGGGATGCATGAGATGGCAAAACACTGCCAGCAGCACTTCCAGAGACAGCACCACCCAGCGCTGATTGCCTGGAACACTGGTCTTAACATTTTTTGCTCATGTAACCCCCTAAGAAAACTCCCAACTTTTTTTTTTTTTTTTTTTTTTTTGAGCCGGCGTTTTGCTCGTCACCCAGGCTGGAGTGCAATGGCGTGATCTCGGGTCACGGCAACCTCCGCCTCCCAGGTTCAAGCGATTCTCCTGCCTCAGCCTCCCAAGCAGCTGGGATTACAAGCATGCACCACCACGCCCAGGTAATTTTTTGGATTTTTTTTTTTTTTAATTGATCATTCTTGGGTGTTTCTCAATTTTTTGGATTTTTAGTAGAGACAGGGTTTCACCATGTTGGCCAGGCTGGTCTCAAACTCCTGACCTCAAGTGACCTGCTCACCTCAAGTGATCTGCCCACCTCGGCCTCCCAAAGTGCTGGGATTACAGGCATGAGACACTGCTCCCAGCCGAAAACTTAACTTTTAAAGTTAACGTATAAGATTATTCATCATATTTTAAAGTTGCTCAGAATTCATTTTCTGGCATAGTGTAAATATTGACTTTTTAAAATAAAACTGTTACATTGTTTTTTGAAATGTATCAAGTGGTATGTAAATACCTTAATGAATTGATAATTACCACCATCCATCTTTAAAATAGCAAGTTATTTAATATTTGAAAATTTTACATTTTCCCTTTTATTCATTGAACTTGGATTTCCATTCCACTTCTGCCATAGAATTAATGTAATAGATTTGTATGTTTTTAAAAGTGTTATTGGTCATCTTATAAGTCTCAGCAAAAAGTATGTAAATAAGTTAAAGTTTAATAAATTTTTATTGTGACTGAAGCTCTAAGTGTATAAAAATTTTTCTTCTGGAGTGAATTATCATTAAGTTTATTAGTAATGCTACATTGGTAACAGGAACATAAATATAATTTTTATAAAGAATTATACATAAATTTTTCTTGAATTGCGTTTTTTTTTTTTGAGAAGGGTCTCACTCTGTTGCCCAGCCTGGAATGCAGTGGCGCAATCTCGGCTCACTGCAACCTCCGCCTCCCGAGTTCAAGTGATCCTCCCACCTCAGCCTCCCCAGTAGCTGGGACTACAGGTGCACGCCAGCACGCCCAGCTAAGTTTTGTATTTTTAGTAGAGACGGGTTTTACCATGTTGGCCAGGCTGATCTCGAACTCCTGACCTCAGGTGATCTGCCTGCCTCAGCCTCCCAAAGTGCTGGGATTACAGGCGTGAGCCACCACGCCCAGCCAATGAATTGCATCTCTAAATGAGATGAATGGTGTTGGTTTTTGTCATTAGCATATATCTGTAGATGAATATATATGATTTACTGCTAAAGCGTGATAGAATTCAGCATCAGTTTTAGTCCTGTTTTTTGTTTGTTTGTTTTAGTAATGTTGGTCATCTTTGAACTCTTTCCAAGTTATATGCCCCAAATCACACTGATCTAAAGCCAAAAATTATTTTTTGTTCCCTTATTTTCATTCAAAGCAAATAATTGAAAATTACCTGACCTGCAACCTAATCATATTAAGAAAATTTCTCAACTGTTGGGAGTTACCAAAACAAAAGTTTTACCAAGACTTATCAAGTGTGAGCCAGGCACGGTGGCTCATGCCTGTAATCCCAGCACTTTGAGAGGCTGAGGCAGGTGGATGGCCTGAGGTCAGGAGTTCGAGACCAGCCTGGCCAACATAGTAAAACCCCGTCTCTACTAAAAATACAAAAAATTACCTGGGCATGGTGGCGGGCACCTGTAATCCCAGCTACTGGGGAGGCTGAGGCAGGAGAATCTCTTGAACCCAGGAGGCGGAGGTTGCAGTGAGCCAAGATCGTGCCATTGCACTCCAGCCTGGACAACAAGAGCAAAACTCCATCTCAAAAGAAAAAAAGACTTATCAAGGGATAATTTCACTTCTTATTCTTTCACTTAGGCACTTTGTTTAACCCAGAATACTCAGAATGGTTGGAGACATCTGAGTATTGCTTATTTCATTCACCTTTGCCAATACAGTACTTTTTGACAAAAATACTTTTAGTTTATCATGTATTTCAAATCCATTTTCATCAAATACTTAGCTGCAGTTTGGGCTCATTTAATTTACGGAAAATGGCCATCAAGCTAATGGCACATCTTAGGGTTGTGAATATTGACTGGTTGAACATAATTACATAGATTTGTAGGGAGAAAAATTTAATTTTCTAAATTTAGGACACCCAAGCAGAGGGTTAGAGACCACCCCTCTGCCCCAAGACCAAGCTTAACTGAATACCATAAAGCAGTAAAAGGCTGGTCTTCATGTTTTTGATTACTTAATCATCAAGGGCGACACCACCTCCATTTGGTGTATGGAACCTAGGGCACCCCAGGTCACCGTATCAAGAGGAAGACAGGTTATGGAGTGAGTTGCCCTTCTTTAGAGGGAGGAGAAAGAGTGCCTGTGAAACTTGAAAATCTGGAAATTGAGTTCCTTAAAACATCTGGGCATACCTAGCTTTGGCAAGACTGCTGTATATGTATTCCAATTTCAAGACCACTAGATGATAGAACTGGGCTTGGTGTCTTCTTTAAAGATAAATCTTTACAAATTGCTTTTATGGTTATTGCTGTCTTCAGAGTTTCTCCCTTCTCTTGATGAAGTTTTACAAGTTTTATTTCCTTTGCCAATCATCCATTACAGTTTTAAAATTTATAAATATAATACATAGGCTTCTCTCGAAATATAAAAATAATTATACTGGCCAGACATGGTGGCTCACGCCTGTAATCCTAGCACTTTGGGATGCCAAGGCGGGCGGATCACCTGAGGTTGGAAGTTCGAGACCAGCCTGACCAAAATGGAGAAACCCCGTCTCTACTAAAAATACAAAATTAGCCAGGCGTGGTGGCGCATGCCTGTAATCCCAGCTACTCGGGAGTCTGAAACAAGAGAATTGCTTGAGCTCAGGAGGCGAAGGTTGCAGTGAGCCGAGATGGCGCCATTGCACTCCAGCTTGGGCAACAAGAGTGAAACAACATCTCAAAAAAAAAAAAAAATTATACCACCCCCAACGAAATGCTTTACTTAAGCCACTTTTAACCCTCTCCACAACCAAGGTGAAATGCTTAGGCTGTTTCTTCTTGCCCAGCAGCTCTCCCCCTACCTTCTTGGGTTTTGCTGAGATAATTTTGAATTTTTAGTCCCAGGATGTCTCAGTATTTATTTAAGACCTTTACTACAAGTTCACGGCCATAATATTATCGTTCAGATTTAACTGTAATTAACTATATAAAAATATAGTACGTATAAATATGCTCTTTAATTGTCCATATTAATCAATGCTGGTGAAATAAAACAGGTAAAGGATTAGTATCCAAAATATACAGGTCAGTAAGACAAAGGCAAGCAATTCAACACGAAAGTCAATTGAGCAAGCAATTCACAGAAGAAATACTAGCAGAGAATAAACAGAAGTTATTTAACCTCAGTAGTAATTGGACAGCTGCAAACCAAAAACAATACGATCCCCCGCCCCCATTCCAATTGGCAAATATTTCCAAGACAATGTAAACGCGCGCGCGCGCCCGGGTGAGGGCCGCGCTTCGCACCTGGGACTTTCCTGCCAGGACTCTTACTTTGGGATCTAAACTTTTAGTTTCTAGGATACCAGCTTACTGGGTTTCAGAGAACATTTGGCCAGCACGTATAGATATCTGATGATAATTGCAGACAGTCTTTATTACACCCTCAAGGCAATGCGACAAGATAATGGGAGTTGAAATGGAACTCTCTGAATTCATTTGACTCCAACGGTTTTCCTTACCAAAAAACAAAGTGTGCGTAAAACCTAAAATTGTCCACTAGTAGCGGACGAAAGATCGGCAACAAGAATTTGAGCCTGGAGCTGAGGGGAAGATGCTTCCCTGCAGGCACCCGGCTGGCACTATCCGGCAAGAGAGAAGGCTGGAAAAGCCTTCTGGGCGGGGTGCGCATCCTCCTCCGTCCGGGACAGAGGGTGCAAAATGGCGCCCACCAGCTCCGTAGGAGAGGCCTTGAGCTGGACTCGCCCAATAGGAATGTTTGGGGGCGGGACGCTTTCACAGCACGCCCTCTAAGAGCTTGGGGCAGGGCTTCCTGTAGGTAGCGCCCTTCCATTGGTCAAAAATGGAACCGGGGTTGCGGGAGAAGCCAAACGCGGCGAGTCTTGCTAAAGCCGTCGCCGTAGCAACGCGCGGAGCCGTCTGGGAGAGGCCTCTGGAGCAGGAGGCCCAGTGGCTCTTCTGACCCAAGGCCCCGCCGTCCAGGTAGGGGGCTGTGGCCTCTAGGGATCAGGGACTACTTACCTGCGAATCCCGGTTGCCCGCCCGCCAGCACGTCCGTTCCCTAAGCAGACCGCCTGGCCTCCTGCCTGACCCGTCTTCTCACCGTTGCCCGGAGTCTGACCTGCCCACGCTCAGTCCACTAACGAAGCTATCCCTGCTCCTGCCCCACAGCTTCTAAGTGCCAGATGATGGAGGAGCGTGCCAACCTGATGCACATGATGAAACTCAGCATCAAGGTGTTGCTCCAGTCGGCTCTGAGCCTGGGCCGCAGCCTGGATGCGGACCATGCCCCCTTGCAGCAGTTCTTTGTAGTGATGGAGCACTGCCTCAAACATGGGCTGAAAGGTGAGCCTGAGGGGGCGTTTGGGAGCGTGGAAGTTCGGGCTGGGTGTTTGCTCAGCATTTTTTCATCAGCGCCAGACATCCTTCTAGATGCTGAAATGCCAGCAGTGTACAGAACAGGCAAGGTTCCTGTATTCAGAAGCGACGTCCTAGAGCAGCGCTGGCCAATAGAAATAGCATGCAAGCTATATAGGCAATTTTAAAGTTTCTGGTAGCCAGGTTACTTTAAAAGCGTTAGATGAGGCTGGGCGCGGTGGCTCACGCCTGTAATCCCAGCACTTTGGGAGGCCAAGGCGGGCGGATCACGAGGTCAGGATATCGAGACCATCCTGGCTAACACGGTGAAACCCGGTCTCTACTAAAAAAAAAAAAATACAAAAAATTAGCTGGGCGTGGTGGCGGGCGCCTGTAGTCCCAGCTACTCGGGAGGCTGAGGCAGGAGAATGGCGTGATCCCGGGAGGCGGAGGTTGCAGTGAGCTGAGATCGCGCCACTGCACTCCAGCTTGGGCAACAGAGCAAGACTCCGTCTCAAAAAAAAAAAAAAAAAAGAAAAAAGAAAAAAAAGTGTTAGATGAGATGCCTTTCTGTGGGGATAAAACTTTTAAAAATTAAGAAAAAAAAGTTAACCTAATTTGCTAAAATGTTTTAAAATTAGTGTTAATAATATATTTCATGGAACCCGTATATCCAAAATATCATTCAACACATATTCAATATTTAAAAGCCTTATTAGGCCAGGCGCGGTGGCTCACGCCTTGTAATCCCAGCACCTTGGGAGGCCGAGACGGAAGGATCGCTTGAGCTCAGGAGCTGGAGACCACCCTGGCCAACATGGTGAAACCCTGCCTCTGCTAACAACACAAAAATTAGCCGGGCGTGGTGGCGCATGCCTGTAATCCCAGCTACTCGAGTGGCTGAGGCAGGAGAATCTCTTGAACCCAGGAGGCGGAGGTTGCAGTGAGCTGAGATTGCACCATTGCACTCCAACCAAGGCTACAGGGTGAGATTCCATCTCAAAAATTAATTAATTAATTAATTAATTAATTAATTAAAACAGATGCAAAGGTTCTGAGTGGGACCAACCTTCCTCAGCTTGAGAAAGACTCCAGGTAACAGGTGTGCTAAGTGTGCTGAGGGAGAGGAGGGGAGGACATGAGGTCAGGGGAGTAGGGAGAGGCTGGACCATATATGTCCTTAAAGGTCAGATGAGGAGTTGCATTTTATTCTTAGTGTCTTTGGAAGATCCTAAAGGGAGAAATGTGTCCTAACTTCAGTTCTTAAAAGAATTTCTAGCTATGTAGAGAACAGATTGTAATGGTGGGGAGGTGACAGTATTAGGAGCAGGAAGACCAATTACAGCAGTACAGATGATGAGGATCTGAAAAAAACAAAAAAAAATAAATCCTTGATTATGCCATCAAGGAAAAAAAGGGGGAAGAATTTCATAGTAGATGAGCCTATAAGGCAACTGTTTTTTTCTTTCTTTTTTTTTTTTTTTTTTTTTTTTTTGAAGAGTCTCGCTCTGTCCCCCAGGCTGGAGTGCAGTGGTGCAATCTCGGCTCACTGCAAGCTCCTCCTCCCAGGTTCACGCCATTCTCCTGCCTCAGCCTCCCGAGTAGCTGGGACTACAGACGCCCACCACCACTCTCGGCTAATTTTTTTTTTATTTTTAGTAGAGACGGAGTTTCACCGTGTTAGCCAGGATGGTCTCGATCTCCTGACCTCGTGATCCACCCGTCTCGGCCTCCCAAAGTGCTGGGATTACAGGTGTGAGCCACTGTGCCCGGCTGAGGCGCCTGTTTTATTCCATGGGCAATACATACTTCCAGAAAGAGCACAGTAAGCATATCAGAGAAACTCTGTTGCCAGAGAAAGAGAGACTAATTTATTACATGGCCTCTCCCAGTCCCCAAGAGTAAATCAAGAAGGATTAAGCAGGCCGGGCGCTGTGGCTCACGCCTGTTATCCCAGCACTTTGGGAGGCCGAGGCGGGCAGATCACAAGGTCAGGAGTTCAAGACCAGCCTGGCCAACATGGTGAAACCCCGTCTCTACTAAAAATACAAAATTAGCCCGGCGTTGTGGGCACCTGTAACCCCAGCTACTCAGGAGGCTGAGGCAGAGAATTGCTTGAACCCGGGAGGCAGAGGTTGTAGTGAGCTGAGATTGCACACTGCACTCTAGCCTGGGCAGTAGAGTAAGACTCCATCTCAAAAAAGATTTTTAAAAAAGGATTAAGCAGTGAAGTTTAGCAGCTTTCACTTCCACTTGGCTTTTGTGGGGAGAGGCTGTGGGTCCCTGAAGAAATTTTGCAACCTGTTCTTATGAATAACACTTTTGTTTTTCCTTTTAGTTAAGAAGAGTTTTATTGGCCAAAATAAATCATTCTTTGGTCCTTTGGAGCTGGTGGAGAAACTTTGTCCAGAAGCATCAGATATAGCGACTAGTGTCAGAAATCTTCCAGAATTAAAGTGAGTGAGAAGTAGTTCTGCCAATTTGATGATTTTAAAAACTCCCTCATATTTACTCATTTCTCAATTCCTTGCTGATGAAGCCCTTTCTAATTGGAAAGAGCTCTGCTGCTCATTATCCACATGATCTCTAGCAAGACTTGACTCTCTCTGAGCCTCAGTTTCCTTTTCTTTAAAATGGGGACAGTGATTCCTGCTTGCCACACAGGCCAAATAGGTTGAAAAGGTGTTGTCAACCAAAGGGCACTCACAGGAGGAAAAGGAACTACTGGTACACTCCCGGAATCACTGCTTCAGACACAGGTGGGCAGTTTTCTGAATAATACATTTTGGGCCAGATTGTAGATTCCAGGCCCAAGGACATTTGTAATTTGTTAGGGTGGGACTAACGAATTATTTGCCATGTCTGGATTTGTCCTTGGGATCGCTATGCTTAGGCTCAAAATCAAAAACAGTCCAGAACACAAATAAGTCATCTTCATGGAATTTGGCATCTAGAAAGGGTCTTAGGGATCCTTGAGCCAATGCAAAAGAACCCTCTGCAGAGTTTCCCAGACGGGACTGGACTGTTGAGCGTTTATTTGACCCTTCTCCTAGGGAGCCTGCCTATTCCATTTTCAGATAATAATAATAATAGCCACTGCCCTCAGGACCTGCTCAATGACAGGCATTGTGCTGAGAACATTCCTTCTCATTTATCTCATTTAATCCTCCACAGCCATCCTCTAGGATAGCTGTTAGTGTCCTCATCTACAAGTGTGGGAACTGAGACTTAGAGTGGTTGAGTAACTTGCCCGAGGTGCCTTGGCAGGTGAGTGATGGAGCAGGAAGAGGACACAGGTCTGTTATGCCCTGAAGCCCTCCAAATCCCATGAAACTCCATTGCTGCCAAGCCCTGTGCATTCTTCTCAAGATTAGATTTAAGCCCTCTATGCAAATTCTGCCTGCCCGGCCTACATCGCTTATATTTAAAGCCTTTTGCACCTGCCAAGCTTTCAAATGTTTATTTCATGACCTTTTTTTTTTTGAGAAGGAGTCTCACTCTTGCCCAGGCTGGAGTGCAGTGGCACAATCTCAGCTCTCTGCAACCTCCGCTTCCTAGGTTCAAGCGATTCTCATGCCTCAGCCTCCTGAGTAGCTGGGATTACAGGCACGTGCCACCACACCCAGTTAATTTTTGTATTTTTTGTAGAGACAGGGTGTTGCCATGTTGGCCAGGCTAGTCTCAAACTCCTGACCACAGGTAATCCACCTGCCTCGGTCTTCCAAAGTGCTGGGATTACAGGCGTGAGCCACCACACCCGGCCTTAATGACCTTTTTCATGAGCCTCTCAAGTCTACTGCCCTGCGTCTTCAGTTGTTCTTTATATGGTACAATTTCTCATACCCTTCCTGTCCAGCTCACTCACTCCCTCAAGAGTAAAGCACCTACACAGACGGCGTCCTGATGTTTTCTTTTTTTTTTTTTTTTTGAGATAGAGTTTCGCTCTTGTTGCCCAGGCTGGAATGCAGTGGCGTGATCTCGGCTCACTGCTACCTCCACCCCCTGGGTTCCAGCGATTCTCCTGCCTCTGCCTCCCAAGTAGCTGGGATTACAGGTGCCTGCCACCAGGCCCAGGTAATTTTTGTATCTTTAGTAGAGATGGGGTTTCACCACATTGGCCAGGCTGGTCTCCAACTCCTGACCTCAGGTGATCCATCTGCCTCAGCCTCCCAAAGTGCTGGGATTATAGGTGTGAACCACTGTGCCTGGCTGTTTTTTTTTTTTTTTTTTTTTAAGACAGTCTCTCTGTCGCCTAGGCTGGAGTGCAGTGGTGGTGCAGTCTCTCAGCTCACTGTAAGCTCCACCTCCCAGGCTCAAGTGATCTTTCCCACCTCAGCCTCCCAAATAGCTGGGACTATAGGCTGAGGCAGGAGAATTGCCTGAACCCAGGAGGTGGAGGTTGCAGTGAGCAGAGATCACGCCACCACTCCTGCCTGGATGACAGAGTGAAGTGAGACTCCATCTCAAAAAAAAAGAAAAAAAAAATCATCTGCACTTTGACCCAGCAATTCCACTTACATACATTTTATCCTACACATGTAACACATGAAAATGACACAGAATGTACAGAATGATCTATTGCAGTCGTTATTGGTAACAGGAGATTAGAACCACCCTAGTTTTTTTTAACCCAGCTAAATAAATTATGGTGCTGTCCAATAATGACACACTAAAGCTATAAAAAAAGTAAAGTCCTCTGTGTACTGATATGGAAAGATTTTCAAGATGACAGATACTCAGCGAAATAATCAGGTTGAGAACTGCATGTAAAATATGTTAAATTTTTTTGTAAAAAGAGAGAGAAAAATAATTTATATTTGGTACCTGTTTTCATGTGTAGAAACATGTTTCGGAAATGAACTTAAACAGAGGACACTATATTAGTGTATAGGGGAGGGGGATGGGAAGGTGGAGGACAAGGAGACAAGTATATGCCTTTTAATACTTTCTAGGTTTTCTTTTTTTTTTTTTTTTTTTTTTTTTTGAGACAGAGTCTCACTCTATCGCCCAGCCCAGGCTGGAGTGCAGTGGCACAATCTCGACTCACTGCAGCCTCTGCCTCCCGGGTTCAAGCCATTCTCATGCCTCAGCTTCCTGAGTAGCTGGGATTATAGGCATGAGCCACCACACCCAGCTATTTTTTGCATTTTTAGTTGAGATGGGAGTTTAACGTGTTGGCCAGGCTAGTCTCAAACTCTTGACCTCAGGTGATCCACCCCACTTGGCCTCCCAAAGTGCTGGGATTACAGGTGTGAGCCACCACACCTGGCCTACTTTCTAGGTTTTAAACCAAGTGAAGATATTGCCCATTCAAAAAAAATTCAGCATTAAAGTGCATATACTGTTTTGTAGCCTTTTTTCCATTTATTCCACTTAATATTAGATTTTAAATCTCTTTGTGTATCGAATATTCATTTACAATATCATTTTTTAAATGGCCAAATAATATTCTGTTGTCTGTCTAATTTTGTTTAACCCCGCCTTGTGGCTGTCTTCAAATTCTTGTTACCACAAACCGTGATAATGATGAGGTGACCATCCCGAAACATACTTCTTTGTGTCCGTCTTCAGTTATTTCCCTAGGATATATTACTAAATGTAGAATTTTGGTAACCTGTTGTCATCAAATTGCCACTAGAAAGTTGCACAGTTGGCCAGGCACAGCAGCTCACGCCTATAATCCCAACACTTTGAGAGGCTGAGATGGGAAGAATGCTTGAGCCCAGGAGTTTGAAACCAGCCTGGACAATGTGGCAAAACCCCATCTCTACAAAAAAAAAAAATTAGTTGGGTGTGGTAGCACGTGCCTGCTGTCCCAGCTACTCCGGAGGCTTAACGCAGGGTTATCACTTGAGCCTGGGAGTTCCAGGCTGCAGGGAGCCATCATCATGCCATTCAACAGCATGGGCGACTGAGCAAGACCCTGTCTCCAAAAAAAAAAAGAAAGTTGTGAAGTTTACAGTCTCACCAAGCAGCACTTGAGAGGCCTTTTTTCTTTTAATGTTTAATGCAGGCCTGTTCTTTCTTTCTTTCCTTTTCCTTTTTTCTTTTCTTTTCTCTTCTTTTCTTTCTTTTCTGCTTCTCTGGAGATAATGCTAGAATACAGAAAAATTACACCTTCAAGATTGGGGCCAGGCCTGTAATCCCAGCACTTTAGGAGGCCAAGGTGGGTGGATTACTTGAGGTCAAGAGTTTGAGACTAGCCTGGCCAACATGGTGGAAACCCCATCTCTACTAAAAATACAAAAATTAGCTGGGCGTGGTGGCAGGTGCCTGTAATCCCAGCTACTCGGGAGGCTGAGGCAGGAGAATCACTTGAACCTGCGAGGTGGAGGATGCAGTGAGCCAAGATCACAACGGTGAGCCAAGATTGTGCCACTGCACTCTAACCTGGGTGACAGAGTGAGGCTCCATCTCGAAAAAAAAAAAAAAAAAGATTGGTTCCACAACATTGTGAATGTACTTAACACTACTTAACTGTAAGATTAAAAATGGTTAACATGGTAAATTTTATGTTCTGTGTATCTTACCACAATTAATAATAAAACATAAAATTATACCTTTAAGGCCAGGTGCAGTGGCTCATGCCTGTAATCCCAGCACTTTGCGAGGCCAAGGCAGCCTGATCACTTGAGGCCAGGAATTTGAGACCAGCTTGGCTAACATGGCAAAACCCTGTCTCTACTAAAAACAAAAATTAGCCAGGTGTGGTGATGCATGCCTGTAATCCCAGCTACTCAGGAGGCTGAGCCATGAGAATCGCTTGAACCCAGGAGGCGGAGGTTGCAATGAGCTGAGATTGCACCACTGCACTCCAGCCTGGGCAACAGGCAAGACTCTATCTCAAAAAAAAATAAAAAATAAAAAATAAAAAGTACGTTTGAGCTAACCCTAACCCCTTAGAGATTTTATAAGCTTCAGCACTTTAACAAGCACTAAGTTCTCTATTCGTCTTTTGAAGGAATGTTTATCCATTACACAAATCTAACCTGATATTTTCCTGTGATATTTTATGACTATAAGCAAAGCATTATCTAATTGTATTTGTAATAGTACTCAAAGGTATGTGGTGAGCCATTTTCGCTGCCTGCCCAGGCCATGTGCATCCCTCCCCAACCCCAAACAGCCATTCTTAGAGTATCGTCTGCATTTACAAGGGTGTGTTTCCTATGTGTCTCCCTGGCTAAATCAGGTGTCTTTTCTGTGTTTGTTGTTGTTATGCCACAATAGTTGATTCTCTGTTTGAATTCTAGGACAGCTGTGGGAAGAGGCCGAGCGTGGCTTTATCTTGCACTCATGCAAAAGAAACTGGCAGATTATCTGAAAGTGCTTATAGACAATAAACATCTCTTAAGGTATTTCATCAACCATGTTTGCTTATCTTTTGCTTGGTAAATAATTAGAACATAGGCTGGGTGCGGTGGCTCACACCTGTAATCCCAGCACTTTGGGAGGCCAAGATCAGGTGGATTGCTTGAGGTCCGGAGTTCAAGACCAGCCTGGCCAACATGGTGTCGTATTTTTAGTAGAGACTAAAAATACGAAAATTAGCCAGGTGTGGTGGCAGGTGCCTGTAATCCCAGCTACTCAGAAGGCTGAGGCAGGAGAATCGCTCGAACCCGCGAGGCGGAGGTTGCAGTGAGCCGAGATCACGCCACTGCACTCCAGCCTGGGCGACAGAGTGAGACTCCTTCTCAAAAAAATAATAATTAGAACATAGTTCTGTAGATCATTTTGAATTAAAATAAGTGTATCAGCCAGGTGTGGTGGCTCATGCCTGTAATCCCAGCACTTTGGGAGGCCAAGGCAGGCTGATCACTTGAGGTCAGAAGTTCAAAAACAACCTGGACAACATGGTAAAACCCCATCTCTGCTAAAAATACTAAATTAGCTGGGCATGGTGGCATATGCCTATAATCCCAGCTACTCAGGACGCTGAGGCAGGAGGATTGCTTGAACCCAGGAAAGCAGAGGTTGCAGTGAGCCAAGATCACACCACTGTACCTCCAGCCTGGGCAACAGAGCAAGACTCTGTCTCAAAATAAAAAATAAAAAAATAAGTATATAATATTTACAGAAATTTATGACTGGTTCATTTTTTATATTTATAAGTAAGCAATAATCATTATAAAAGGAATGTTCTCTAGACTGTGATGATTTACGAGGAAGGACTCTTTCCAGAGTTAAAGCTTTCTTGTAATTGAGAAATAGATACATTTTACAGCATAGCCTAAAACCCAAGCCTTTCAGTGTTTTCAAGTCATGGCTCATTGTCGAACATATCTTTACACGACAAATACTGATTTACAATATTTCACATACTCTGAGTAGTTACACTGAGTAACTTTGAGTTACAGATTTTCTTCTAATGAACAAAGTATTTTTCAATTTTTTATTTATAATCGATACAAAATTATACATATTTATGGGATACTATGCATGTATACACTATGTAATGATGAAATCAGGGTAATTACCATATCCCTCACTTTACTAATGAACTAATTCTTAAGAGAAAAGTCTTATACGCACACACACACAGTGGCCTGGATGCCACTGGATTTGGTACATTAGCAAGTCATTGCTGACCAGAGCAATATCAGGCAGGGGATGGACCACCCCCTGCAAATGGCCGCGATAACTGGGCAATAAAGGAAGTAAAGCAACAGATGTTGCTCCGTGGGACGCAAGAAGGAGGAGTGTTATTCTTGGATGTGGGATCCCATTTCCTGTTTATATCAGCATAAGTGGAGAAGTAATTCATATCAACACAGAACAGGAGCCAGTGGAGACACAGGAGGGGAGAGTGACAGGAGTCAAGAGGAGACGAGGAGAACTGGGGTCCAGGGTCTGCATGGAGGAGTTAACTTTAGACAGGAGGAGAGGCGAGCCCATTCTAAGCCACAGGAAGAGAGGAGAGGACGGGAGAAAAAGCAGCCGTTGAAGCAGTGAAGAGAAATGAAAGGGAGGGAGGAAATCCACAGCAGTATCTTCTGGCTCCAGGGCACAGGTGAAAAGGCAGTTCAGGGTGGGGAAGGAGTGGGGATGGTGAAGCTGTTTCTGAGCATCGCCCTGTCCTGTCCATCTCTTTCAGCGAGTTCTATGAGCCTGAGGCTTTAATGATGGAGGAAGAAGGGATGGTGATTGTTGGTCTGCTGGTGGGACTCAATGTTCTCGATGCCAATCTCTGCTTGAAAGGAGAAGACTTGGATTCTCAGGTAAAATGAAATTTTGGCTCTAGATGAACACTTTCGTTAGTCCAGGGACTTTACATAGGATCTGCAAACAGGTACTGAACCCAAAGAAGGGCAAATGGCAAAGAGCCCACTGGTAGAGGACCCCAGGGATGCAGCTGGGGAAGGTCTCGGAAGGGTGAAGAAGTTGCATAGCCAGAGGTACACACGGAAAGCTTGGCAGGTTTGGGAACAGGCAGACAGCTCTCCATGGCTGGAGTAGAGGATGCTCTGTGGGCGAGGTGAAAGTGGAGGCTGGGCCTGATAGTTAGGCCATTGGTGCTATGCTGAAGGGTGTAGCTTTTTTGTTGTTGTTTTTTTTGAGACGGAGTCTCGTTGTGTCTCCCAGGCTGGAGTGCAGTGGCGCGATCTCGGCTCCCTGCAACCTCCGCCTCCCGGGTTCACACCATTCTCCTGCCTCAGCCTCCCGAGTAGCTGGGACCACAGGTGCCCGCCACCACGCCCAGCTAATTTTTTGTATTTTTAATAGAGACGGGGTTTCACCGTGTTAGCCAGGATGGTTTCGATCTCCTGACCTCGTGATCCGCCCACCTCGGCCTCCCAAAGTGCTGGGATTACAGGCGTGAGCCACTGCGCCCGGCCTGTATTTTTTTTTTTTAGTAGAGATGGTGTTTCACCATGTTAGCCAGGATGGTCTCAATCTCCTGACCTCGTGATCCACCCGCCTCGGCCTCCCAAAGTGCTGGGATTACAGGTGTGAGCCACTGTGCCTTGCCTGAAGGGTATAGCTTTTATCCCCTTTTATCCTGAGCTTTGGGGAGCTGTTGGAGGTTTTTAAAAAGTACACTGAAATGATCATGCCTGGATTTGAGAAAGCTCAATCTAGCAGCCATTCAGGTTATGAGTTGGAAGTGGCCAAGAATAGATACAGCAAAAGCCTTGAGGAGACTAGTCTAGAAGTCCTGCAAGCCTGGATGGGGAGTAGGAAGATAGAGTCAGGAGAGATTTGGGAAGTCAGGTTGATAAAATGGCACAAAGGAGAGTAACCAGTAAGGTGTAGAGTGCTCTGTGGGAAGGACAGCCCTCTTGGGATGGGCTTTCTTCCTGCATAGGAGCTGGTGACCAGAGCCAAGGCCTAAACTCCTGGTGGCAGGGACTGTAAATGTGTGAGGGGAATAGGTACCCTAACCCATTCCTCACTTCCACCCCCTCTTCGGGGCATCCGCAGCTGTAGCTGGGCCACTGCCCAGAAAAAAGAGATTATTTTACACTACCTAGCAAAATTCCCAGCCTTTTTCCTGCATTGTGTTTGGTGAATCTAAAGATTCCCTGATCCCTCCATGTGCAGGTCAGTGTTTTTTTATAACCTCTCCTCCCTTTAAAAAAAAAAAAAGTTCGATTGTCTTTGCATGTTGAAAAATATCTTTTTTTGAATTCAGAGAAGTATTTTTGAAAAGACACTAAACATCACACATATTCTCATTACTCTTAGACCGATAATTCAGTGTTACATTCTGGTATACACCCTTCTAGCAGATGAATAAAGGTGTGTGCATGCATGTGTGTGTGTATATGTTTGTGTATTTTAGAGTGAGATGTTCGAAGGGTTTCTTTTTTTATGAAACCAAACTATGATTATTTTAAGCACACCATTTTATAATTTTAAAAAATTTAACAATATGTTCCACACAGTTCTCAATAACGAGAGATATAAACCATTTAAAATGACTATGTAGTATTTCATTTTTTAACGTACAATTATGTAACCAGTACCTTATTAATTTAGATTGTTTCCATATTGTGACAATACTATTGCTGGGCACATGGCTCACGCCTGTAATTCCAACACTTTGGGAGGCCAAGGTAGGAGGATCACTGGAGCCCAGGAATTTGAGACCAGCCCGGGCAAAATAGTGAGACCTTGTCTCTACCAAAAATTTAAAAAAATTAGCCGAGCATGGTGGCATGCTGTCTGTCATCCCAGCTACTCTGGAGGCTGAGGTGGGAGGATTGCTTGAGCCTGGGAGATCAAGGCTGCAGTGAGCTCTAATCATGCCACTGCATTGCACTCCAGTCTGGGCAACAGAGCCAGACTCTGTCTGGAAAAAAAAAAAAAAAACACCAATATTATAGACATCCTTGAAGTTCTCTGTACTCTTGTCCGTGTATTTCCTTAGGATAAATTTGGGGTTGTTGTGTCAAAGTATACAGGCTACATTTTGCTAGATAACATAAAACGGACCTCCAGAAAGGTCTTCATTATATACACCCACCAGCAGTGTGGGAGAGAACACATTTCCTCCTGACACTGGATGTGATGAGCATTCTCAGTCTTTTTCAGCCTCATGGACAAAACAACTCATTATCTCAAATTTACAAGTATTTTCCTGTTTTATTTGCCATTGGTGGTTCAGCATTTGTGATTATCTTTTCATATTCTTTGTCCATTTTTGAGTTTTCTTTCTCTACTTCTTTATTAAAGACT